>NC_000011.10:47332727-47635757 GCF_000001405.40 Homo sapiens
AGAGGGCCACACAAAGCTAGGCCCCTCTCCCTGTTCCCACAGCCTCCCTGCCCCAGCCCCTGGTTGGAAGAATGAGGGTACAGCACCTGGTCTGGGGATAAAGACGGGCTCCTTGGTGGTGGCCGCTCTGTCACTAAAGCCAACCATATTCTGGCTGAAGACGCGGAAGTAGTAGCCATTGCCAATGATGAGCTCTGGCACCACGCAGTGGGTGCGGCGGTAATGCTCCAAGACGGTGAACCACTCCTGGGGGCAGGGAGGGAGGGGAGGCATCTCTGGGCCAGGCCCTTCCTGATGCCGAGAGCCTCTCCTGGGTGCCCTTGGCATCTCCACCCCTACTATGGAGGGATTCAGATCAGCAGAGGGAGGGTGAGGGGTCCACGGTGAGGACAGTGAAGGGTAGCTGCGGCCTGGGTCTGCCGGGCCTAGGCAGGGTGCACGTGGGGACCCCAGACCCTGGGCTCACCATGGTCTTCTTGTCGGCTTTCTGCACTGTGTACCCCCAGAGCTCCGTGTTGCCGACATCCTGGGGTGGCTTCCACTCCAGAGCCACATTAAGACCCCAGGCGTCAGTCACCCGGAGATCCTGGGGAGGACTTGGCTTGTCTGCGGGAGACAGACCCAGTTGGGTCACCACGCCTCCTGACAGTGAGCAGGGGGTCACTGGCTCCAGGGACCACCCCACCCCTGCCAACCAGGGCCAGGCCTGCTGGGGCAGTGGACTGGAAAATGTGAGCTGTGGGTTGGGTCCCCTGGCCCCACCCTTGGCCCCAGCAGCCCAGCCCAGGGAAGGGAAACAAGGGGGCTCAAGGAGGCCTTGGCCACGCACCAACAACCTGCAGCACCAGCGTGGCCTTGTCCTCCATGTTCTCAATGCGCACCGTCACCTGGTAAGTGCCTGAATGCACGCGGCGAGCGGCCCGGATGAACAGGATGGTGTCTGTGGGGCTGTTGCGGATGCTCACCTCCTCGCCTGCCAGGGGCTGCCCCTCTTTGGTCCAGGTCACCTGAGGCCGGGGCTTGCCCTGAGGGGAGGAAAAGCTTAACCCTGAACCTGGATCACTCCAAGGGCCGGCCGCCACCCCAGCCTCTGGTACCTCAGATCAGGCCAGCCCTGAGACATCAGTCCACTGGATGGGAACAACACACTATAGCCTCTCTCCCCTGGGGGACAGGGAAGGGGGCCAGTCCCACCTGGAAAGGGATGAGAAGGTTCACAGGCTCCCCGACCTTCTTCTGAATGGTCTGGCGCAGGTGCCTGGGCAGCTGAAGCCGTGGCCGTTCTGTGGGTATAGAGTGGGTAGCTAAGTGAGGGCCCGCCACAGCTCTGAGGGGCTCCACAGCTCCAACCTCCCTTGAGACAAGGCCCAGAGAGCTGCAGCTAAGAAAAAAGCTGCCTGCTGGGCCCTGCGCCTCCTTTAGCTCCTGCTAACACAGCAACTCCAGGCTGCCCAAGCCCAGCTGGCTTCCCCGAGCCTCACCACTTCAAAAGGCAGGGATCAGAGAGGGTAAGCAACTTGACTGAAGTCACACAGCTAGTAAGTCATAGACCAGGGTGTAAGCCTGGGCTTTGACACCCTATGCCCTGTGTTGTTACCACCTGAGTTTGCTGCCTCGTTCCAGCTTTGAGAACCAATCCTTACAAAAGATGGACCCTTTGTTGGGACAAGGAACAAAGGAATGGGAAGTGGATCCCAGAGGGACCAATCTGACTACATAGACAATATTTACCTGTTGGAGCTGAGACACTCCTGGAAGAGAGCTTGGGTACTGTGGCTTTTACTTTCCCTGTTCCAGAACTAAGGGACTGACATACACCAAGAGAGCCCTTTCTGCACTTTTTTTTTTTTTGAGACGTTGTCTCACTCTGTCACCCAGACTGGAGTGCAATAGTGTGATCTCAGCTCATTGCAACTGCCACCTCCCGGGTCCAAGCGATTCTTCTGCCTCAGCCTCCCAAGTAGTTGAGGGACTACAGGCACGCGCCACCACACCTGGCTAGTTTTTGTATTTTTAGTAGAGACAGGGTTTCACTATGTTGGCCAGGCTGGTCTCAAACTCCTGACCTCAAGTGATCTGCCTGCCTTGGCCTCCTAAAGTGCTGGGATTACAGGCTTGAGCCACTGTGCCTGGCCACCCTCTCTGCACTTTTTCCCTAGGCCTAGCGCATGGACGATGGCTCCAACCCCTCCTGTCTCTGCCCAGCGTTCTGGGCAGAGCATTCTGGGCCTCCCCAACTGTCCCCACCTCCACTGGACACCAAGGGCCTGGGGTGTCAATGGCGGGTCTTGTGACTGCACAAAGGGGCACTCACGCAGGATCTCCTGCACTGTCACCGGCTCCGTGGTGGTAACAGGGGCTCCAGGCCCTGCCATATTGTGTGCCCGCACTCGGAAAAGCAGCCGGGCCCCCGTGGGCAGGTCCTTCACCAGTATCGATGTGTGCTCTGTCAGCCCCTGCAGGGCAGCCACCCACTCTGAGCCTGGGGGTGGGGAGGGGGAGGCAAGGCCACAGGCTGTGTCACCACTGACACCCCACTCCCACTGCCCACTCCTCTGATAGGAATCTCCAGGATTTAAATATGTTTTTTTAAATTTTTATTTGTTTATTTATTTTTGAGATGGAGTTTCGCTCTTGTCTCCCAGGCTGGAGTGCAATGGCATGATCTTGGCTCACCGCAACTTCTGCCTCCCGAGTTCAAGTGATTCTCCTGCCTCAGCCTCCCGCGTAGCTGGGATCACAGGTGCCCACCACCACACCCGGCTAATTTTGTATTTTTAGTAGAGACGGGGTTTCTCCACGTTGGTCAGACTGGTCTCGAACTCCCGACCTCAGGTGATCCGCCCACCTTGGCCTCCCAAAGTGCTGGGATTACAGGCGTAAGCCATCGCGCCTGGCCTTAAATATGTTTTTAAAATGTAGTTGCTGATTTCGCACTGCTCAAAGAAGTGTTACAGTCAGCTTTACTCTGCATTTGTTTTTCACTAGGCAAGCTTTTTTACTTCTGAAAACAGGACAGATATTTCTCTGGGTGTCCTCAACTTTCGGCAAAAGTGGGCCTAAAAAACTTGACTACAGGTGAATCTGCTCAATGGCAAGGTGAGCATGTTCTTCCTTTGGGGAGGGGGGTTGGGGGCGGGGACACTCACAGCCCTCTGGGCAGTACTCCACGCTGTAGCCATCCAGGCCTCCTGCTCCCACGCGCTCTGGGGGCCGCCACTTGAGGGAGACCGTGGTGTCAGAGACGTCCTCTACTGCCAGGTGGGTGGGTTCGCTGGGGGGACCTGGGCAGAGGAGAGGTCAGAGAGGGGTCTGAGCAAGCCTGGGGAAGCTGGAGATCCATGCCCTAGACTCTGAACTGCCCACTGGTCACATAGGGGGCACTTCCTGTTCAGCTGGCTTTTGGCCACTTTAAGGAATATTTTGTCCCTGTTACAAGACATGTCTGTAGATTGGCTTAAAAACAAACAGCAACAGCAGCCAGGCACGGTGGCTCACGCCTGTAATCCCAGCACTTTGGGAGGCCGAGGTGGGAGGATCACCTGAGGTCAGGAGTTCAAGACCAGCCTGGCCAACATGGTGAAACTCCGTCTCTACAAAAATACAAAAATTAGCTGGGCATGGTGGTGGATGCCTGTAATCCCAGCTACTCAGAAGGCTGAGGTGGGAGAATTGCTTGAACCTGGGAGGTGAAGGTTACAGTGACCCCAGATCGCGCCAGGACTGCACTCCAGTCTGGGTGACAGAGCGAGACTCCATCTCAAAAAAAAAAAAAAAAAAAAAAAACTAAAACTAAAACTACAGAAAACATGGGAATTTCCTGGCACGTATGATTAGGTGAGTTGACTAAGAACTGAACAAACCAGGAATCAGTCCCTAAAACGAGAGGCCTGGACCCTTCTCCCCACAGGCCCCGATTCCTGCCATCTTCCCAAGCTGTGCCCCATCCCTGGGCCCAGGGGTCCTTGGCCTGCCCTTGCCACAGGCAGCTGCCCCCGGACTCACCCACCCTAGTGGGAACAGGTGTCCTCCTGAGCCCTGCCACAGTCTCAACACCTGTTCTGCCCACTCAGACCCCATTATACAGATGAGGAAGCTGAGGCTTCAGGGAGGGATGACTCCAGTTGGCCCCCCGGGGACCATGGAGCTGCCTCTGCCATCTCTGAGTCTTGGTCCAGGACTCTTTCCACAGACAGATGCCCCTGAGACCCCTCCACTAACTACAGCCCTTGCCCCATCCCATAGGTGAAAACCCTGGGTTGAAGGGTGTGGAGAACAGGGGACAATGAACATTTATTGAGCACCTGTTAGATGCCAGATGGCCTGCCTGGTCATCCCATATCATCCTAACAGCTCTCTGAGATAGGCAGTGTCATTATTCCCATTTTGTAGACATGGAAAGAGAGGCTTGAAACGTGAACTAGGGGTCGGCGTAGTGTGAGAGTCAGCTCCACCCCAACCAGCTGGGAGATCTCAAGCAGGTCATTTAACTGCTTGGAGCCTGTTTCCTCATCTGTAAAATGCGGCTGAGTATCCCCAGTCGAGGATGAAAGGAGACTGTGGATGTGAGTGTCTAGCATGGCTGCCTGCAGAGCACCTGCTATTATTGGAGGTTTTTAACTGGGGAGGGGGCGGGGGGCAGGACCAGGCCAGGCAGGCTCACCGATAGGCATGAAGGGCTGGGAGGCAGGGCTGGGCCTGGACATGCCGATGGCGTTGACCGCGTAGACGCGCATCTCGTACACCACGCCCTCGATCATGCGCCGCGCTTCATGACTCAGCTCCTGAATCAGGTCGAAGTTCAGCCGCATCCACCGGTAGCTCTTCTTCTTCTTGCGCTCCAGGATGTAGCCTGGCTCAGGGGAGGTGGCAGCTCTGGTCTGGAACCCAGGCATCCCCACACCACCTTCCCTCGGATCTGTTTGGCGCCCTCACACCTCCATCCGGTGCCCTTGCACTCACCCAGGATGGGCTGCCCGCCATCGTAGGCAGGCGGCTCCCACTGTACTGTGCAGGAGTCCTCTCCCACGTTGCTGATCTTGGGGGCCGCAGGTGCGTCTGGCACGTCTGGATGGGGTGGGATGGACCCACATCAGCCCTGCCCCGCTCAGGGCCTTGAGTAACGTTGCTCGTCCCCTTCCCACTCCAACTAACCGCCACAGGCTGCCCCCACCACCCCCAGATCCAAAGAGATCTTTCTAGAATGCATTTCTTTCTTCTTTTCCTTTTTTTTTTTTTTTTTTTAGTGATATGGAGTCTCACTGTGTTGTCCAGGCTGGGTCTCAACAGGATGCATTTCTGATCATGTCGCCAGCCCTCCGTCAACCCTTTAAGGCTTCTCACTGCCCATATTCACCCCTGTCCTGGCTCTGATCCTCCCAACCCCACCCAGTCCTCTCCTGACATGTTTCATTCATTCTCCACACCCAAAAGGCCCTTTCCCTCCTCCACCCCTTTGTACACAGTTTCCTCTGCCTGGGATGCCTTTCCTCACCATCTTCTCAGCCTCCTAAAGGCATCACCCCCAGGCACAGGGATGGCTCTCTGCTCAGTGCTCCCACGGCACTCTGGACATGGCTCATGTACAGCAGTGTCGCAGGAAATCTGCTGGATGCATCTGCCTCCATCTCCCCCAGAGCGGGGCTCCTTTTGGGCAGAAAAACCTGTCCTGTTGCCGCTCGGCTCAGGGAGCATGCCCGTGATGTTTGTCGAGTGGCTGAATGAGCGAACGGATGGGCCCTCCTTGGGGCTGCCCCTCTGTGTTCTCCAGCTTGGACCCCGGCCGGCCTCACCGATGACCTTGACTGTGAGGTTGACCTGGTCCTCGCCCACAGGGTTCTTCACTGTGACCGTGTAGACGCCCTCATCTTCCTTCTCTGCCCCCTCGACCGTGAAGATGCTGCGGTCCTTGGTGGTCTCCACGCGGACCCGGCCCTCGGTCTCACACAGCAGCTGGGGGGGTGCAGAGTTGGGGTGAGATCCAAGTCAGACCCCAGAGGCCCTTGCAGCCTCCGCCAACAGCCAGATGTCCCGGGGGTCCATGGGGGGAACACAGCCTGTGGGAAGACTGCATCCACGTCAGCATCTAGTTCAAAATCATCTCTGTGGCACCGACTGAGGGCAGGGGCTCGGGTTCTAGCTTTGTCACGGGACCTGGGGCAACCACCTGTCCTCTCAGATGAGCTATCATGAGGACCCCTCAAGACCCCAGCCTTCAGAAGAACCAACAGTGCCAGGCAGGAGCAAGACCCCGGCAGCTACACTGGCAGAAAAGTGTCTCAGAAACTACTCCTGAGTTGAGAGGGAGCACAAGGTCAAGGTCAAGGTCAGCTTAGGATGAAGGGAGCCAGGGAGCAGCCCAGTCATGAGGGCTTCCTGGCAATGAGAGGGTGTCCACATCCTTGTGATGGCCATCAGCACACTTCACAGAGACCCTCTGCCTGAGGTGTGAGGGCCCCACAGGGACCCTGCTGGGGGCAGCAACACACCCGGCCAAGTGTGGCACCTCCATGGAGACCTCGCCAAGGGCTCGGCACCACGTAGGTAGAAAGTGATGAAAGACAAACGAGCCTCCTCCTGACCTCAGTCTCACTCACCTTCTTGTCAAACACCCACTCATCGCTGTCACCTGTGTCCTCTGGGGCATCTGGGGCTGGCCTGGCTGGGGCCTTATTCCCCTGGGAACAGGGCAGGAGGGAAGTAGGGAGCAGAGGAGCTGACTCAGCCTGGAAGCGCCCCTCTGCTGCTTCTTCCACCCCCTGACCCACACTGCCCACCTTGCCTGCCCCCTGACCAGTCTCTCCCATGGGGTAGCCAACAGCAGGGCGTGCACATGTGGGTGGGGTGTGCAGCAGGTCCTAGCACTTGGCTGGTTCCACACACCCATCTTATAGATGGGGAGACTGAGGAGGGACCCACAGTACCTGCGTGATAGCCTTCTGCCAGATCACAGTGGGAGCAGGGTCCCCAGAGATAGGGACGTCCAGACGTAGCTTATTTCCAGCTACAACCACAATGGTGTCTGGTATGCGGCCTGGGCAGTCCAGGTGGATCTTGGGAGGTTCTGCAGAAGACACAATGTAGTTCAGAGAAACGGGAGAGCCAGGAGGAGCACAGGTCACTGGGGCGGGGCTGCTCAAGAGCCTGGGCCCCTGGTTATTGGTTTTTTAGATTTGTATTGAGGTATAGTTTATGCTCAGATCTGACAGTAGGCTGAGTTCTGACAGATGAATACACCCATGCAATTATTAATCCAACCAAGATCTGGAACATTCCCATCACCCCAGGACGTTGGCTGGGAGGCTTGTAATATTCAGGTCAGGTCACCTAGCATAGCATTTTGAAAACTGGGGGAACATCAGTGTCTTGCCACACACATACACACACACACAATACACACACACACACGCATATACACATACACACAGACACACATACACATACACACATGCACACACAGACACACACATGCACACAGACACAAATACACATACATACACGCACACACACAGACACAGACACACATATATACATACACACACAGACACATGCACACACACACACGCGCGCACACATGCACGCACACATGCACACATTAAAAAGGTTCCCTGGCCAAATAAATCAGGAATCTGCCCTCAGTTAAACAAAGCAAAGCAGTCTGGACGCAGTGGCTCACGCCTGTAATCCCAGCACTTTGGGAGGCCGAGGCAGGCAGATCATGAGATCAGGAGATCGAAACCATCCTGGCTAACATGGTGAAACCCCGTCTCTACTAAAAATACAAAAAATAATTAGCTGGGCATGGTGGCGGGCGCCTGTAGTCCCAGCTACTCAGGAGGCTGAGGCAGGAGAGTGGTGTGAACCTGGGAGGCGGAGCTTGCAGTGAGCCGAGATCGCGCCACTTCTCTCCAGCGTGGGCGACAGAGGGAGACTCCGTCTCAAAAAAAATAAAAATAAAAAAAAAGGAAGAAGAAGAAAAGATGTAATAATAACAGTCACACATGTGACAGCACTTGACAGGTCTGATACATCATGTCACCTCATCTTTATAACTATCCTATGAGGTGGCACTATCAGGGTTCCCATTTTAGAGAAGAGGAAACTGAGGCTCACAGAGATTATAATTGACCCATGGTCATGAGTGGCAAAGCTGAAGCTGGGCCCCAGGACCCCCACTTTTGATCCTTGCTCTTCCCTCTGTGAGTGGAGGGGAGGCCTGCGTGGGTGGGTTGCGGGAAAGTGAGCAGAACCAAGACTCAGGGGCCCCAAGACTTACCCTGCCTGGGTACGAAGTCAATCTTGACCTCTGCAAGAGAAGGAAGAGCAAGTAGCACGGGGGCAAAGGCAGGGCCCAGTGACAGGGGCTCCTGGCCCCACTGCCCCGACCCACCCTACCCTGGAGCAGGCTCACCCATGAAGTGGAGCTTGGCTGACAGGTTGCAGGCGAAGCCCTCGGGCACAAAGCTGTAGTCAGCCTCGTCGGCAGGTGTGACGTCGTCAATGGTCAGTTTGTGGACCCTGCAGGGGAGCAGTGGCTCAGGGGACCCCACTGGGCCACACACCCCTGGCCTTGCCAGATACCCCAGCCAGGGTCCCAGGAGGCCCTCACCTTGTCCTGGCTTGTTGGTATTCTGATTTTTAAAAATGCCTTTTTTTTTCTATATTATCTAATTTTCCAGCTTTTTAATGTGCCTTCAGAGGTAGGCAGCGTAAAAGTGATTTCTACATCAAAGCATCTCCTTGGCTGGGCCCTTGGAGACTGGGCAGGGGCTGGGTCTCATTAATCTCTGTGAACTTGGGCCCAGCACGGCCAGCCCAGTTGCTCCAGGGATGAGCAAGAGGGCGGGAGAGGCAGTGAGGGCCTCTGGCCAGAGCCGGCCTCCTTGGTGGCCTCCTGCCCTGCCCTGGTCACAAGCTGGGGGAGGGTGCTGGGGAGCGCTCGACCCCGTCCGTGTCTCTCCCTGCTGCCTCTTTGTCTCTGTCCCTCTGTTCTTCTCTGTCTCTGACGAACTCTCCTATGTGTGTGCCTCCCTGTGCATATCTTTCTGTCTCTATAGAACTATTTCTGTCTTTCTGTCTCTTTGTCTTTTTGGGTCTGTCTGTTTCTCCCTCTCTGTGGGTCTCTGTCTCAGTCTCTGTCCTGTCTCTGTGCATCTGCCTCTCTGTCCACCTGTCTTTATCTCTCTCTCTCTGTTTCTCCCTGTGTCTCTCTCTGTCTCCATCTCAGTCTCCACCTGTCCCATCCACCTGCCCTGCACACTCACCGCCCGATGTGGGACACCTTTATGCGGCTGTCGGGCACCAGCTCCTTCCCATTCTTCAGCCACACACCCCGAACATTCTCATCTGAGACCTCACATTTGAACACCGCCTGGTCCTTTGCGCCCACCATCAGGTCTGCGATGCTCTGGTACACCTCCAGCTTCTTTTCTGCAGGGCAGGGCAGAGCCATTGAGCTCGGGAGGGTGTGTGGGTGTGGCGTGAATCCCTGTGGAGGGCGTGTGGGCCCATGGGCGCTGGTGCGCACGTGTCTGGGTGCATGTGGGCATGTGAAAACACGTGTGCCTGTGTGTGCCATGTTTGCCTGTGATGGTGCAGTGCACATAAGGAACCTCAAGTGTCTGAGGGGTGGTGATGCTCACCAGGCCCGTATGACCCTCTCAGTACCCTCTGGAGCGGTCACCTCAGCATCGTCATTTTAGAGATGAGAAGGATGAGGTTTAGGCTGTCAAAGGCCCAAGGTCACAGAGGCCTTGAGCCCAGGTTTGCCTGCTCCCCTACAGGGCTAGGTGGGGTGGGGGCTGAGGGGTCCAAGCCCTAAAGCCTCATGTGCCCCCCCAGCCAGGCTCACCCTGCACAATGAGCTCAGCCAGCGCCTGGCCCCCGCTAGTGCACAGTGCATAGTGCCCCGCGTCCTCCAGCATGGCCTCGTTGATGATCAGGTGGTGTCTCTGCCCGTCCTTCTTGAACCGGTATTTGAAGGTCTCCTCCCGGGTCAGCTCCACCCCGTCCTTCAGCCTAGCCGGGTGGGTGGGTGGCAAGTGCTGTGGCCTCTTCTGGGCAGATGCCCCCAACACCCATGCCCCGTGCTTCTGGAACTCACCATTTGACTTGCGCCCCCTCCTCCGATACTTCACACTCAAACTCCACCCGCTGCCCCACCATCACCAGCTGGTCCTCCAAGGGGCGCGTGATGAGCACAGGGGGCTCTGTCCAGGCAGGGTGAGCATGAGGGTTGGCTCCCCTGAGGCCATCTCCTCCCCAGGTTCCCACATCCTCAGGTCCCAGGCCCACCTTTCACAAAGAGCTCCGTGCTACACTTCTCGCCACCCACCACGCACTGGTAGGCTGCGTCGTCCGCCAATGAGCACTGGCTGATGGTCAGGGTACGCTTGGCACCGATGGACTCAAAGATGTACCTGGGTGGGGGCCGCAGGGAAGTGGCAGGAAAGCTGCGGACACCCCTCCGGGCCCAGTGCGCCCCATGATAATCCCTGTGCCCCCCACCCCAAGCCATCCAGAGGGGAACTTACTTGCTGTAGAACAGAAGGGGCCGTTGAAGTGTTCCCGACGGGAGGAAGTGAGCCCGAGACAAAAGGAGAGAGAGAGAGGGACCGGCAGGAGCAAAAGGATGGGAAATTAGGCCCAGAGAGATGGGGCTGAGAGCCACACCGAGTCAGAGATACGCATGTGGAGAGGGGCAGGAGGCAAGGCTATGGGGGTCCCCACCTCCACCCGAGCCCCCCTCCCCACCCCAGGCTGCACCTGCCGCTCATCTGGATCTCCTGGCCATTCTTGAGCCATTTGACCTCAGCGTCATGGTCAGCCAGTTCCACGGTCAGCCGGATCTTGTGGCCTTTGCTCACCTGGTAGGCCGGCTCCAGCTTCTTCTGAAAGGCTGAGCACCACCCCTCAGCCCCGGCCACCCCACCGCCCGCACCCTGCTCCCCCAGGCCAAGCTACTGTGGCTGTGGCTGGGGCCCAGGTCCCCCCCTCCAATCCCCTCTGTGCCGCCCCGCTTCCACTTCTCTGTGTCTCTATTTCTTTTTGTTTTGTTTGTTTGTCTGTTTGTTTGTTTTTTGGACAGAGTCTTGCTCTGTTGGCCAGGCTGGAGTGCAATGGCGCCATCTTGGCTCACTGCAACCTCTGCCTCCCAGGTTCAAGTGATTCTCCTGCCTCGGCCTCCCGAGTAGCTGGGATTACAGGCATGTGCCACCACGCCCAGCTAATTTTTGTATTTTTAGTAGAGACGGGGTTTTACCATGTTGGCCGGGCTGGTCTTGAAATCCTGACCTCAGGTGATGCGCCCGCCTCAGCCTCCCAAAGTGCTGGGATTACAGGCATGGTGTCTTCATTTCTTTATCTGTGTCTATGTGTCAACCCACCTCCTTGTCTCTGTCTGTCTGACCTTGTCCTTCTGTCTTCCTTGGGGTCCTCTCCACCTGCTCAGCTCAGGGATTGGGTTAGGGGCTTCCAGAAAGACAGAAGCTTGTCAGGAGAACTGGGGCTGGGACAGCTGTGCCTTCTCTTCTCTCAGCAACCCCTGAGTTGTGTACTCTTCCCAGGCGCTCCCACCTAGCAGCCCTCTGTGCCCAGCACTCTCACTCCCATCTCAGCCCCCAGGGCCAGTGCGGTGGTCCCCATGCTGCTGCAGTGGGGGAAATAGGGCTCAGAGAGGCGACTGGCCCAATGCCACCAGCCCAGCAGGTGTGTGGCAGAGCTGGGTCTTGAGCCCAGCCCTGCTCCACAACAATGCCTCCTCTTGCGGCCGTGTTTGTAAAAGCCCATGTTGCTGCTGCTGAGCCCAGGGAGGAAGTGGGGGCTCCATCCACCGAGCAGAGAAGGACCCCTGAGTCCTCAAATACTCTGGCTGGGCCTGGAGTCAGCTGCGGAGGGGCAGAGATCTACTGCTGGGTGCTCTGTGACCTTGCGCTAGTTCCTTAAACCCTCTGTGCCTCGGTTTCCTCAGTAACATGGAAATGGTAATAGTCCTTCCATCATAGTGTTGTTTCGAGAATTAAATGAGATAATTACATAAAGCACCTAGTGGCTGGCTTAGGAAGGAACTCACTCACTTTTTTTGAGATGGAGTCTCATTCTGTCACCCAGGTTGGAGTGCAATGGCACAATCCTGACTCACTGCAACCTCTGCCTCCCGGGTTCAAGTGATTCTCCTGCCTCAGCCTCCGGAGTAGCTGGGATTACAGGCGCCTGCCACCATGCCCAGGTAATTTTGTATTTTTAGTAGAGACGGGGTTTCACCATGTTGGTCAGGCTGGTCTTGAACGCCTAACCTCAGGTGATCCACCTGCCTCGGCCTCCCAAAGTGCTGGGATTACAGGCGTGAGCCACTGCACCTGGCCAGCAATTTGCTCTTTTTACTGTTGTTGCTATTCCTGGAAGACACCCCTACCCTCGGAGGTCCCCATCTGCCTTGCCAGCCTCCATCTTTTCCTCCTTGGGCACCTACAGTCCTTTGCTTGGTGCCCTCTGGGCTCAGCAGTTCAGGAGTTAACCCAGAGGAACATTGGTGGCATTCAGGGGATCCCTGGCTTAAATGGGGCCACGGTGCCGGTAAGGGCCAGGCCACCTAGCGATGGGGTGATGGGAAACCCAGTGAGGCTGAGACAACAGGGAGGCAGGGCAGAGGGATAAGGGGCCTGGGGGAGGTCAGCAGGGAGGGACTAACCAGCTCCTCTCCCCGTCCCCATGATCGTGTGTGTTTTGTGTGTGTGCTTTGGGAGGGGCTTGTCTCCCATATCCTGCATGGAAGCTGACCCCTCCATTCAGTCGGTGTTTATAGAGCGCTCGAGGTGTGTGCCAGGCCCTGTGCTAGACCCAGACATGGTGGGGAGAAGGCATGTGAGACCCCTGCTTTCCCGGCTCACACCCGCCCTTGTCAACCCCTCAGTGGAGAAGGGCTATTCCTGGGCTCTCCTCTTTCCATCTGCCTGGGGGTGAGGGTAGTTAACCCAAGCCCTCCTGCTTTGTTTGCCTGAGAGAAAGATTAGCCAGGCTCTTTTCTTTGCCTGTGTGTGGCTCTCCAGGCTTAGCGGGCCTCTTCCCTTTTCTTTTGGGTGTGGAGAGGGTTAACCGGGCTTCATTTCTTTTCAGAAGAGGGTAGAGAAAGAAAGTGTAGCCTGATTTTTCCTTGGTGAGGAGGGTTAACCTGAGCTCTGTCCTTTTCCTTGTGGCTGTCCTGGCCTAACTTTTGCTCTTCTCTTCTATCTCTGTGGTAAGGGGCTAACCTGGGCATTCTTGGCTTTTTCTACACAAGGAGGGGTTAACCTGGGCTCTTCTTTCCTGTGAGTCTCTGTGCTAAGCCGGACTCCGCTCTTTCCATGTATGTGGACGAGGTGGGGGGCTAACCTGTGCCCTCTCCTCTCCCCTGTGGGGAAGGGCTAACCTATGCCCTCTCCTCTCCTGTGTAGGGAAGGGCTAGCCTGTGCCCTCTCCTCTCCCCTCTGAGGAAGGGCTAACCTGTGCTCTTCTTCTCATCGCGCCTCATGCCCTTGAGCCTCTTTAGCATGCCGCGCAGGTCAGTGACGCCGTACTGGAAGGCGATGCGCTCGTACTCAGATGGGGGTGCCTGCCGTAGGATCTCCCACACGTCCTCCTCTGCTGGTGCCTCCAGCTTCGAGTCCCTGTGTCCCGCAGTCTAGGCTGTGGCCGGGGGCAAGACTGCAGCCCCCTGGGCGGGGCTTCCTGGGCCCAGGACCAAGGAGCTGTAGCCACCCCTGTCCCTCTGCCCCTTCCCTTCTGGTGGGGCAGCTGGAGCTGCTCTGGGTCCCAGGCCAGGCAGGACTGGGGGCCAAGGGAGCTGAAGAGGGGCTGGGGATCTGGAGGGGCTCCTGGCAGAATTAGGGGTGATGAGGGTGCTGTGCTATGTTGGGCACTCACCTCGGGGTCCGGAAACTGCTGCTCCAGGGGTGGGGGTGGGAGAAAGGGTAGGTGGCACATGAGAGGTATGGCCACCTTCCCTCAAAGACCTGGACCCCACCCATGGGCCTTTACTTCCTCCCTATTTTCCGCACTTGCACTCCCTGTGTTGTGGGGCACCCATGCTGCTCCGGAGGCTCTGGCAGGACCTCCTGTGTGCATTACTTTTTCTTATCCCTCCTAAGCTCTGACAGATAGGTGGGTGGCAGGAGAAGCCCAAGGCACAGAGACTCACCCCTGTCCGTGGGGAGCCGCACCCTGCTCTGAGTCTCTCACCACAGCCTCTCAGAGAGGGGACGGGAATCCCCTCTGCACCCACCAGCGCCCTGCCGCCCCCAAACACCCAGACCCCGATTCTTACTCTCTGGGCCACAGCAGCAGCAGCCATAATGGAGGGGCCGGGGGAGAGGGAGAGAGAGGGCAGAGAGAACATAAGTCAGTTGGGCCGACCTGGTAGACCCTGCAGCTCTGGGGACCCTCTCTCTGTTCCTTCTGGGTCCCCGGAGTTTACGGAGGGAGCTTTTGCAGCCTCAAGTGTGGAGTGGCCGTGGGGGACACTGTGAGGATGACTGTTGACGGGACATAATGTCTGCAGAGCCCTTTAACTCCTTCCACACTGGGATCATCCCCTCGACAGACAAGGAAACCAACTCAGAGAGGTGCAGTGTTGTGCTCAGGGTCACACAGCTGGCAAACCACAGTGCTGGGATTTGGAGCCAGGCCTCACCAGCTGCCCCAGGAACTGCCACCCAGGACTCACCTCTTTTTCAGCAGTGAGCTGAAGTCCAGAATCCCAGTGTCCTCATGGCTATCACTATGGAGAGGGACCCCCAGTGAGGCTGCAGTGAGGGACTGGAAAGGGATTAGGAGCAGGATGGGAGTGGAGTGGGGAGGGAGAAAGGGACACTAGCCAGATTGGGCTCCCACCCGTCTCAGACCCCTGGGGGTCTGCGGATGGTGCAGGTAGGGCCTGGGGCAGGGGTACCTGATCCGCCGACCACCTCCAGCCAGGCTCCTGTGGGGGTTAGACTCAGTATCCTCACCTGCCTGGGAAGCTTGCTCTCCCCTGCAGCCCCCACTGACTTCAGCTCCGCCCCGCAAATCATCCCCAGCCCTGACCCCCAGTCGAGACCCTGAAGGGCCTCAGACTCCAGCACTGGCCTCCCCCAGGCCCTGAGGATGGCCACTCACGTGCGGCGGAAGGCTGATAGGAGGTCCAGGTCTCCGGTGCCCATGGCCTCTGGGTTCAAAGGGTGGAGAGATGGGGGAAGGGGCTTCAGAGGGGGCCGTTTGAGAAGCCCTGCCCTGGGGGCGGCCTCTGAGTATTCACAGACTTGCCCATTCATGACCCCATGAGGCTGGGCATCTGCCCCAGGATCTCACCTTCCCAGCCTTTCCCAGGGTCAAGGTACCAGGCAGGTGGGACGGTTTATTGTCCCCAATTCCCACCCATCTCTCAACTCACCTTCACCCATCGCCCAAACATTCAGACAGTGCCAGGCCATGGGCCAGGAGCCGTGACACCAAGATGATAAAACAGAGTCCCACCCAGATGAGACCCGGACTCAGCCCTAAGCCCCCACGCCTACCCTGCAAGCCTTGGGGTTTCTCTCACACCCTGTGTGTGCAGCACTGGGCACGTGGCCAGCACTCATGTCTGGATGGGACGAGGCATCCTCCTTAGTGTTGGGAAAAGGAGGTAGGAGACCAGGACCCATGGGGAGCCCGAGCCCAGGACAGACACCAGGGCCCCCTCACCGTGGACAGTGAGATTGAAGTTGGAGCAGTCAAATTTGTCCTTGGTGGACACCTCACAGCGGTAGCTGCCAGTGAAGGCAGGCTGGGCATCGGTGATGTGCAGCTCGAACAGATAGACCTGTGTGCATGGAGGGACGGGGCGTCAGGGGACACCAGGGGCCGGGAGACAAGGCTCCGCACCCTTAAAGGAGACTGGGAGTGGCCGGGCGCGGTGGCTCAGGCCTGTAATCCCCACTTTGGGAGGCTGAGGCGGGCGGATCACATAAGACCAGGAGCTCCAGACCAGCCTGGCCAACGTGGTGAAATTCCGTCTCTACTAAAAATAACGAAAATTAGCCAAGTATGGTGGTGCACACCTCTAGTTTCAGCTACTCGGGAGGCTGAGGTGGGAGAATCGCTTGAACCCAGGAGGTGGAGGTTGCAGTGAGCCGAGATTGAGCCACTGCACTCCAGCCTGAGCGACAGAGCGAGACCCTGTCTCAAATTATATATATATATATATATTTAAAGGAGGCTGGGAGTGACAAATGCTCATCGATCTTCGCACCCTCAGGCTTTAGTTAACCCATACAGAGTTTTTGTACAGAGAAAGGGGACTATCTCGAAACCCATGATTGCCATCTGCTGGCACATGGTTGTGGTGAAATACAGGCTTTTGTGCAATGCACAGCCCCGCACAGCAGAACATGTTGGCCTCTCTTGCTAGAGGCCCCCTTGCCTAGCCCAGGACTGGGGAAGGTTGGGAAAAGCAGAGGCTTGGAGTGAACAAACAAGGGGACTTAAGCCTTAAGGTTCTGGTGGGCAGGGCGGAAAAAAACAAAACACAAAAAACGAAGGCTTAAGGTTCTAGGCCTATGTCTAAGTGACCTTGGAGCAGCCACTTAACCTCTCAAGCTTTGGTTTCCGTGTCTGTATAATGAGGAATTGTTCTGGTTAATCCCTGAGAGTCCCTTGAGCCCTTAGCCCTGATACTCACCCATCCAGGGGCTTTACAACCCCACTAGCTGGTGCCCCCATGCTTCACAGTGTCCTCCAGGCTTCCTGACCACCCTGGGCGACCCCCCACCCCCGGCCAAACCTTATTAGGTGCCCCCTTGAGGTGATCATGTCCACCAAGTCTCCCAGGTCCCCGACAGTGCTCCCATGAGCCTCATCGCACTCCCTGGCCCCCAGGCCTCCGGGATCTCCCTGTGGGCCCCTGGCCCCTCCACCTGCCTCCCAGATTCCCCACACCCCTTGCTTGCAGCTCGTGTGTGCCTCTGGGTCTCATGGTGCCCTCTGTGTGCCTTGTGCCTTCTAGGGCTCTCCATGTCCCCTCTCTCCGTGTCTCCACGACCCCGGTGGACCCACCTTGCTGGCGCGGTCGTAGCTGTCGTGCAGCTGCAGGTGCTGGCCCACCTTGCTGCTCAGGTCCACCCATTTGCCCTTGAACCACTTGACCACAGGCGGCTTCAGGAGGCTGGCGCCGGCCACGCGGGCTGAGAAGGTGATGCTGCCACCTGCAAAGGCAGGGGCGACAGGCCCGGCTTGGGGAGTGTCCTGCTGCCCCCCCTTCCCACCCCAATGCTGGGCACAGCAGCTCACACTCACCCACGGTCACCTCGCCATCCTGTGGCCGCATCACGAAGAGGCCAATGGGGTCATCGGGGGCTCCAGGGGTAGGACCATTGAGAGCTGCTGAGCTTGACCCTGTGAGCAAAGGCTTTTTCTGTTTGTTTGAGATGGAGTCTTGCTCTGTCACCCAGGCTGGAGTGCAGAGGCACAATCTCGGCTCACTGCAAGCTCCGCCTCCCAGGTTCACACCATTCTCCTGCCTCAGCCTCCCAAGTTAGCTGGGACCGCAGGTGCCCGCCACCACGCCCGGCTAATTTTTTTGTATTTTTAGTAGAGATGGGGTTTCATCATGTTAGCCAGGATGGTCTCAATCTCCTGACCTCATGATCCGCCCACCTCGGCCTCCCAAAGTACTGGGGATTATAGGCCTGAGCCACCGCACCTGGCCCAGCAAAGGCTTTTGAGACCTGCCCTGGACACGCCCTACCCACGGATCCTGCCCCTCCCTGCCCAGCCCCTCTCACCTTTGGGACTTGGGGCACTTTCTCCCAGCTCAGCGGCTGGGGCCGGGGCTTCTCCAGGGGCTCCAGTGGCCTCAGCAGGGGCAGGGGCAGGGGCCAGCATGGGCTCTGCCTTCTCTGGAGGGGATCAGATGGGAGTCGTGGTGCAGCCACTAACCAGAGACCCCTCCACCCTCTCTCTCCTGAGCATTGGACCCATGAGCCCGCTGTGGATGAGGAAAGTCTGCCATGGCTGTCCTCCCGCTGCCTGGGCCCCTCAGAGGCAGCTCATGCTGAGCTGGAGAGCCAGCCTGCCTCTCACATTCTCCTCCCCGTCCCAGGCCATCAGTTCCCATGTCCTCTGCATCTGCCCTGAACAGCTCCAGGTCCATCCCTGCTCTGCCCCAGCCTTAGAGCAGCCCCTCAGACTGGGCTGCACTCCCCTCATCCACAGCTCCTGGGGCTTCCCGGCCGTCTGTGCAGGGTCATCTCCCCAGGGAGGTCTGCAGGGGGAGAGTGGGGTTGTGTCTTGTTCATCTCTCCCACCTACCCCATGGCTGGAACAAGCCAGGATGGCACATGGGGGTACTCAGAGAGGTCATGTGCAGAAAAGGGGGAAAGGGCGTTCCTGGCGGGGGGCACAGCCACAGCAAAGGCAAGAAAGTGTGAAAGCACCTCCTGTTCCCTGGATGGATGGAGAGTCGCTGGGCTGCCCCTCCCCCAGCAGCCCAAACCTCAGGGAAGGCTGATCAGGATCTTACCTGCCTCTATGACCTTGAGGTCGAACTTGACCTTGGAGGAGCCAGCAATGACTGCGTAAGATCCCTGGTCGGCAGGGCCCACTTCCCGCACTGTCAGCGTATGCCGTGTGCCCTCTGTGGCCAGGCCGTACTTGTTGCTGGCGCTGATGTCACTGCCTCCGCGCTGCCAGCGCACCTTCACTCCTGCCCGCTCTGTCTCGGCCTCGAACACGGCAGGGCTGCCTGCGGCCACTTCCACTGACCGTGGCTTCTTGCTAAAAGCTGAGACTGAAGGGCCAGGTGGAGGCTACAGCGGCCCCTGGTTGGAGCGTGCACCCCGCCCCTGCAGCCCCTCTCAGTAAATACTGTGCTAGCACTTTCTATGCATCCCCTCACGTAATACTCTACCAGTTCTCTGAGGTAGTTGCAGTTATTCTGTTCATTTCTCAGAGGAGGACACTGAGGCTCAGAGAAGCTAAGCGGCTCCTCCAAGATCACACAGCTAGCAGTCGGGAGAGCCAGGGCTGTGGTCCTGACCTCCCAACAAGACTTTTTCTGCATGTGTCCACTTTCCCTGCTTGGAGACACCCGTGATGAACCCAGCTCCCTTTCCCCCAACCATTTCGGGCCCTTGGCAGGGGGCGGGGAAGTCTGCCTACTTGGAATGTGGCCAAATTTGTCCTCCAAGGACCTCAGGCTGGGTATCAGCAACTGAGATAAAGCTGGCCTGGGAGGGCGCTGGGGGATGGGGACCTGGATCTCTGCCCTGGACAACCTTCATAAGGGCACAGCCCAGGCCCAGGTCCCTGGGCTGTGATTTTCCCTGCCCTTGGCCTGGGTTCAGGGGCTCCTGACTGTCCTCTCTCAGAGAAGAGGGGCTGTGTCACCCTCAACATGGGGGCCACACCGTACAGGCTCATGAAGCAGATAATGTCACAGCCAGGAGGAACCAACCCAATGCCACCACCACCCCCGGCACCCCAGGTTGGGAGACTGAGACCCATAGTGGGTAGAGACTGGTCTGAAGGCATGCCGTGAGCCTGGCTCAGCTCCATACTAAACGTGGGCTCTGTCCGCGGGGAACCTTGCTGTGGAAGGTGAAGGCAATGGGACAGGGAAGGGGTCCCTTTGCATTCTCAGAATGGGTTGACCCCGGGTGCTTCCTGTCTTGGCTGTGTCCCCTCTCTGCGTCCCTGACCTTGGGTTTACCTTCACCTCTCATCAGAGGGATGGGAAAAAGAAACCGAGAATCAAAAAAGGACCCTGGAGGACTGGCTGCCCCTGTCCTGGGGCTCAGAGGCCACGTCCTCGTCAACCCCCTCAAGAACTCCCTCCTAGCCCTGCTCCCCAATTGTAGACACCCCCCTGCTCCCACACTTAGACCCAACCCCAGTCCTAAAGCTACCTGGCTTCTTCCCCGGCTCAGGCATCCTGAGAGACGTCACACCAGGCACGAAGCAGGCACAGGTCACCCAAAGAGGGACTGAGTGGGGTCCTGTCCTTCCCACTATATATGGGGACCTCCCCCCTCCCCAGGCTCTGCTTATCTGCCTCCTGTCCAGCCACCTGCTAAATATAGATGAATTCCAGAGAGCTGAGGTCTCTCCAGGGAGAAGGTAGGGCCACATTGTCCCTGGCTGGCTCCTGTCCCTTCCCCCCTCACCCCCCGCAGCACAATTCTGCCTCCCCAACCTTTGGCAAGCCTCAGGGGTACTCCAAGCCCCGTGTGTGTCCCTCTTACAGCAAATTGTACGGTGGGAGCATGCTGGGCCCATAACCCTAAGGCTAACGGGTCAGGAGCATCCTCGCAGGCAGTTCAGGCAGTGGTCATGTCCACAGACCCTGGGGCCAGGGTGTCTCTGAGTCCTAGCACTGCCATCTCTTTAATCTCAAAGCACCTGGTTTCCTCATCTGTAAAGCGGGGTGGGTGAAAGCAGCACCCACTGCACAGGATTGTCACACGTATGAAGTGGGTTTATAATTTTAAAAATGTTAGGCCGGGTGTGGTGGCTCATCTGTAATCCCAGCACTTTGGGAGGCCGAGGCAGGCAGATTATTTGAGGCCAGGAGTTTGAGACCAGCCTGGGCAACATGGCAAAACCCCATCTCTACTAAAAAAATAAAAAATAAAATAAATACACACACACACACAAATTAGCCAGGTGTGGTGGTGTGGACCTGTAGTATCAGCTACCCAGGAGGCTGAGGTGGGAGGATCGCTTGAGTCCAAGGAGTTCCGGGCTGCAGTGAGCCAAAATCGCACCACTGCACTGCAGCCTGGGTGACAGAGTGATAATAATAATAAAAATATTATTTATTATTATTTTTTATTATTAATATCTCAAAGAATAATAATAAAAAAATAAAAATGGGCTGGGCGAAGTGGCTCACACCTGTAATCCCAGCACTTTGGGAGGCTGAGGCGGGCAGATCACTTGAGCTCAGGAGTTCGAGACCAGCCTGGGCAACATGATGAAACCCCATCTGTACAAAAAATACAAAAATCAGTCAGGCATGTGACGCACACCTGTAGTCCCAGATGCTCGGGAGGCTGAGGCAGGAGAATCACTTGAGCCCGGGGGGTCAGGGCTGCAGTGAGCCATGTTCGTGCCACTGCACTCCAGCCTGGGCAACAAAGTAAGACCCTGTCTCAAAAAAAAAAAAATAAAAATAGAAGAATGAAGACACAACACCATTTTGCCTTCTCTTGTGGCCCTGCAGTAGGACTAGGGAGCTGCAGGGTTGGGCTGCAGTGAGCCCTCTGGGGTTGAGGAGGTGTGGGGCGGGTATTTGTCCCTACGATAATGGCCCCAGAATCTGGGTTCCCTAAGGTCTTTGACAGCGTTGGGAAGTCCCTCACTCCCAGGCTGTCTACTGCCACTACTTGCTACCGTCTGGAGGAAAACACAGGACTTACAGGCTTCTCCGCTCAGCTTGGTCTGTTTCTCCCCTGCTGTGGCTAGGAGCTAGAAAGCAAATAGAACCTGGGGGTCCCACCAGGGATTCACTTGGGTCTAAAGTCCTGCTGGGCGTGCAGCTCGTGAGAACCCTTTGCGGCCCACAGGAGCTTTGGGGCTTAATTCCTGTCCTCGGAATGCTGAAGAGTATCCTCTTCCAGATAAGCAAGGCCTCCCACTCCATGTTGACGTGTCGGGACAGACCTGGAGTGTGATCCAACTTGGCCACTCAACGGCTGTGACCTTGGGGAAATAATTTGACCTCTACAAGCCTCAGTTTCCCATTCTATAAAATGGAGTGATATTAGACTCCACATCTCAAGGTTGGCAGATACTAATTGACCAGAATATCAAATGTTGTTGCTGGTCATGGTCATCATCATCATCATCATCATCATCATGAGTTCAAACCTCATCAAGGCTTAAAAACAACAACTATCAGGAGTAGAGAGCTTTTAAATAGGATCTGCTCTCCTAATCACAATTGAGGACTTGTTCTTTCCACCAAACTCTAACTCCTGTTCAGGCGCTCTGTGTCATTGGTCCTCATGTTCCCAGGGTCCAGCATTGGGTACAGTCCTCGGTAAACACCCGATGGACAAATGACAAAAAGAGACGTCGCAGCACACAGGGGCCAAAAGAGATACACAACAAATTTTAAAAGAGACTCTGTGCTGCAAGAGGATGGATTGAGAATAACTTTACTTGTTTTTTGGGAGGAGGTTAATGGGTGGGAGGGGTGAGAGGGGAGATCTGATTTACATACGGACTTGAGACTCCCAAGGCAGTACCCCGGGTCGTCCTCTGCAAGGTTGCCCCGGTGGGGTCTGACGCCCAGCTGGCGTCCGGGAGCCGGGGTGGAGTCCTGGAGGGAGGCGAAGCGGGATGTGGAGGGGGCCTGGAGTGGGGGGAGGGGGCGGGTGAGGCGAGGCCCGGCCCGCCACAGTCCTGCCTCTGGGCCCCGGGAGCGTCCTCCCTGTGTCCGGGCCGGGCGAGGGCTTAATGCTATGGCCAGCGGGGAGGCCTGGCGGGGCCCGGCGGGGGCTGCGGGCTCAGTGGGGCGGGTGGCGCCGCTCGGCCAGGCCCCCGCGGCCCAGCACTTCGCCGCTGAACTGGTAGGTGAGCTTCTTCTTCACCTTCTTGACCTCGCCCGTCTTGCCGTAGTTGCGCAGCGCGCGCGCCATCTTCTGGTAGGTCATCTTCTTGCGGTTGCCCTTCTGGATGCCCCAGCGGTGCGCCAGCGCCTCCTTGTGCTTGGACGAGAACTGGAAGGTGCCCTTGTCCTTGTCCACCCACCAGATGCTGTCCTTCATGTCGCCGCTGCGGAGCAGGTCCAACAGGAACTGGTACAGGCGGATCTTCTTCTTGCTGCCTGCGGGGGGGAGGGCCCGGTGGGAGGGGGCCCGGGGCCCACATGGGAGCCGCCCCCACCGCCTTGCGTACGCACAGGGGCCCGGGGACGGGGTGGCCGGGAAGGGCAGGGGAACGGCTGCCCCAGCCCGCGCCGGGCGTGCATACACAACGCACCCACACTCACACACACACACATGCTTGCGCACACACAGGCGTTCACACACACCCACTCACACCCACGCACTCACCCCCCCCACGCGCACACACTCGCACCCACACAGTGCACCAAGTACACACACATGCTCACATCCACATAACGCACCCACACCTCCTTACACATGCTCACACATCACGCCCACACCCACTCACACACGTGCTCACACAACGCACCTTCTCACACCCACTCACACTCATGCTTAAACACAATGCAACCACTCACTCATGCTCACACCCACACACGCTCACACGTACAATGTATCTGATCACACACATGCTGTCACACACATGCACACACAATGCACGTGCTCACAGACTCACACCCACATGCTCACACACATGCTTGTGCAATGCACCCAAACGCCAGATTGCACCCACACCCACCCACTTGCACATTCACACCCACATCTGCCCTCACACACTGTCACTTTCTCACACACCCACACAATGCACCAGCTCACACTCACACACATGCTCACACACTCATTCACTAACATGCCCCCACACACTGGCACCCACACGACACACCCACTCACATGCTTGCACCCACCCACATGTTCAAACCCACACTGCATCTGCTTACACATTCACAACCCACTCACACACACCTGGTCACACCCACTCATGCTCACACCTCATTCACACCCACTCACATGCACACTCACACCCACCCAATGCACCCACTCACACACATGCACACACACTCAGACCCACTTACTGCCCCCACACACGGTCACACCCAATGCACCTTCTCACACTCATATGCCCACTCACACCTGCTCACACACACCTCACACCAGGTTCACACACTCATGTTCACACACCTGCTCATACACCTCACACCAGGTCTCATAATCACACCTGCTTATACTTGCTTACACATGCTTGCACAAACACACCTGCTTACACATCTTACACTGCTCACCCTCACACCTTACATTGCTCACCCTTGCACACACATGCCCCTGCTCACACACACATGCTTACACCACACCATTCACTCACACATATCCACTCACATATGATCGCACCTACCCACACCTCACACACACTTGCACGCACACACCTGCTTACACACATCTCACGTTACTCAGCCCCACACGCACACACCTGCTCACACACATCTCACATTACTCAGCTACACACACACGCCCCTGCTCACACACTTGTGCTCACACACCTCACACCATTCACTCACGCACACACCCACTCACACATGCTCACGTCTGCTCACACACATGCTCACCTATCCATACACACACTTCCTCACACACCTCACACCAAGTCTCACACACACTTATGCTTACAAACTCATGCTCACACACATGCTAACACTTCACACATGCTAACACCTCACACATTCACACCCACTCACATGCTCACACCTCACACATGCTCACACCTCATACCTCACACACATGCTCACATCTCACACCCACTCACACACACCTGCCCACACATATCTGCACACACACATGCTCACACATATGCTCACACATCACACATACCTGCTCACATACATGCTCACACCTCACAGCTGCTCACTTATCACTCACACGCTCACACCAGCTCTTTCACACCTCATTGACACCTGCTCACTCATATTTCACACCACTTACACTTGCACCTCACACCTGCTCACGCATGCACATACATTCTGCTCATGCATATCCACTTGCATGCTTACACGCCTGTTCACACACAACCACTCAGACACCTACTTGCACACTCAAATGCTCACACACATTCTGCTCTCACATCCACTCACAGCAGCTCACACTCATGCATGCTCACACACACCTGCTCTCACACTCACACATCACACCCATTCTCTTGTTTTTGAGATGGAGTTGCTCTTGTTGCCCAGGCTGGAGTGCAATGGCACGATCTCGGCTCACTGCAACCTCCACCTCCCGGGTTCAAGCAATTCTCCTGTCTCAGCCTTCCAAGTAGCTGGGATTACAGGCGTTCACCACCACGCCTGACTAATTTTTGTATTTTTAGTGGAGACGGGGTTTCGCCATGTTGGCCAGGCTGGTCTCGAACACCTGACCTCAGGTGATCCGCCTGCCTCAGCCTCCCAAAGTGCTGGGATACAGGCGTGAGCCACCACGCCCGGCCCACTCACACCCATTCATGCTCACACACTCATTCACACACCTGCTTTCACACATACACATACCTGTTCACACACATGCACACCTGCTCACACACGCAGGTGCTTAAGCACGTCCTCACCCCCCACACACACCTGCTCACACATGGGAACACACACATGCTTACACATGTTAAAACACATATCCACTCACATACATGCACAGACCTGCTCACATATACACATACATGCTCACACACCCCAGCTCACACCTTCCTGCTCACACACACCTGCTTACATACACCCTCAAACATGTTCACACCCACTCACACATCCACTGACACACACCTATGCCCATTCACACACACTTATATCACACACATCCCTGCTTACATACACATTCACACATATACACTTGCTCACACACCTGCTGTCACACCCCCACTCACACATATCACTCACACATGCCTGCTTACAGCCACTCACATATACCATGCTCACATCCCTGCTCACACAGGCACACCCACACACTGCTGACACCCACTGACATCATACGTGCACAGCTGCTCACACGCACTGAAATACATTCATGTGTTGACAGACACACAAACATGGCCACACCCACTCTCAGCCACACCAGCTCTCACATTCACCTTCTCACACACCCACTCACACAGCCACTCGCACACATGCACCTGCCCGTACCTGTGCACACGCACCCTCTGCACACTTGCTCACACACACCCAGATGTACACACACTCATGGCACAGAGAGACACACACACCTGGCACACTTCATGGAGATGCCCGTATGCACTACACAGCAGATACACACACACAGAGACAGCCACAGACAGCCCCACAAAACACACACACTGGCAAACATGCACACACACACACACGCGACTCGGTGGCGTGGCTGCTGGGTCAGTTGGCCTGGCTGGGTGGGGGCAGGGCACAGACACGGCCAGGGTCGGGGCCAGGGTGGAGGGCCAGGTGCCCCACCTGTCTCCCCAGGCAGGAGCCCAGGCCCGGGCTCCAGGCCATCCGCCTCGCCGTCAGACACCTCCAGTGGGGGGCTCTGCCGCTCGCCCTCCTCCTCATCTGAGCTGGGCTGGGCTGGGGACAGGGATGGGTACTGGAGGCACATCCGGGGCAGGTAGGAGACCTGGACGGTGGGGGAAGGAGATCAGAGTCAGGAAGGGCCAGCTTACAGCTCAGGGGGGCTGGGAGGGAGGTCAGCTGGGGAGAGAAGGAGTGCAGAGGGCAGGGGACAATGGCAGGCACAGGAGACTGGAGGAAGAAGACCAGGGAAAAGGGGGGCCAGTTGAGGTGCTGCACATAGGGTGCAGGCTGTGGGGCGAGGGGTGCTGACATCCAGCCCACCCAGCCCTCCCAGCTGGGCCTCCTGGTTTAGGACTGTGGGCACCGGGGAAGTGGTGCCTTGTTCTCCTCCCTGCAGCGGTGCTGTGTGGACCCGCATTAGGCTGGGGTCAGAAGAGGGCATGCTAGGGACCGGTGCGTTGGGTCTGGAAGGGGGTTTCATAGGTGGGATGATGAGTGAGTGGAGGGACCCTGGAGGTCAGTAGGGGTGGTAGAGGTCAGCAGAGGTCACTGATCCGGGTTAGGGTCAGTAGGGAGGGTCACTGGGGAGAGGCAGGGTCAGTAGAGGTGTTCAGTGACTTGGTGTGGGATCCATGAGGGCTAGTGAATGGGGGTGGCAGACAGTGAGGCCCAGGAGGGCCCACAACAAGGCGTTGGGATGGGGAGGCTTGGTGAGGGTGCGAGAATTATCTGGGGTCTGTCCATACTCGGGGTGAGATGAGATAAGGGGTGTGGGGTCATGAGGTCACTTGGGGGGTCAGGCGGCAGCCGTTGGAGCTCCAGCCGCCGTTGGCACTGTGGGGCAGGAAGCTGAGTTGGGTAAGAGCCTGTGTCAGCTTCCTGTGAAGCTCCCGGGCCCCACCACAGGCCTGGCAGTCTCCTGGGGGACGGGGCAGGCGGTGGCATGCACCTGGTGGCCAAGACTGGGATGGGGTGGCACCATGGGGGTATCGAGGACGTGCATCTGCTCCAGCTCCATGTGGCGGTAGAGCTGCTGCAGCTGCGGGGGCTGCACGCTCTGGAGCTCCGTGAAGTTGTTCTCGGCGAAGCTCTCGAACTCGCTGTGCACGTGGTGGGGGTGGAAGTCCCAGTAATGGTCTGTGGGGGACAGCCAGGCAGTATGGGGTGAGCTCAGGGTTGGGCAGGGCAGGAAAAGGTTATAGTAACATTAAATAATACTGCCAGGCCATATGGGGCCTAACCATCTCGTTTAACCCTCGCCACCTGCATGGTTACTCTAGGCCTGCATTTTATAGATGAGGACACTGAGGCTTCGAGCGGCTACATAGCATGCCCAAGGTCAAAAGCATCCGGGTCACAGCCAGGACTCAGGGCTGAAGCAAAGCTCGTGTTCTCAGCAATTCCATCCTGATTCCTGTGCAGTCACACAGACCGAGCGTCTAATCCTGGCTCTGCCATTTACTTGCTGTGTGACCTCAGGCACATATGTGGCCTCTCTAACCTCAGTTGAGTTGCCTGTAAAATGGGGATCACAGTTATTGGGAAGATACGAATGAGTACACATTTGTAAAACACCTCGCACCAGAGCCGGCCCTCAGGGAAAGTTGATTCCCCTCCTATCCTGTTAAAACCTCCCAGCCAGGGCCGCGCGCGGTGGCTCACGCCTGTAAACCCAGCATTTTGGGAGGCGGAGGCGGGCGGATCATGAGGTCAGGAGATTGAGACCATCCTGGCCAACGTGGTGAAATCCCATCTCTACTAAAATACAAAATATTAGCTGGGCGTGGTGGTAGGTGCCGTAATCCCAGCTACTCAGGAGGCTGAGGCAGGAGAATCGCTTGAACCCGAGAGGTGGAGGTAGCAGTGAGCCGAGATTGCGCCACTGCACTCCAGCCTGGCGACAGAGTGAGACTCTGCCTCAAAAAAAAAAAAACTCGGCCGGGCGCAGTGGCTCACGCCTGTAATCCCAGCACTTTGGGAGGCCGAGGTGGGTGGATAACGAGGTCAGGAGATCAAGACCATCCTGGCTAACACAGTGAAACCCCGTCTCTAGTAAAATACAAAAAAATTAGCTGGGCGTGGTGGCGGGTGCCTGTAGTCCCAGCTACTCAGGAGGCTGAGGCAGGAGAATGGTGTGAACCCAGGAGGCGGAGGCTGCAGTGAGCCGAGATTGCGCCACTGCACTCCAGCCTGGGCGACGGAGCGAGACTCCGTCTCAAAAAGAAAAAAAAAGAAAAAAGAAAAGAAAAAAACCTCCCACGGGTTCCTGAGCTCCCTGGCTGCCCACAGTCTCTCTCTCTGTCTCACACACACACACTCACACAGCCTTGTCACATGGCCAAGGTGTGACAGCAGAGTCACAGGGCTGACATTCCTCACACACTAGAACTTGTCCAGGCACACGGTGGCCCTTCCTCTTCAAAGCCATGACCTTAAGCAGTGGCACCTGTGTTCCCGTGAGGTTCCTGGGACCTGAGACTTTCCTGGAAAACCCCCTGTGGGTTCCTTGAGTCTGTGGTGGAGGAGACTGAAGTCCGGGGAATAACCCCATGCCACCAAAAGCCCTGTCTTGGAACTGGGGAAGATCTTCAGCATGAACACCTTTTCCAGGAACAAAAACTGCCACACATCTGCGGGACTTCCTGGGCGCAATTCGGGGTCCAAAATGAAGCGTGGTAATAAAGTGACAAGATCGGCTGTCTCATGTGGGCCAAAGAGGGCGCCTACGAGACTCCAGGTCCAGGCAGTGTCTCTGGGACAAGTCCACCACCAGCCATGCGTGCGTGTGTACGTGTGTACAAAGGTGTACACATGTCTGCCTGCATCTCTCTTTCTCTCTCACACAAACACCTAATCACACATCCCTAATAGATAATCATGATTTTTGGTTCTGGACTGGATCTCGGAGTACTCGCTTTCTAAACCTGCTTTGCAGTATGACCATGGACAAGACATTTTTTTCTCCCGGAGCCTCTCATTCCCCACTCTAAAAGTCAGAAATGCTTTTAGACCTGGGTAGTTACTGAGGCCTTGTCTACATGTATAATTATTTGGCCTCACAGTCCAGACAACCCAGACTCCCACCTTTAGGAAGCCACATGGCAGAGAGGAGAGAAAGGCAGAGCTGGGCTCAAGTTCTGGCTCTGCCATTTACCACTGTGTGACAATGGGCAGGTCATTCTATTTCTCCAAGCCTGTGTCCTCATCTGTTAAATGGGGCTAACAATTACACCCATCTCACAGGCTTGTTTTGAGAAGCAAATGACCTATTGCTTGCAAAGTGCTTAGACTAGAACTTGGCACAAAGACAGACCTTGATAAACATTAACTTCATCATTATCATTATTATTAATAATAATAATAGTTTATTCTAAAGAGCCTAGATTCCCACTGAGTGTGGTTACACCTATAATCCCAGCTACCCAGGAGGCTGGAGAGGGAGGATCACTTCAGCCCAGGAGTTTGAGACCGGCCTGGGCAACATAGTGAGACCCTATCTCTACAAAAAATGTTTAAAAATTTGCCAGACATGGTGGCACACACTTCTAGTCCCAGCTACTTGGGAGGCTGATACGAAAAGATCGTTTGAACCCAGGAGTTTGAGGCTGCAGTGAGCTATGATTACATCACTGCCTCCAGCCTGGGTGACAGAGTGAGACCCTGTCTCTTTTTTTTTTTTTTTTTTTTTCTCTGAGATGAAGTCTCACTCTTGCCCAAGCTGGAGTGCAGTGGCACGATATCGGCTCACTGCAACCTCCACCTCCCGGGTTCAAGTGATTCTCCTGCCTCAGCCTCCCAAGTAGCTGGTAATACAGGCATGTACCACCATGCCCAGCTAATTTTTGTATTTTTAGTAGAGATGGGGTTTCACTATATTGGCCAGGCTGGTCTTGATCTCCTGACCTCGTGATCTGCCCACCTCAGCCTCCCAAAGTGCTGGGATTACAGGCTTGAGCCACTGCGCCCAGCTGAGACCCTGTCTCTTAACAAAAAAGTATTCAGTGTGCAGGGGGAGGGGCTTACAAAAAATTTTTTTTAACTAAAAAAAAAAGCCTGGATTAGCACTTGAACAAGCATAGAGCAAATGCTTTTAATACATGTTTCTTTCCTCTTGTTCTCCCTGCTCCTGGCCACCTTAGTCAATGGCCCAGAGAAATAACTTTAGGGGACCATGTTGTCACTGCAGTTGAAGCCCAAGCATGGCACCATGAGGGCAGGGACTGGTTTTGTTCACCTCCGTCTTCCCAGTGCCTAAGTAGAGTGGGCACTCAACAAACATTTCCTGAATGAATGAATCAATGATTGCCTCTTTTTAAAAATAAAAATGTCTTTCTAGGCCAGGTGCAGTGGCTCACGCCTGTAATCCCAGCACTTTGGGAGGCCAAGGCGAGCGAATCACCTGAGGTCAGGAGTCCGAGATCAACCTGGCCAACATGATGAAACCCCGTCTCTACTGAAAATACAAAAATTAGCTGGGTGTGATGGCAGGCGCCTGTAATCCCAGCTACATGGGAGGCTGAGGCAGGAGAATCGCTTGAACCTGGGAGGCGGAGGTTGCAGTGAGCCAAGATCACACCACTGCACTCCAGCCTGGGTGACAGAGTGAGACTCCATCTCAAAAAAAAAAAATCTCTTTTTAAATTGAGATGGAATCTCACTATGTTGCCTCCAACTCCTGGGCTCAAGTGATCCTCCCACCTCAGCCTCCCCAAATGCTTGGATTACAGGCATGAGCCACCGAGCCCAGCTGAATCCTAGCCTCTTAAGAAGCCTCTCAGGCCGGGCATGGTGGCTTATGCCTGTAATCCAAGCACTTTGGGAAGCCAAGGTGGGCAGATCACCTAAGGTCAGGAGTTTGAGACCAGCCTGGCCAACATAGTGAAACCCCGTCTCTACAAAAATATAAAAATTAGCTGGGCCTGATGGCAGGTGCCTGTAATCCCAGCTACTCAGGAGGCTGAGGCAGGAGAATCCCTTGAACCTAGGGAGGTGGAGGTTGTGGTGAGCCGAGATCATGCCACTGCATTCCCGCCTGGGCAATAGAGCCAGACTCGGTCTCCAAAAAAAAAAAAAAAAAAAAAAGCCTCTGAGACTCTCCTCTGCAAAATTATCTAAACCTGAAGCGAAAACAAAACAAAACTTAATTTGCATTTTCTTTTTTTTTTGAGATGGAGTCTGGCTCTGTCGCCCAGGCTGGAGTGCAGTGGCACGATCTTGGCTCACTGCAGCTCCGCCTCCTGGGTTCACGCCATTCTCCTGCCTCAGCCTCCCGAGTAGCTGGGACTACAGGTGCCTGCCACCACGCCCGGCTAATTTTTTCTATTTTTTAGTAGAGACGGGTTTTCACTGTGTTAGCCAGGATGGTCGCGATCTCCTGACCTCGTGATCCACCCGCCTCGGCCTCCCAAAGTGCTGGGATTACAGGCGTCTGGCCTTAATTTGCATTTTCATCTTGCAGTGAGCTAACAGGATCCCGAAACTCTCCTCGCTGTAGGAGAGTTTGCTCTGCTCTTTAGTGAGGAGGCTGTCCTGGGGCTCTGGGATTTGGTGAAATGATTCCTCTCCAGTTATTGATCCCTGCTTCAGCCCCACTTCTGGCTCTGCCCATTTTTGCCTTCTCCTGCCCAAGTTGGAGTGCCCTGGTATAATGCCGAATGGATCCTGCCATCAAACCCCCATCCTTGAACCCACTCCCATTCCAGGGCTGGAGGGACCCTGAGTGCATGCACCCCTTAGGTGTGGGGTAAGAGGCACCCAATTGCTCTGTTTTCCTCCGCACCCCCACCTCTGTTCTAGCTCCACATTAGACCCATGACCTCACTGTGGTGGTCCCAGCCTGAGGCCAGCATTTCCCAAAGCTGGTCTCAGTCCACCATCATCCATCACTTGGAGAGGCTGGAAAAGCCTGTAAATGTGGGATCCTGCTGGAGACCCACTGAAGCAGAAGCACTAAGGGGAGCTGGGACTCTGCATCTAAAGCCACCCAAGGAGGTTTTGTGCTCACAAAAACTCTGGAATTCCACCTGGGGTCTCCTGAAGGCTGCAACTGAGACTCCCGAGCTACAATTAAGGTTTCAGAAGGCCCAATGGATACCTCGCCTTTACCTGTGATTTGGTGCTCAGGCAATTATGTAATAAATACTGTCTGGTAGGCAGAAATATTCCAAATACAGAGCCCTCTGTGAGAACACAATACAAGGAATCCTTCCTAGTGCAGAGGTCAGCACTCCTGGACTCTTTGGACCCCATTTCCGGATGACTCTTCGAGAACAAATTGCTTTATTTCTTTATGTCCCTTCACTGGGCCACCCAGACCATCCATTCAGGGGTCACCCATATGCCCCCTTAGCATGACTCTCAGCTCCTCGAAAGAATATAATGTCATTTGCATAACATCTGGACATGGCTCTGGACCCTCATTTCTACAGACCGGTAGGCACCCAACAGGCAGTAGATCTCAATCGCTATTTGATTAAATGATCAACAAAAGTTAGCTTTTAGCATATTTTTTATATACCAGACACTGTGCTAAGTGTTCAATCCACATTATCTCATTTAATCCTAACCCTAGCACTCAGGAGGTGGCCACTACAGTATAATCTATCTTTTGCATAGGAGGAATCTATGGCTCAGAGAAGTTAAGTCCTTTGCAGCAGATATTGATAGAATCAGGACCCAAACCCACCTGTATCTGACCCCAAGGACTGAAATCTTACCACTATACCATAGCACCTCTGAGAAACAAGATGATTAATGAAAACTTTCAGTAAGACCTGTGGTGACGCTGAGAGATTTTTTATTTTATTTTTTTGAGATGGAGTCTCATGCTTTCGCCCAGACTGGAATGCAGTGGCACGATCTCGGCTCACTGCAACCTCCGCCTCCTGGGTTCAAGTGATTCTTCTGCCTCAGCCTCCCAAGTAGCTGGGACTACAGGCGCCTGCCACTCCGCCCAACTAATTTTTGTATTTTTAGTATAAATGGGGTTTCACCATGTTGGCCAGGCCGGTCTCAAACTCCTGACCTTGTGACCCACCCGCCTTGGCCTTCCAAAGTGCTGGGATTACAGGCATGAGCCACTGCACCCAGCCAACACTGAGAGATTTTAATGAGTACTTTTATCCACCTGACCACCATCATTACCCATCACCTGTCATTCTTCATCCACCCTACATCCATCCTTCATCCCCCCATCATCCACCCATCTATCCTTCATCCATCCATTCATCATGGAACCATTATCCATCCAACTATCATCCAGCCAGCCAGAAATGACCCATTCATCTTCATCTCTCATTTCCTCTCTCTAAACCAGTTCTTAATCTGGGGCCAAAGTCCTACCCACACATCCCTAGTCTTACTCACTTTTTTGGTGTCACTAACACCTGTACGTCACCAGTATAAAAATAAAATCATATTCAAAACAACCCCACAAAAAATGTCAAGCCTTAAGTGTCATTCAGCTGACCTTATCTCCTCAGAACAGAACCTCCAGCCTGAAGCCCTGGGCTCTTCCCAGGGGAGCAAAAGTGTGATCAAAACAGAGAAGAAAGATGAGGAATCAGGAAAGGAGGGGCCAAGAAAAAAACCTTCTCAGAAGATCACAGACCACTAGACTAGGGCTCCCGAAGCCCAGCCTCTCCTGAAAATTATTCAGACGTAGAAACAGGCTCAGAGGTCGAGGCAGGTGGATCAACTGACATCAGGAGTTCAAGATCAGCCTGGCCGACATGTTGAAACCCTGTCTCTACTAAAAATAGAAAAAAAATTAGCTGGGCGTGGTGGCAGGCATCTGTAATCCCACCTACTCAGGAGGCTGAGTCAGGAGAATTACTTGAACCCAGGAGATGGAGGTTGCAGTGAGCAGAGATCGCACCATTGCACTACAGCCTGGACGATAAGAGTGGAACGCTGTCTCAAAAAGAAAAGAAAAGAAAAGAAAAGAAAAGAAACAGGCTCAGAGAACAGAGAACTGAAGGTTTCGGGGCACTTGTTACTCTCTACCTTGGATTCTAATTATTAGAGTTTTAATTCTTTTCCTTGTTACAAAGATGGATCTTGTAGAACCTGTGTTTTATTCATTCCACAGCATCTAGCAATGTGCCTGGCATATAAAAGATACTTAGTATATATTTATTAGATGGATAGGCCAGTGCAAGATGGAGGGCTTGGTAGGTAGAGGGAAGGATAGTTGGAAAGGTGGCTAAGTGGATGATTAGATGGGTGTGTGAATAAATTAATGAATGTGTAGATGGTTAGTGCTATGAAAGGATGAAGAAGTATATGGAAATTGGATGGATAGATGGATGGATGGATGGATGGATAGAATTCACATTTTGGAACTCTTTTCTTCATCAATCCTATTGTAGGCCAAGCATGGTGGCTTATGCTTGTAATCCCAGCACTTTGGGAGGCCGAGGTGGGTGGATCATTTTAGGTCAGGAGTTTGAGACCAGCCTGGTCAACATGGTGAAACCCCGTCTCTACTAGAAATACAAAAAGTAGCCGGGCGTGGTGGCATGCACCTGTAATCCCAGCTACTTGGGAGGCTAAGGCAGGAAAATCACTTGAGCCTGGGAGGTGGAGGTTGCAGTGAGCCAAGGTCACACCACTGCACTCCAGTCTGGGCGACAGAGTGAGACTCTGCCTCAAAAAAAAAAAAAAAATCCTATCGTAAATAGCAAATCCCAGCACACTCATTAGGATAGCTTCTAGTTAAAAAAAAAAGAAAGAAAAAAAGAAAATAACAAGTGTTAGTGAAGGTGCAGAAAAATTAGGATATTAGTATACTGTTGTTGGAAATGTAAAATGATGCAGCCACTATGGGAAATAGATGATGGTTAAATTTTTTTTTTTTTTTTTTTTTTTTTTTTTGAGACGGAGTCTTGCTCTCGCCCAGGCTGGAGTGCAGTGGGGCAATCTCAGCTCACTGCAAGCTCCACCTCCCAGGTTCACACCATTCTCCTGCGTCAGCCTCCTGAGTAGCTGGGACTACAGGCACCCACCACCACGCCTGGCTCATTTTTTGTATTTTTAGTAGAGATGGGGTTTCACCATGTTAGCCAGGTCTCAATCTCTTGACCTTGTGATCCGCCTGCCTCAGCCTCCCAAAGAGATGGGATTACAGGCATGAGCCACTGTGCCCGGCCGATGGTTTAATTTTTAATAAAACTAAAAATAGGCCGGGCGCAGTGGCTCACACCTGTATTCCCAGCACTTTGCGAGGCCAAGACGGGCAGATCGCCTGAGGTCAGGAGTTCGAGACCAGCCTGGCCAACATGGCAAAATCTGTCTCTACTAAAAATACAAAAATTACCCGGGCATAGTGGTGGACACCTGTAATCCCAGCTACTCGGGATTCTGAGACAGAAGAATCACTTGAACCTGGGAGGCGGAGGTTGCAGTCAGCTGAGATCGTACCACTCCACTCCAGCCTGGGTGACAGGGTGAGACTCCGTCTCAAAAAAATAAAAATAGAATTAGCATATGATCTAGCAATCCTACTTCTGGGTATATATCCAAAAAAATTGAAAACAGGGTCTTTCCACACCCTTCTTCATAGCAGCGTTCTTCACAATAGCCAAACGGCAGAAACACCCTAAGTGTCGGACGGCTGGATACGCAAAACGTGGCACATGCGCAAAACGTGGCGCGCGCATACAATGGAATATGATTCAACCTTAAAGATGAAGGAAATGCTGACACGTGCTACACCATGGGTAAATGGGTAAGCCTTGAGAACATTATGCTAAATGAAGGCATAAAAGAACAAATACTGTGTGAATCCACTCATGCGGGGTACCTAGAATAGGCAAATTCATAGAGACAGAAAGTGGAATGGTAGCTGCCAGAGGCTGGGGGGAGGGAAAATGAGCTGTTGTTCAGTGAATACAGAGTCTCCGTTTTGCAAGATGAAAATAATTATAGAGATGGATGGTGATGATAACGTGAATATATTTAATATCACAGAACTATACACTTAAAATGTAAAGAAATGGTTAAGATGGTTTAAAAAATGGTTAATATTATGTGTATTTTACCACAATTAAAAAGAGTAATAGGCTGGGCATGGTGGCTTATTCCTGTAATCCCAGCTATTTGGGAGGCTGAGCCGGGTGGATCACCTGAGGTCAGGACTTCAAGACCAGCCTGGCCAACATGGTGAAACCCTGTCTCTACTAAAAATACACACAAAGAAATTAGCCAGGTGTGGTGGCGCATGCCTGTAATCCCAGCTACTCGGGAGGCTGAGGCAGGAGAATCACTTGATCCCAGGAGGCAGAGGTTGCAGTGAGCCGAGATCACGCCACTGCACTCCAGCCTGGGTGACAGAGTGAGACTGTCTCAAAAAAGCAAACAAACAAACAAAAAGCATAATAAACAATAGCAAATCCTGTAAGCCCTTCAAAGTCTATCTTGAATCTGTCCCCCCCTTTCTGTCTCTGTTGCCACCACCCTTGTCCAGGTCACCACCATCTCTTTCCTGGATTATTGCAATAGTTTCCTCAATGTTCTTTTTTCCAGCTCCTATTCTTGCCTCTTTTCCATCTGCTCTCCACCCAGAGTGACCTTTTAAAAAGCTTACTCAGTTGAATCATGAGACATTGGGAAAAGATACTAAAAACTTCCAGAGAAAGAAAACAAAAGAGAGAGAGAGAAAAAAAAAAAACAACAAATGAAACAAACAAAAAGCTAGGTTAATTATAAAAGAAATTTAAAGGAACATGGAGTGGTATCAGACTTCATAGGAAAAACTCTAGTAACCAGAAGACAGTAGAAAAATGCTTTCCAATTTCTAAGGGAAAAAATGATTTTCAACTTAGATTTCCATACACAGCCAAACTATGATTAATTAAGTGACAGCATAGAATAAAAGACATGAGGCAAAACACAAAATAAAACCATCACCACCACAACAAAAACCTCACCTCCCACACACCCTTTCTTAGGAGACGACCATGATAACAAATCTGTACAAAACATTTGCTATTTCCAGGCACTGTTCTAAGCATTTGACATACAGTAGCTCGTTCAGTCCTTACAGCCATCCTGTGAAGTTGGTATTGTCATGAAGAAGTTGAGGCACAGAGAGGTTGGAGATCTTGCCCATGGTCACCCGGATAGCAATGGAGGAGATGGGGGATGAGTTTCAGCAGCCTGGTTTCAGAAGAGTTCTTATCTCCTTGCTACATTTCCCCTCAGAAATATGGGGATGAGGCCCGGGGACAGTGGCTCACGCCTGTAATCCCAGCACTTTGGGAGGCTGAGGCCAGTGGATCGCCTGAGGTCAGGAGTTTGAGACCAGCCTGGCCAACATGGTGAAACCCCACCTCTACTAAAAATATAAAAATTAACTGGGCATGGTGGCACACACCTGTAATCCCAGCTACCCAGGAGGCTGAAGCAGGAGAATTGCTGGAACCCGGGAAGTGGAGGCTGCAGTGAGCTGAGATTGCACACTGCACTGCAGCCTGGGCAACACAGAGAGACACCGTCTCAAAAAAAAGAAAAAAAAAAAGGCCAGGCATGGTGGCTCACGCCTGTAATTCCAGCACTTTGGGAGTCCGAGGCGGGCAGATCACTAGGTCAGGAGTTCAAGACTAGCCTGGCCAACATGGCGAAACCCCATCTCTACTAAAAATACAAAAATTAGCTGGGCGTGGTGGCGGGCACCTGTAATCCCAGCTACTCAGGAGGCTGAGGCAGGAGAATTGCTTGAACCCAGGAGGCTGAGGCTGCAGTGAGCAGAGATTGCGCCACTGTGCTCCAGCCTAGGCGACAGAGTGAGACTGTCTCATAAAAAAATAATAATAATTAAAAGAAATATGGATATGAGAAAGTACAGGTAAAGAAAGGATGCCATGTGGCTCAGCTGTGAGTAATAGCCACATGGTCATAACAGTGGAAAATTCAAATACTGATTTAACAAATGTTACCATATAGAGTAATGAATTGGGGATGTGTGGAGAAATGTGAGTGTGTGTGTGTGTGTGTTGTGAATGACTAAAGTTGAATTCTGATTGTACAAGTAAATAAAATATATCTCTAACTGAAAAATCAAGCTGCCTGACACATCAAAGGCACTCAATAAATATTTGCCAATAAATAATGCTCTAAGTCTCTATTCCACATCTTCATTTGTACATTTACATAGCACTGGAATAGAAAGACTGGAGGCCGGGCACGGTGGCTCACGCCTGTAATCCCAGCACTTTGGGAGGCCAAGGCGGGTGGATCACAACGTCAGGAGATCAAGACCATCCTGGCTAACACGGTGAAACCCTGCCTCTACTAAAAATACAAAAAACTAGCTGGGCATGGTGGCACTCGCTTGTAGTTCCAGCTACTCGGGAGGCTGAGGCAGGAGAATCGCTTGAACCCGGGAGGTGGAGGTTGCAGTGAGCTGACATCACACCACTGCAATCCAGCCTGGGCGACAGAGCGAGAGTCCATCTCAAAAAAAAAAAAAAAAAAAAAAAAAGGCAAGGCGTGATGGCTCATGCCTATAATCCCAGCACTTTGGGAAGCCAAGGTAGGAGGATCACCTGAGGTCAGGAGTTTGAGACCAGCCTGGCCAACATGGTGAAACCCCATCTCTACTAAAAAATACAACATTAGCTGGGCATGGTGGTGCACACCTGTAATCCCAGCTACTTAGGAGGCTGAGGTAGGAGAATCGCTTGAACCTGGGAGCCAGAGGTTGCAGTGAGCCAAGATCACACCACTGCACTCCAGCCTGGGCAACAAGAGTGAAACTCCGTCTTAAAAAAAAAAAAAAAGATTGTAAATGTATTTAAATTTTCAGCACACACACATACACAGAAGGTTATTCAGATCATGGTCATGTCATTTCCCTGCTCAGAACTCCCCAGTGGCTTCCCATGGTGTGTATGATAAAATCCAAATGCCTGCCATGGCCTTCGCCCTGCGTGAGCAGCTGACCCCTTTGGCTTCCCTTTCTGTCCCCTGCCCTGTGCTCACTGGCCTCTCTGGTCCTCTGTCAGGGTCCTTTCTGCTTTTGCATTTTCTGTTCCCTTTACCTTGAATACCTCTCCCCTACCTATGGTCACATGTGAATTACGAGTTCCTTCTCTTAGCTCAGCTGCCACCTCAAAGGCCTTCCCTGACCACTCAAATGAAAGCAGCCCCCCATGTAGACACTCCGCATTACATCTGCAGAAAATGGTCTCTTTGTCTGATTCTTTTTTTTTTTTTTTTGCTGGAGTCTCGCTTTGTCTGTCACCAGGTTGGAGTTCAGTGGCGCGATCTCAGCTCACTGCAACCTCCGCCTCCGGAGTTCAAGCGATTCTCCTGCCTCAGCCTCCCAAGTAGCTAGGAGTACAAGTGGGCACCACCACCTGTATTTCTAGTAGAGATGGGGTTTCACCATGTTGGCCAGGATAGCCTCTATCTCTTGACCTCGTGATCCACCCACCTCAGCCACCCAAAATGCTGAAATTACAGGCATGAGCCACCACGCCCCAGCCTATTTAATTCCTTATGTCCCCATCCCCTCGCTGGAGAGTGAGCTCTGTGAGAGCAGTGGCCTTGTCTGGTGCTCATCATGGACTCCCCAGAGCCTACAAGAGTGTCTGATACTCAGAAACTATTTAATGGATGGAATAGGGAGGAAAAGTGGATCAGATGGGAAGCGGCTGGCAGGATGGACGAGTAGGTGGGTGGATGGGAGGGTGAGTGCATGGATGTGGGGGTGGGTGGCAGATTGACTGTCCCCTGGGTCAGTGGAAAATAACCCAGTTGGTCTCTCACAGAGCCCTCTGTGCTTTTCCCACTCCCCAGCCGCTTTGTCCCTCCTGCCTTGAGGAATGCAGTGAAGCTAGCACGGGCCTCGTCCTCTGCACGTTACCTTACCTCAGAGATTATATGCCTTACCTCGCTGAATCATCACAGCCCTAGGAGGTAAGTATTTTCATGCTGTCAGTTTTATAAATGGGGAAATAGGGACTCAGAAAGGTTATGTTACTTGCCCCAAGTTTTCACAGCTGGTAAGTGATGGAGCCAGGGCTGGGCCAAAGCTTTTTCACTAAGCTTCAGTACCTAAAAATGTGGACAAAGAGGACGTGCAGGAATTGACAGAAGTGTGTGGGGGTCTCTATGGTTGAGTCTTCAGACGATACCTTCCAGCGGGTATAAAAAGGGACAGCCCGGCCGGGCGCAGTGGCTCACGCCTGTAATCCCAGCACTTTGGGAGGCTGAGGCAGGCGGATCACCAGGTCAGGAGTTCGAGACCAGCCTGGCCAACATAGTGAAACCCTGTCTCTACTAAAAATACAAAAAATTAGCTGAGCGTGGTGGCAGGCGCCTGTAATCCTAGCTACTTGGGAGGCTGAGGCAGGAGAATCGCTTGAATCCGGGAGGCGGAGGTTGCAGTGAGCCAAGATTGTGCCACTGCACACCAGCCCGGGCGACAGTACGAGACTCCGTATCAAAAAAAAGGGACAGACTGGGCGCGGTGGTTCACACCTGTAATCCCAGCACTTTGGGAGGCCGAGGCAAGTGGATCACTTGAGGTCAGGAGTTTGAGAGCAGCCTGGCCAACATGGTAAAACCTCATCTCTACTAAAAATACAAAAATTAGCCAGGCATGGTAGTGCACGATTGTAATCCTAGCTACTTGGGATGTTGAGGCAAGAGAATCGCTTGGACCCAGGAGGCGGAGGTTGCAGTGAGCCAAGATTGGGCCACTGCGCTCTAGCCTGGGCAACAGAGCAAGACTGTCCTAAAAAAAAAAAAAAAAGAAAAGGACAGCCCAAATGCCCTGATTGGCAGTGATTAAGAGTGGGACAGAGCCAAGGCCGAGGACACCTGGGAACACTGGTGGAGTCTCTGGAGGAACTAGGGGTTCATGACCAACATGGGGTGCCCAGGCATCCAATCAGGAGTCATTCCTAGAGTCCCACCTGAGATATAAGGAACCTGCTTGGACCCTGAGCCACGAAAACACATGCTTTCTCTAAAGTGCTCACTCCATCAGGCCCAGCCCCAGGCTCACTGGTTTCCAGCTATGTGGGCAGCGCCCTCATATTACAGGAAGGAAAACTGAGGCTGCAAAAGGCCCAAAGGAAACGCACCCAAGCCCAGTGAACTGAAGAGGGATTGGGCCAGGGAGAATGCGTCCTTGTTGGAGGAGGCCTGACAGCACTGTCTGTGGTGACCCGAGCCACCAGGGGGCGCCTGTCCCAGGGCCCAGCGGGACCTCCTGGAGTCCTGGAACCGCTTGGGAAGGTGGGTGCGTGGTCTCTGGGTCCCCCAGACCGGGCTCTTCACTCTGGTAGGGAGAGCTGGGGATGGAGTTGGGGGAGGGGGACTTTCTCTCTACATTGCCTGGGTTTCCCACCAAGAGGATGTGTTTTTTACATAATTACAAATAAGCTTGAAGGAATTAAAAAGGATATTTTAAAGGCTTTCTAGCCCTGAAAGATTCTAAAAGATGCCTGTGCGTTCCCAGCTGTGGCCTGGAGGCATATCCGCCTACCCCTGGGATATGGCTTCCAGTCTGAGTTCCGGATGAATCTGGGGCCCTAAATGTGGACCAGGCACATGTGGATCCCTAGCTGGGCCCATCAGGTTTAGACCGCCACAGGTGCATCTGCAGAATGGAGCTACAGGCATGACTGGCCGCAGGGGTGGCCTTCAGGAGTGACACCTTCCTAGGCTGTGGGCCTCTGCCCTCTGAGGTGCAGACACCCCAGTCGCTGGTCTGCCCGGGTCCCAGACGCCCTGAGGAATTCCCCAGTGACGACTCACCCACTGACTAGGCCACCTCGCTTTGGGTCAGGGATGTCTACATCAATAAGCCAAGATCCACTTTGGGCAACCTCCCGCAGCCCCCTGCTCAGGTCCCAGGCACCTAATGCCTCTCTCCCATCCCCTGAATTTGCTCCAGGACGGAGGCTGGGCTATGGGGCAGACAGTCAGACCCAGAAGGACTGGACAGACAGAAGGACACCCTGGCCCAGGCCTCTTCCTCCCACTTCAGCAAACTGGGGGCCTCGGCCTCTGCTGAACAAGAGGTTCTCATAGGTTTTCCTTCGGCCCAGCAGTTCCCAATTAGGGGTGATTTTGCCTCCCGGGGGGATCTGCCAATGGGTGGAGACATTTTTGGTTGTCATGATTGGCCATGGCCCTGGCATGTGGTAGGTAGAAGCAAGGATGCCACTAAGCTTCCTACGGTACCCGGGACAGCCCACCCAGGAATCATCCCACCCAAAATGTCAGCAGTGCCACAGTTAGGAAACCCTGCCAACCACACATGGCAGGAAGTGCGGATGTGCCGGCGGGGAGTTTGGGACAGAGAGTGACGAGAACAGAGAGGAGGAGGTGGGTAGTTAGGCAGGGGCAGAAAAAAAAGCACAGGACCTGGAGCGGACAGACCTGGGTTCCACCCAGCAGCCGTGTGACCTTGTGCAAGTCTCCTAGCACCCTAAGCCTGTTTCCTTGTTTATAAAGAAGACCACAAGGACAGAACCAGCAGATAACCATGGAAGAAATGAACCCCGCACCTTGACACACTGCAGAGGCTCCATAATGGAGGCTCAGGTGTGGGGGTGCAGCGATGATGCTGCAGTTCACTGCCTTTGAGAGCAAACTTGATCTGATTCTCAGAATTCCAAAGAAGTCCTGGGAATCATTTATTCTTTTTCTCTCTCCAGACCCCAGGAGCCCAGGCTGGGCTGGGGGATGGGGGCGTGGCAGGCCCCGTACTCACCGCTATGGCTCTCCCCATCACTGCTGAGATAGGGGTAATACTCGTGCGTTTGGCGTTGGTATAGATCCGTGTCATAGGGCACCAGGTCTTCTGATGGCTGCTGAGAGAGGAGGTGTCAGGGCCTGCACCATGGTGGGAGACCCCAGCCAGGCCTGCAGCACCCCCGCACGCTGGGTCCCCATCACCTTCCCTGGCTCAGTGGCTGCGTTGGACCTACAGCCCTCCCTCTGCCTGGAACTGGGACAGAGAGTGGGGCAGGGGACCCAGAAGGCCTGAAAAGGGGTGACAGGGACCTTGGGGGTGAGAGGTCAGAAGAGGACCAGGGTCCCCCTCTGCTGGGCTACTCCCCATAGCCACCTCACGCTCACACTCACACTCACGCCTGTGTGCCCCCATCCTCATCCCACACACCTCTCCTGGTCACACTGATGCACATGTCCACACGATCCCTGTGTCACCCTCACACTCATAATCCCACACGAGGACTCACTCTCACAGCCCCTACCCACCCCCATGCAGGCGCCTGCACACTATCCCTCACACACACATCTTCATACCCACTCAGAGGTCACCCACCTCACAGAGACATTGTACACTCAGCTCATGCACACACGCAGAGTCTCCTTGATTGACACTCACATGACACCACGTTCCAGCCATCAACACACACACTCACACCCCCAGAGCCACTCACATTCCACCTGCACACTCAACCGCACAGCACACACTTGCCTGCCCAGCCCCACTCTCACAGCCTATGCCTCTCACACAGCCTGGGCAAGAGTGGCACCACAATGACCCTCCACACTGACGGTTGGTGCAGGGGTCACCCAGGCAGACTTAGGGGCCGAGCGCATGGAGGGCCTTGATCCCCTCACTCTCCCTCCTGAGTCCTCCCTATCCTCCTCCTTCCCTCCTCACTGCATCCCCCTCCCCGTCTCCTTTGCTTCCTCCTCCCCCTCCTCACTCCCCTCTGTCCTCCTTTTCTTCCCCCTCTTCCCTGTCCTCCTTCTTTCCTCCCACCTTCCTCCCTCCTCCCTGTCCTCCTCCCCCTACTGGCACAGACACAGGGCCGTGCACACCCAGGAGCCTTCCCAACAGTCATCAGGCCTCCCCGCCCCCGCAGCGTGTGGCCCAGGATTGCATAACAGTCACTGTGGCCCTTAGGGCTGGGCTTGGGGGACCGGGGCTGCCTTGGGAGCCCACCCTACCAGGAGACACTCAGAGTGACCCTGGAGCTTGCAGAGAGGGCTGGGGGTGCCTAGGGATGGCCCAAGGAGCTCTGCCACCCATCTAGCTCCACCTGGAGTTCAGAATTGAGAGGTCAGGGATCAGAGACAGTGGGCCTGTGGCTTTCTTGAGGCAGAATTGGCTCTTTCTGAGACAACCTCCGTCACCCTCTGCCTGGGCCGCCCACTTCGTGTTCCCAGGTGGGAAGGGGTGTCGGTGTGGATGCCACAGCAGGCTGGCTGGTCCTGCCTGGTCCTGCCTGTGGCTGGCCAAGTGAGGAGGCCAGGAGCCCAGCACTGAGCCTGCCCCTCTGGGTTTCCAGGTAGTACAGCCTCGCTGCAGGATGTCAGCCCGGCTCTGGTCGGGTTGGTGTGATGTCAGGCCTGGGGTGCCTCCCAGCCTCCTGGGGTGGCTCTGAGCCAGGGCATAGTGGGGGAAGGGAGCTGCCTCTAGACCAGGAAAGTGGATTCAGGTGGGCAGCCTGCCAAGCCCTTCCCGGCTCCCCTCAAGCCTCCTCACTCCTGAGAGGTCATGGGGTGGGAAAAGGGAGAAGGGTCCTTTCCGAGGGACCCTGGTCTGACACCTGCCTAAGGCTGCAACTGTCACTGAGAGTGAGGAGCAGTGGCGATCTGCCCTTCTCTTCTCGGGGTCCCCTGGGGCTCCCACTTCTTCACCCCCAAGACCCAGTCCCTGTCCTTGTCCCAGCCTCAGCCCCCATTCTCACTTATCACATGCTCACCCCAGGTCCCACCCAGCCCCAATCTCAGTCCTGGCCTTGTCCCAGCCCTGTCCCCTGCCGCGCCTCTCCCTGAACTCCAGCCCTGGGGCCAGCCCTAACTGCACTGTCTCAGCTCCACTCCTGGCTCCTTTCCAGCACCAGTCCCTGTCTCCTGTGGGTACCCCTGTGGGCCCATGGCCCTGACCCTTTGGTCAACAATCATGTCCTCTGTGCCAGGCCCCAGACTGGGCGTTGGGGACCCAGAGTTCCATCAGCTTTGGTTTCCAGGAGCCCCAAGGCCATGGGCCAAGACTTCTGCCCATTGCCTCCTGCCTTCAACCCCTTCCCATCCAGGGGACCGGCCTCCCCCAAGCCAGTCCCCCCATCTCCCTCCTCTACCTCTCTACCACCGCCTTCACCATCCTCAGCCCAGCACCCTCCCCAGGAGCCCCGGCCTCCGCCTGCCACCCGAGCCCTGTCTATAAATAACTGTTCAGGCCCCACCGATCACAGCCCCACCGTGGGCCTGGCCTCAGCCCGCCAGGGCATGCTCCGAGGAAGCCAATGGCCCCCTCGCTGGGTCTCAGGCCAGGAGTTCCAGGGAGGAAACCCTGACTTCCCACTGATAGCAAGCCAGGAGGGCAGTGGGTGGGCTGGCGGGTTCGTGGGCAGGCAGGCAGGCGTCCGAGGGCCACGGGTTGGGCTGGTGGAGGAGTCCCGGTACTCACAGGGGGGACGAGGGGAAACCCTTCCATTTTGCACGCCTGTAACATCCAGCCGGGCTCCGAGTCGGTCAGATCCCCTGCCTCGGTGGGGGCCAATGCAGAGCCCCTCAGGATGGGGTGCCCCGTCAGGGGCTGGACGGTCGTGGGGCGGGTGCAGGGCTCAGGCCTGCCCCCTGAGCTACAGGAGCCCTGGGTGAGCCCCCTCCCTTGACATTGCAGGGCCAGCACAAGTTCCTGATTTTATCGAAGGGCCTGCCGCTGGGAGATAGTCCCCTTGGGGTGACATCACCGCCCCAACCCGTTTGCATAAATCTCTTGCGCTACATACAGGAAGTCTCTGGCCGGCTGGGGCAGGTGGTGCTCAAAGGGCTGGCCTGGGAAGCCATGGGGTCCAGGCCCCCTGCCCAGAGGAAGCTGGGACTGAGAGGGATGACTTTGGGGGCTAAGCTGGGGAGGGAGGATGGGAGGGAGAACGTGTAGCTCTGCCACACCACTGGGAGGCTTTTGCTCTAACCCAACAAATGCCTGCTTCTTTTGAGATCCCTATGTAGCCAACAGTCACCTCATTGGGGTCAGAGCTGGAAGGGGTGGCCTCTTGGGGCCTCCACTTTCTGGAGTCAGCCTTCCTGGGTGAGGGCTCTGATCTAGCAGGCTATCAGGCCTGGCTCTTCCTGTGGCCCTGCACCCCCACTGCCTAGGCTATCCCTAGGCTGAGGCTGGGCTCAGGTGTAGGGTCTTCAGCATAGTGCTGCTTTCTTCCTTCCCTCTGAATCTGTTCACATGGGCTTCCCTACCACCAGAAGAGGGTCCTGGGTTCTTATACCCTCCCCTCCCAGCTTCTTGATTACCACATTCAAATCCCTAGGGCTCTGTTTCCAGCCCAGGTTTCTCAGTTTCCCCATCCCTTGGCAATGCCTGAATATCAATCTAACCCTCCTGGTTTACAAACCTTTCTTGCCTATCCACCATTCATCTGTTTTCCCATGCATCTATTTGTCTGTCTATTTGTCCATCCAGCTATCCATTCATCAAGCCCACCATGCATTCACTTATGTGTCCATTTATCCAACTGTCCGTTTGTTTGTTCATTCATCTGTCAGTCAATTCATCCACCCACCCATCTGTTTATCTACTTGTCTATCTAACCATCTATATGTCCATTAATCAGCCCGTCCACCTGCTATCAGTCCATCAGTCCACAATTCCATCTGTTTATCCATCTATGAATCTGCTCATCCATTCATCCACCTGTCCATCCATCCACCCATCCACTCATCCACCCATCTACCCATCCACTCATCTGTCCATCAACCCATCCATCATCCACCTACCCCTTCATTCATTCATCCATCCATCCACCAGTCCACTCATCCACCCATCTACCAATCCACCCACCTACCATTCCACCCATCTATTCATCCACCTATCCATCCATTCACCTATCAGCTTCGGTTTCCAGGAGCCCCATGAGAACAGGCAGTATTTGACTTTCTGTTTCTGCGTTGTTTCGCATATGATAATGTCCTCCAATTCCATCCATGTTGCTGCAAAGACATAATTTCATTCTTTTTTATGGCTGAATAGTATTTCATTATATATATATATAAATACAATATAACATGTTATTTATTCACTCACCCGTTGATGGACACTTATGTTGATTCTGTATCTTTGCTATTATGAATAGTGCTGTGATAAACATACAAATGCAGTATCTTTTTGGTATCACTCATCCATCCAGCCATCCATTCATCCATCCATCCATTCATCCACCTATCCACCCATCTACCCATCTACCCATTTACTCATCCACCTGTCCACCAATCCAGCTATCTACCCATTCATCCATCCACTCATCCACCTATCCATCCATCCACTCATTCATCCAGCCATCCACAAATCCACCCATCCACTTATCTATCCATCCATCCATTCATCCATCCACCAATCCACTCATCCACTTATCTATCCATCCATCCATTCATCCATCCATCCATCCACTCATCCACACATCTACCGATTCACTAATCCACCCATCCACCAATCCACTCATCTACCCATCCATCTATCCATCCATCCACTCATTCATCTATCTGTCTATCCACTTATCTGTCCATCCATGCATCTTCCCAATGTTGAGTTCCAGGCTCTAAGCTGAGCGCTGGGAAAACAAAAAAGTATTATACAAGACCCCTGCCTTCAGAGAGTTCCTGATCTTTTCTGGGGGGTGGAGGGATGAGTAGAGGCATTTTTGTTTTGTTGTTGTTGTTGTTGTTGTTGTTTTTCTGGCCCAGTGATCTCTGGTGAGTCCCCTCTGCTGGGAAGGAATTTTGAACATTCAGTGTCCTCCCCTGTATAATCTAACCCCTTGCTTTAAATTCCCACTCCACTAAGACAGGCCTGCCTTCTTGCCAGTGGATTCCTAGGCCACAAGTGTTTTTTCATTAGCAGCAAACACCAGAATTTCACAGCTCTGGGCTCACCATTAGATCTACTTGACTTCCACCTTCACTGACTTTGTATCTGCACTTGGGACTCTCCAAAGGCTCCAGGCCACAGGTCCTCAGGGCTCCCTAGGAACCTGACCAAGGCCTCTCCCAAAAAGGAGGGGAGGGACAGGTTGGCTTGGCATCAGTTCCATCCTTGTTCCCACTTCCCCATCAAGAAGGCCAAGCCCCAGCTGACTGGGTGCAGTGGGGTGTAAGGTTATCCACTCCACAAGATCTAGGCCCTGCTTGATGTGTTCATTCATTCACTCGTGTGTGTTATTGTCTTGCTTTGGTTTGTTTATATGCTTATTTATTCATTCATTCATTTAATCACTTTTTTGTATAAATGTAAGGGGTACAAATGCAGTTTTGTTCCATGGATATATTGCATAATGGAGAAGTCTAGGCTTTCAGTTTATCCATCACCAGAATAGTGTACATTGTGCCCTTTAAGTAATTTCTCATCCCTCACCATGCCTCCCCACTCTCCCACCCTTGCAAGTCTCCAGTGTCTGTCATTCCACATTCTATGTCCATGTGTACACATTATTTAGCTCCTACTTATACATGAGAACAGGCAGTATTTGACTTTCTGTTTCTGCATTGTTTCGCTTATGATAATGGCCTCCAATTCCATCCATGTTGCTGCAAAGACATAATTTCATTCTTTTTTATGGCTGAATAGTATTTCATTATATATATATATATATATAAAAATATAACATTTTATTTATTCACTCATCCGTTGATGGACACTTAGGTTGATTCTGTGTCTTTGCTATTATGAATAGTGCTGTGATAAACATAAAAATGCAGTATCTTTTTGGTATAGTGATTTATTTTCCTTTGGTTAGATACTCAGTGAGATTGCTGGATCAAATGATATTTCTTTTCCTTTCTTCTTTTCTCTCTTTTTCTTTTTCTTTTGAGACTGAGTTTCGCTCTTGTTGCCCAGGCTGGAGTGCAGTGGCACAATCTTGGCTCACTTTGCCTCCCGGGTTCAAATGATTCTCCTGCCTCAGCCTCCTGAGTAGCTGGGATTACAGGCGCCCGCCACCACGCCCAGCTAATTATTGTATTTTTAGTAGAGATGGGGTTTCATCATTGTTGGCCAGGCTAGTCTCAAACTCCTGATCTCATGTGATCCACCTGCCTCGGCCTCCCAAAGTGCTGGGATTACAGACGTGAGCCACCATGCTTGGCCAGTTCTTTTTCTTTTGAGACAGAATGCCACTTTATCACTGAGGCTGGAGTGCAATGGCGTGATCTTGGCCCACTGTAGCCTGGACCTCCTGGGCTCAAGCGATCCTCCCGCCTCAGCCTCTGGAGTAGCTGGTACTATGGATGTGTGCCACCTGTAGTCTCATCTAATTTTCTGTATTTTTTGTAGAGATAGGGTTTCACCATGTTGCCCAGGCTGATCTTGAACTCCTGGGCTCAAGCAATCCACCTGCCTCAGCCTTCCCAAATGTTGGGATTATAGGTGTGAGCCACTGCATCTGGCCAAAAGGTAGTTCTGTTTTTAGTTCTTTGAGAAATCTCCATACTCTTTTCCGTAGAGGTTGTCATTTAATCACTTACTTTTTATTGAGTGTCTTCCATGGTCTGGGCCTAGTAAGGGGGATAGACATGAATGAGGCATACTCGGAGCCTCCAGCAGCTTACAGGCCTGCAGAGGGTCATGTGAGCAGATAGTGGGGCAAGAGAGGAGGTGCCAGGTACACTTGGTCTCAAAGGTGCATTAGGGAACCATTGATTGGGTCAGGGTCCCAGATAGGATGGCTTAGGGAAGCGTGCAGGGGGAAAGCATGTCTGGCTGAGAATCAACTTAAGCAAAGGAAACGAAGAGGAAAACAGGAAGCCACCATCTTTGCAGCTGGAAGCAAAGCAGGACAGGAAAGCAAAGAGCCTTGAGTGCCAAGCCAAGGAGCCTGAGTCGTGTGCAGGGATGGCTGTGGAGTCTTTGCTGGTTGTAAGCAAGGAGTATGGGGGCTGTCCTCCGTGGGTGCAGCCAAGAAACACAGTAGACTGTGTGTTCCCGAGGCCTAAGATTCAAGGGGCTCCAGGAGAAGGAAGATATCCCATTGCCTCAAGTATGGCCAAGCTCAAGGGGCCTGGGTGAGGAACTCCATAAAAGAGATCCAGGGTCAATAACCTCTGGAAATAGGCAGAATGTCCTCTGCCCTCTGGGCAATGCTAGAGTGTCCTCCCAACTCCTCTTTCCACTCCTCCCCCTCCCAAAGTACATCAGAAGCCTCATCCCCTTACATCCCCAGGGACCCGTGGTAATTCAAATTCTTGGGAATAGTAGGACCCAGATTCCAAGAACAGGAACGGTTTGGTAATCCATAACCTCACGGTTAGTAGTTCCTTAAAAAGGAAAAGAAAAAAATTTTTGAGTGCCTGGCACCATTCTGGGTGCTTCCACCCTATGATCTCACATCACCAAGACAGCCATCTGTTGAACTGAGGCCCAAGAGACCAGTGACTGGCCCAGGGTTGCACAGCATGTGTGGGTAGAGAGCTGGGGCATGAACCCTGGCTTCTGGGGCTCTAGGAAGGGCTGGGTCTTCTGGGGAGGGAAGGAAGCTAGAGGAAGAACGGAGAGAGACTGAGAAGCTGAGGCAGGGAGCAGGGAGGAAGGGGAGGGAGGAGAAGAGAGGAAGGGAAAGAGAAGCAAAATAGCAAGATCAAAGGAGGGAGCAGAGAGAAGGGAGAAACAGGACAAGAGGTGAGGAGGCAGCACGAACCTCAGGCGAAAAAGAGGAGAGCAGGGCGAAGGCAGATGGAGGAGGAGGAGGACAGAGGAGGGACAACGAGGAGGTTTTGGGGAGACAGGGACAGTGGCTGGCTGGAGGTGATGGGACCCCAGAGGAACACATTCCCAGCTTCTCCCTCCTGCAGCAGAGCAAAAGAGGGGCAGAGAAGGTCCCTGACTTGCAGGAGGTCAGCAGGTGCATCGTGCTGGAATGTGGCTCCATTTCATTCTGGTCAGCAGGAAATTGGTTTGAAACCAAAAATCTTGGACGCTCTAGGGACTGAAAAACAAAAACATCATTTTTAATTATTTTATTTTTTGAATAGATAACATGTGCACATGGTACAAAATTCAAAAGGTACAAAAAAGGTAAACAACTGCCCAGTTCCCCTTCCACAGACTAGCCCACTTGTTACCTGATCTTGTGTTTTGGTCTAGAAATCATCTACACAGCGTGTAGCAGATATATTTTTAAAAATTTTACACAGAGGGGGCCGGGCGTGGTGGCTCACGCCTGTAATCCCAGCATTTTGGGAGGCCAAGGGGGGTGGATCACGAGGTCAGGAGATTGAGACCATCCTGGCTAACACGGTGAAACCCCATCTCTACTAAAAAAAAAATACAAAAAATTAGCCGGGCGTGGTGGCGGGCGCCTGTAGTCCCAGCTACTCGGGAGGCTGAGGCAGGAGAATGGTGTGAACCCGGGAGGCGGAGCTTGCAGTGAGCCGAGATCGTGCCACTGCACTCCAGCCTGGGCGTTAGAGCGAGACTCCGTCTCAAAAAAAAAAAAGGAAAGAAAAAAATTTTTTACACAGAGGGGGGCACATTAAACATATTGTAGTTCCCTTGTTTTTTTTCCCCAATATACATGTCACACCCATGTAGCACTGTCTTGTCCTTCTGAGTTTTTTCCATTTATAGTTTTTGTGGGTACATAGTAGGTGTGTTTATTTATGGGGTACATGAGATATTTTGATACAGGCATAAATTGTGTAATAATCACATCAGTAAATGGGGTATCCACCACCTCAAGCATTTTTCATTTCCTTGTGTTACCAACATTCCAATTATATTCTTTTAGTTATTTTTAAATACACTATAAATTAGTGTTGACTGTAGTGTCTTTTTAATGGCCGTATAGTATTCCACTATTTGGATTTACCAGGATATTTTTAAGTCATGAGAGACATCGTTCATTTAGAAGAGTAAATACAATATTTATGTGCAGTTTAAAGAATAATTATAAAGCAGCCGGGTGCAGTGGCTCATGCCTGTAATGCCATCACTTTGGGAGGCCGAGGCAGGCAGATCACCAAGTCAGGAGATTGAGACCATCCTGGCTAACACGGTGAAACCCCGTCTCTACTAAAAATACAAAAAAAAAAATTAGCCAGGCATGGTGGCACGGTCTGTAGTCCCAACTACTCGGGAGGCTAAGGTAGGAGAATGGTGTGAACCCGGGAGGCAGAGCTTGCAGTGAGCCGAGATCGCGCCACTGCACTCCAGCCTGGGCGACAGAGCAAGACTCCGTCTCCAAAAAAAAAAAAAAAAGATAATTATAAAGCTGACATCTATGTAACCACCATCCAGGTAAAGAAATAAAAAAGTTGCCAGAAAGGCCGGGCGCGGTGGCTCACGCCTGTAATCCCAGCACTTTGGGAGGCTGAGGTGGGCAGATCACGAGGTCAGGCGATCGAGACCATCCTGGCTAACACGGTGAAACCCCATCTGTACTAAAAATACAAAAAAAAATTAGCCGGGCGTGGTGGCGGGTGCCTGTAGTCCCAGCTACTTGGGAGGCTGAGGCAGGAGAATGACGTGAACCTGGGAGGAAGAGATTGCAGTGAGCCGAGATCGCGCCACTGCACTCCAGCCTGGGTGACAGGGCAAGACTCCATCTCAAAAAAAAAAACAAAACAAAACAACAAAAAAACATTGCCAGAACCCCAGAAGAATCCCCAAATGTCCCCTACTTCCCTCTAGAAATAACACTGTCCTAACTTTTTCAGTAATTTTCTACTTGCTTTTCTTTTATTTTTTATTTATTTATTTTTTTTCCGACGGAGTCTCACCCTGTCGCCCAGGCTGGAGTGCGATGGCATGATCTTGGCTCACTGCAACCTCTGCCTCCCAGATTGAAGTGATTCTCCTGCCTCACCCTCCCGTGTAGCTGGGATTACAGCCGTGTGCCACCACACCCGGCTAATTGTTTGTATCTTTAGTAGAGACAGGGTTTCACCATGTTGGCCAGGCTGGTCTCAAACTCCTGACCTCATTATTTGCCCGCCTCAGCCTCCCAAAGTTCTGGAATTACAGGCATGAGCCAACGCACAGGCCTCTTGCTTTTTCTCTTGCTTTCCCTTATAGTTCAGTTTTTATTTTAACAGGTTTTAATCTTTATATTAAAAAAATCATAGTGTAAATATCCTTTTGGGTCTTTCTTCTTTTCCCCACCATGTTATTCTGTGTCGCTATGGTCCATTTTCATTGCTGGATAGTATTCCAGTGTTATTTATTTACTTATCTTTTTGAGATGGAGTCTCGCTTTGTCACCCAGGCTGGAGTGCAGTGGCATGATCTCGGCTCACTGCAACCTCCGCTTCCTGGGTTCAAGCAATTATCCTGCCTCAGCCTCTCCAGTAGCTGGGATTACAGACATGGGCAACCACTCCCAGCTAATTTTTGTATTTTTGGTAGAGACAGGGTTTCACCATGTTGGCCAGGCTGGTCTCAAACTCCTGATCTCCAGTGATCCCCCTGCCTTGGCCTCCCAAAGTGCTGGGAATACAGGCGTGAGCCACCGCACCCAGCATTCCATTGTTATTTAACCAGTCTCTCATCAGTATATATGTATTTTTGAGACAGGGTCTCATTCTGCACACACAGCTGGAGTGTAGTGGTTCTATCATGGCTCACTGCAGCCTCGACCTCCTGGGCTCAGGCGATCCTCCCACCTCAGCCCCCCAAGTAGCTTTAACCACTTATTGATGGACATTTGTTTCGAGTCTTTTGCTATTACAAATAATACAGCAATCAATAACATATGCTAAATTACATATATGCAGGAGGGAGGATGTCTAGGAGAGATTCCCAAAAGTTGAATTACCAGGTCAAAGGACAGTGCATTTTTCATTTTTTAATTTTTATGTATGTATTTATGTATTTTATTTTATTTTATTTTATTGAGATGGAGTCTTGCCCTGTCACCCAGGCTGGAGTGCAGTGGAGCAATCTTGGCTCACTGCAGCCTCCACCTTCTGGGTTCAAGCAATTCTCCTGCCTCAGCCTCCTGAGTAGCTGGGATTACGGGTGCACGCCACCATGCCCAGCTAATGTTTTTTGTATTTTTAGTAGAGACAGGAGTTTTGCCATGTTGCCAAGGCTGGGTCTCAAACCCCTGGGCTCAAGCGATCCACCCACCTTGGCCTCCCAAAGTGCTGGGATTACAGGCATGAGCCACCACTCCTGGCCTGTATTTATTTTTTAGAGATAGAGTCTCCCTCTGCTGCCCAGGGTGGTCTCGAACTCCTGCCCTCCAGCCATCCTCCTGCCTTGGCCTCCCAAAGTGCTGAGATTACACGTGTGAGCCACTATGCCCTCTGTGCATTGTTAATTTTGAGACAGATGATGGATAGACAGACAGGGCGGGTGCAGTGGCTCACGCCTGTAATCCCAACACTTTGAGAGGCCAAAGTGGGAGAATCACTTGAACCCAGGAGTTTGAGACCAGCCTGGGCAACATAGGGAGACCCCATCTCTAAAAAAATTTTCAAAATTAGCTTGGTGGGGTGGTGGTGGTGGTGGTGTGTGCCTGTGGTGCCAGCTACTCAGGAGGCTGAAATGGGAGGATTGGTTGAGCCCTGGAGGATGAGGGTGCAGTGAACCATGATCACGCCACTGCACTGCAGCCTGGGTGACAGAACAAGACCCTGTCTTAAAAAAAAAAATAAGACTGGAAACAGATATTATCACATTGCCCTTAACAAAAGTTGTATCAGCCAGGCATGATAGCTCACGCCTGTAATCCCAGCACTCCCAGAGGCGAGTGGATCTCCTGAGGTCAGGAGTTTGAGACCAGCCTGGCCAACATGGTGAAACCCCGTCTCCACTAAAAATACAAAATTTAGCTGGGTGTGGTGGTGCACACCTGTAGTCCCAGCTACTCAGGAGGCTGAGGCAGGAGAATCACTTGAACCTGGGAGGCAGAGGTTGCAGTGAGCCAAGATGGCACCACTACACTCCAACCTGGGTGACAAGAGTGAAACTCCATCTCAAAAATAAATAAATAAATAATAATAAAAATAAAAGTTATACCTATTCATTATCCTACCAGTCCTGCTAGACAGTGCAGCTTCCCAGCCTACTAGACAAGTGGGAGACCCTGCAGGGGCTGGGCCTTGCAGAGTGACAGGGAGGCTGGGCAGGCCTAGGGTAGTGTGGCCCTTTGCCCCTGCTGGCTGGGTTGATGATAGGGGCAGGCCGGGTGCTAATGCAATCACAAAGCAGGCGGGCAACAGGAAACTTGAGGGGGTGTCCTCAAAGCTGAGTCCACAGAGGGGAGCACGACCCCTGACCTCATAGATCTCTCAGCCTTGGCCCAAACGAGCTAGAAAATGAGGAAATGTCCCCCCACCCACTTTCCTAGCAACCTGTCCCCATAGGGTGTGACAAGGCATGTGAGAACACACAGGCCTCAGACCAAGAGCTGGGAAAGTTGACCAAAAAGAGCTGAGCCTGTGGACAGAAATGGCAGTCTTGCAACTTCCTCTCATGGTTGAGACACTGGGAGAGGCTCCCTGGGCCCCAGCCAGGGTCAACTGGGCCCCTCCGAGCTCCCCAAGTTTTGTTGACAGCACTGGGCTGGCTCTTCAGTGCATTAAGGCCTTCAACAATGATTGACTCGGGGCCTCTGCATGCCAGGCAGCCCAAACAGGCAGGGCCCTTCATCCCCGCCCTCATGGGCCTGCTCTTCAGCAGGGCAAGACCCACGATGAACTCATGATAGCGAGTGTTCATTGCATGTTGGAAGGTGACACTCGCCATAGGAACAAGGGCATGCAGCTGGATAAGGGGCTTGCGGTAGGGGATGGAGTGGGCGGGGACAGTTTGCAGCATTCACGAGAGCAGGCAGGGCAGGCTTCACCAAGAGAGGTGCATCCGGCAAACCCTGGAAGCAAGTGAGGGAGCGAGCCAAGCAGATGTCTGGGAGAAGAATTCCGGGCAGAGGGACTAGTCAGTGCCAATGCCCCAGGCAGGAGCGTGAGCCAGAGATGGCAAGGAGGCCTATGGGGGCACAGCCAGTGGCAGAAGCTCAGACAGGGCCAGTCAGGTCAGGCCATGGTATGGAATTTGGCTTTGACTCCAGGAAACATGGAGTGTGTCGCAGGGTGTGTCCTCTCTTATTCAAACCTGAAGCTGGTGCCGTGGTACACATGAGGAGACTGAGGCTCAGAAGTGGCCGTGAGTCGGCACAGCGTGGCTTGGTCAATCCGGGGTGTAGGTGAGGCTTTCGCCCAGATCCACCTGAGACCTAGACCCCAGCTCTGCACCATGGCAGTGCTCCAGTGCTTGTGGGTGGTGACAGGCAAGCACTGGAGGGTGCCCGTGCTGGGCACTAACTCACCCCTCCCTCACGTAACCGTACGAGGCAGGCCTTGTCAGTGCCATTCTGCAGATGACGGAAGTGCAGTTCCCGGAGGTAAGGGGCACGGCCAAGGGCACACAGCCGGGAGCAGGGCAGGAGGTGATTGTGGTTCTCAGGGCCCCTCAGGCCTGTGCCTCCGTGGCTGTCCCTATCTCGAGGTTCTCTCATGGATATTTCCCCACCTAAAAGTCTTCCTGAGCTCTTGCCTGTCCTCAAGCTGAAGCCCAAACCTCCGAGGCCTGTGCGGGAACCTCCAACGCCCGGAGTCCGGCCAGCCTTTCTGCCCGTCCCCAGCCCAAGTGGCCAGCCCCACCTCCACCTCCAGCCAGAGGACACCGCTCAGCATTCCTGGAACCTTTCTCAGTCTCCCCAGCTTTTGCGCACAAGCCCACCCACTTCCACACCCTCAGATCTCTCTCTTTCAAGGGCTTGCCTCCTCCAGGCTGCCACCCAAGACCGCCTTCCCTCTAGTTTCCCCCCACCGCTCCCCAGCTCTGCCTCAGTCTCTTGTCCCACTCTGCCCCAGCCCCAGTGGCCAGGGGCAGCTAGACCTCCTCTGAATCCCAAATCCTGGCCAGCCTCCCACACCCTTGTCCCTGCTGACCAGCTCTACAGATGGGGCGCTCACCTCCCGGCCACATCACTCAGGCTTCGGCACCTCAAACCCACCGCCACCCACAGCGACTTCCTTCTGCTCACCACGGGCAGCACCACACCCCCCTGCTCGCTCACTGAGGACAGGAGCTGCCTCCCCACCCCAGACCCTTCCCCTGTGGAGCCCCCTCCACCATGCCCTGGTCTCTAGGTTCCCCTGAGTCTTTCCCTACGGATTGGCTGTGTGGCCTTTGGGTGAGTTCCTTCCCCTCTGCAGAGCTCAGATGCTCCAATTTTACAGAGCGGTCAACAGTACCCACTTCCCAGCATTGTCCTGAGGACGGAAAGAGATGGTCTGTGAAAGCCTTTGCTTGGTATACAGTAGCAGTTCAATAAATGCACATTTCCTCCATTGACCTCCACAAATGCAGAGGTTAGGAGTATGGCTTCGGAGACCCTGATTAGAATCCTATCCTCGCTCCTCATTCACTATGTGGCTGACGGGAGAGTCACTCACTTCTCAGAGCCTCAGTGTCCTCATCTGCAAAATGGGAACATTAATAGAATATACCTCGCGGGGTTGCATGAACTAGATGAGGTAGCATGTGGCTATCTGTGTGTGACAGGCCCTGCATCCCACCATAGGGAGCAAGTTCAGCCCTGTCTTCAGCCCTCCAAGCTCCCACCCTGGGCCTCTCCACCGCGGACTCGGAGAAACAGAAATGCAGAGAGAAGCTCTGGAAGCTGGCAGAGGAGGCCCTGAGGCAGCGGCATCTTAGCCTCTGTCCCTGGATGGTTCCCCACCTGCCTGGGGCCCCCGGGCTGCATTTTGCGCTCACTCTCCCTGTCTGAGAAACCAGCTCTTGGGAGGAAAAGCCAGCCTGGGAAAAAGGGCCTAGCTCTGGAATAGGGACCCTGTGATAAGATGAGCAGGGCCCTTTGAAAAGACAAGGAAACTAATAATGACAGCTCCCACCATGGGCCCAGCACATGAGATCTTTACAATAGGGTTATCCATTTTACAGATGAGAAATGGGGCTCAGAGTGGACGCTTACACCTGCTCCAGGAAGAAGGGCCAAAATCAGGATTTGCACCCAGGCTTGAATTCCTCTCAAGCCTGTGCTCTTAGCCCAAGGCTGCCTGAGTGTGTGCCTTGAGCCCTTGGGACAAACAAGGGAGAGTGGGCCCTGAGGGGCCAGTGAATGAGGAGCTGAATTCAGCTTTGAGGCTCTGGGGCCCAAGAACAGTGCAGGGATGCCCAGGGGTCCCGGTTAGGGGTTGGGGGGCAGCCCAGGGTGAAGGAGCAGGAGGCCTGGGCCTGGAAGGAGTTAACTGCGTGAGGGGCCCGAGTGAATCAGAGGCTCCGCAAGCTATGATGGAAATTCCCTGTGCATGGCGTGTGGTCACCCAGAAAAGGGAAACGGTGCTTTTCGGAGCAGGGGACGGCGGGGGCTGGAGCTAGGGAGCAGACACCAGCCTGGGTGGGGCTGGTGAGGGTATTGTGACAAAGGAGGCCTGGCGTCCAGGTCTGCTCAGGCCTTGGGCGGGAAGAAGGAGTTGAGGAGCCACCAGGCCAGGCCAGGCCTGATTGTGCCATGGTGTGTCCATGGGCCCTGATGGATGAATAGGAGTTCACCAGGCCCAGACCAAAGAAAGGCACTTCAGACCAGAGGAAATGCTAGAGCCAAGGCACAGGGCTGTGACTCAGCATGGAGCCTATCCACTCTGCTTTTGCTGGCAAACTCGTTTCTGTCCTTCAAGGCCCATCCAAGTAACACCTCTCCCCACCCCAGGCAACACTCATAACTCCTCTAAGTCCCACTGCCTTGGTTTCCCTCTTGGAGCTCATAGGATTTTGTAAGTTATCTGCCTTCCCCATAGGACTATGGGTTCCACAAGGGCAGGGGCTGTGTCCCAGCTGTAGAAACAGCTTGTGCCCAGCACAGGGCCAGCACCAAGTAGGCGCTCTGTATTTGTGGAATGACAATTTCGCAGAAGAGGAATGTGGGACCCAGAGAGGTCGGGGGTGCTCAGTCAGCCAGCTGGTGCGGCAGAGCGGGGCTCAGGCCGGGCTCCTCCTCAGTTGGGACTGGTCAGGAGGGAAGGAACATGGCAGGAAGATCCCTCCCCTGGGGCAGGGCAGGGGGAGACGGCAGGGGCCACTGGGCGCTGATGGCCAGCCAGGGAAGGTAACAGGTGGTGCTATGGTCCACGCCCTGCTTCCCCCTTGAGCTTCAGGCCAACCCTGCTCCTGCCCTGGTCACAGCGCTAGAAAACGTCCGCCCTCCCAGGAGGGAGATGAAGGTACAAGATGAAGCAAGGAGCAGTCAGAGGAAGAGAGAAGGACACTGGGTTCTAGATTTCCCCAGTGAAATCTAGAATCTCCAGACACTTTGTAGCTGCCTGACCTTGGACAGGGTCTCACTCTGTTGCCCAGGCTGGAGTGCAGTGGTGTGATCATAGCTCACTGCAGCCTCAAACTCCCAGGCTCAAGCAATCCTCCCACCTCAGCTTCCCCAGTAGCCGGCACTATAGGCATGCGCCACCATGCTGGACTTTTTTTTTTTTTTTTTTTTTGGTAGAGTCGGGGTCTCGCTCTGTGGCCCAGGCTGACCTCCAACTCCTGGGCTCAAGTGATCTTCCTGCCTTGACCTCTCAAAATGCTGGGATTACAAGCATGAGCTACTGTGTCCTGCCCTCAGTTTCCACTTTATGATGGAGGAAATGGAATAGGCTTGTTCTGAGGACAGAATAAACTAATGGATGTAACTGTAAACCTTTGTACCGACGTGAGGGAAACTGCCTGTTAGCTGCAGTGACTATTGTGTAGTCTGGTCTCTCCCTGGGGGCTGTGGCAGTACCATCCCACCAGCCAGCTCCTAAGCAGTGTTAGGCTCGGGCCCAGCGTCCATCTGTCCCAGCTCAAGTCTGTGCCTGGTGAAGGCCTATGACCTGCGCCAGCCTGACAAGGGGGTCAAAACCCAACTTGGATGGCTGAGAATGATGGCCGGGGCTTCCTGTCCAGAAACGAGCCCCCTGACGGCCTCAGCTGCTCCAGCTCCACCACAGCACCCCAGATTTCTGGGCCCTCTCGTGTCTGCTTGAAGGTCAAGGGCATCCTGAGAAGCTGCCCTCAGGCGAGGACCGGTGGCATGGAGGTGACCATCGGGGTTGGAGTGTTTCCAAGCATGAAGGGGAACTGAGAACTGTGGGAATGGGCCTTGTGTAGTGCAGGGTGGGCCGGGCCTGGTGGGAGGGGGCCTGCTCCCGGGAGCTCAGACTGATGGGGTCCTGGGGTGAAGAGGAGAGGGGGAGCCCCAGGCAGAGGTGGGGTTGGGGGACACCATGGGGTGCTTGCAGGTCAATCCAGAGTGGGCTGGCCAGGCAGTGGGAGGTGGGGGAGCTGTGCGGGGAAGGAAAGAGGAAGCCAAGGGGAGAGGGGGATGGGCTGCTGGGGATGGAGTGGGGGTGGGGGCTGGGGGCCTGGAGCCACTTTGGCCGCAGCCACTTCACTTCTCCTGGTTTCGGTTTGTAAATAGCTGTCGGCTCCGTAGGGCAGGATGGGCCTGTCCCTTCTGTGGCCTGTGTCCAGGGAAGCCCAGATCTAAGGAGCTACAGATGCTCAAGCCCTGGATTGGGGGACCCCAGGATGCCTGCAACCCAGCCAGCCTTTGCCTGGGTCGGTGGGTTCTGGGGGCCCAGTTCTGGGCAGTTGCAACCTGTGGTCACTGAGGTAATGCAGCTGGGCTGGGGGAGCTTCAGAACATGATGACTCGGCCACCCTGGGCTTATTTATAACTGGGCCTCCGTGGCCAGAGCAGCTGCTGAGCCGCCAACTCAGCACTCAGGCTGGCCTGAAACACCAAGGCAGGGAACAGGACAGTGAGGGCCAGGCTGCCCTGACGGCCCCTCAGGCTGAGTCAAGGGGTCTTGGGTTCTCCAAGGCCTCTTTGGCTGGGACTGTGATGTGATGGGCGGGACTTGGGTTTTAGGGGAGCTTCTTGTGGAGCCGTCGTCTTGAACCTCCTGGACCAAAGGGATGGTTGAGCCTAGCCGGTGGACTGGCCACTACCAGGGGGCACAGGGCTCGGCCTTCTCGCAAAGAGCCTCTTCCTCCGAGGTCAGATGCTGTCAGCAAACTTGACCAGAAGCAAAGTCATCTCCCTCCCCTTCTTGCAATATCAGCTTAAAAACAAAACACAACAGATTCGGGGAAAGGGCAGTTCGGACACCGAAGGCCTGACCCCAGGCAGGCTGGCAGGTGGGAGAGGCGTGGGTCTTTCCTGAGGTGCCCACGTCACCCCACACCAGCATCCACCTCCTCGGCAGCTGGGAAGGGCTGGTCCTGCCCCACCCTGCAAATGACCGCGTCTTCTTTCTGAGGAAGTGTGCGAGGGGGTGTCAGGCCCTTTCCCAAGGTTTGCAGGAATAAAGCCTAGTCCTCCCAGATCAGCGTGGCCTCCGCCGCCCCAGATTCCATCAGCACCCTGTCTGCAAAACATGGGCCTGCTCCTCCCACCTCCAAGCCTTGCTCCAGTGTGGAACCCCCACCGGCCTCGCCTGTTCCCCTCTCTGCCAAGGTCTACACCAGGTTCCACCTCCAAGGCCCCAGCCTCAGTGCTGTCCCCAAAGCTTTGGCTCTTGGGAATGCAAAGCCCAACGAATGTGAGAACCGGGATGGGAATGGGCGAGGGGTTTTAGACCATGGATGCCGAGGTACTGCAGGAAAGAGGAAGGCGGGCCTGGAGCGGGAGAGATGGCGGTGGCGCCTGGCGAGCGCAGAGTTGAGACCAGAGCCACGTGCCCTGACTCCCCTCCTAGCGCTCTCACCCCTGGACCTCTGACCTCCGACCTCTGAGACCACCTGCCTGGCCCCTTCCTCTTGGCGGAAGCTGTTAGGGAAGGGAGGGATGGTGGCCTGCTGTGGGGGAAAACTCGGGCCACCACTGCTTGGGTCTGGGGTCTGGGGCCTAGGGCTGCTGGGCCCACGTAGGCCCCTCTGGGCAGGGTCACAGCGCCCAGCCTGGAGCCGCCCGGGCTGCAGCTGCCCCTGTTTCCACATCGGCAGCAGCAAGGCCGGCGCCTGAGAAAACAGGAAGCGCCCAGTCACCACAGGAAGCATGTGTGCGCCGCCTCCCCACCCCCGGCCCATTGCAAAACGCCAACAGCCCATTACCACAGGCACCGCACAGCGGCCCAGAGAAACGCTCCGGCCACCAGGCCTGCCGAGGAGCCGGACACAGCCTCCGGCCCTCGCCAGCCTGGGCCAGGCCTCAGGGGGATGTCCAGCCGCGGCCTGGAGGAGCCCAGAGTCCCCCAGGCCTCAGGCCTCAGCCTTCTTCTGGGCTCTCAGCTCAATCCCCAGGCCAGCCAGGGCCAGGCCTACTTTGGCCACCCTTAAATCAGAATGTGGGGTCAGGGGTCACAGAAAAGCCATTTCTCTGACCTAGTGTTTGGCGTCCGGGAACTCTGTGCCCAACCTTCAGACCCTGGCAGTCCTCACTGAGGCCATTGGCCCAGAGCCCGCCATCCCCCGAGACCCCCGGGAGCCGCCTGTTGCCACGTCCACACCTGCCACACCCTCTGCCGGGCCCCAGCCCCTCCCAACCGGGACCGTGCTGGTCCCTGGGGGTCCTGCCCCACCTTGCCTTGGGGAGGCATGGGCCCTCCTCCTCCCACCCTGCCGGCCGTCACTCACCTCTTGCTTCTGGTCCCCCAGGCCTAGCCCTTGGAAGGAGACAGGAGTCTAGGGAGGCTGAAGCCCACTCCCGGGGAGGCCCGTGCTCCTCCAGCCCCAGGGACAGCAAGGAAAAGAGAAGAGAGCAGAGCATTTCATGGCTATAATAAATCAAAGGGGGAAGTCGAAGCAAGAGAAATAACAAACTTCCCTTGCCTGGGCATGGGGACCTGCCAGGCAGCAGCCCCCGGGTGCCCCGCGGCCTTCCCTCCTTCCTCCTGCCTCCCTGGCCAGTACCCAGATCTCTCTTCAGGCCTAGGTACCCCCATCTACCCAGAGACACCCGCCCCTGGACACCCAACAGCCCTCCTCGCTGCACTCCCCGGGCTGGCACCTCTCCACTTGGCCTCAGTTTCCTCTTAATTGGCACAGAAAGCCCTGGGTCGCGTGGTCAGGCTGCCCAGCAGACAGGGATGAAGACAGAAGACAGGCAGTGCCCCCTCTGAACCAAGGCCCCTCAGTGGACAAAGGGAGGGGTGAGGTGTCCTGAGAACTCCTAGCGGGACACTTGGAGCCGGATGGACAAACATCTGGGAGCCAAGATGAGAGGGAGAGGCAGCAGAGTTCAGAGCAGAGATGGGGCCAGCCCCAGGCCATGACAGCTGGCAGGCCCTCAACCATCAACCTCAGCCATCCCTGAACTTCTCCCCAGCCAGACCAGGTGGCCCAGGGCCTGGGGCTTGAAGGGCCTGGAGGTCACCGTGGGGCATGAGATGTCCACAGCCTCAGGACATAACCCGGGTGTATCTTCTCGGAACATCCACTCAGGTAGAAGACTGAGAGGAAGATGTTTTAGGAAAGGGGAGGGAAATCCCCACACATTAAAGAGAAGGATGCAAACTTGTATGATTTTTTTAAGATAAAATAAGGAATTTCAGGCTGGGCCCAGTGGCTCACACCTGTAATCCCAGCACATTGGGAGGCTGAGACAGGTGGATCGCCTGAGGTCAGGAGTTCGAGACCAGCCTGGCCAACATTGTGAAACCCCCATCTCTGCTAAAAATACAAAAATTAGCCAGGTGCAGTGCCACGTGCCTGTAATCCCAGCTACTCAGCTACTTGGGAGGTTGAGGCAGAAGAATCGTTGAACCCAGGAGGCGGAGGTTGCAGTGAACCAAGATTGTGCCACTGCACACTCCAGCCTGGGAGACAGAGTGAGATTCTGTCTCAAAAAAAAAAAAAAAAAAGGCTGGGCTTGGTAGCTCACGCCTGTAATCCCAGCACTTTGGGAGGCCGAGGCAGGTGGATCACCCGAGGTCAGGAGTTCGAGACCAGCCTGGCCAACATAGTGGAACCCCATCTCTACTAAAAATACAAAAATTAGCCAGGTGTGGTGGCACGCACCTGTAGTCTCAGCTACTTGAGAGGCTGAGGCGGGAGAATAGCTTGAACCCGGGAGGCGGAGGTTGCAGTGAGCCGAGACCATGCCATTGCACTCCAGCCTGGGTGACAGAGTGAGACTGTCTCAAAATAAATAAATAAATAAAATAAAATAAGTAAATAAACAAATGGAGAAATGCCTAGCTCAGAAGTTTGCAATGAGGGACAAATGAGGCTGTGGAGTGGGGCCTTGGGGTAATCGTTTGGCCGGCAACACACTGCGGCCACCCACCTGTCGCCCCCCTCTCACCTGCCTGAGTTGGGGTGAACACTCCAGCTCGCCACTCTTCTCTGAGAACCCCCAGGGCCCCTCCCTGGCCTCCCTCTGGCCCTTCCTGACCTGGAGGAGTCCTGAAGCTGAGGTTCCCAGCCCCACCCTCAAGGTGCTCCCTCTCTGGGACAGAAACCTTAGAGGCCCCAACTCCCACCTTGGCAGGACTCCCCAGTTCTGCTCACACTCTGTGCCCCTCACATGACATCCCCACTGCTGCCCCGAGACTGTCTTAATAACTAGAGGTATTCACCAGGCACTCTACATACACAGCATCTTGTAATCCTTGACGATGCAGGTATTCTCATCCCCATTTCACAGATAAGGAAACTGAGGCTCGGGGAGGACTGACAGGTGCAAGCTCAGCTGGCTAGAAAGGGGCAGCACTGGCCGGGCGCAATGGCTCACACCTGTAATCTCAGCACATTGGGAAGCCAAGGCAAGTGGATCACCTGAGGTCAGGAATTCGAGACCAGTCTGGCCAACATGGTGAAACCCCATCTCTACTAAAAATACAAAAATTAGCTGGGCATGGTGGCGGGCAGCTGTAATCCCAGCTACTCAGGAGGCTGAGGCACAAGAATAGCTTGAACCCAGGAGGCGGAGGTTGCAGTGAGCCGATATCATGCCATTGCACTCCAGCCTAGGTAACAGGGTGACAAAGCAAGACTCCGTCTCAAAAAAAAAAAAAAAAAAAAAGTAAAAGAAAGGGGCAATGCTGAGATGAGAACTCAGTTTTCCTGTGTGCCCATCCAGTGGAAGTCCCATGCAAACCCTGAGGCAAAGCAGCATCTCTTTGGAAAAAGACTTCAAGCCTTTTAGAGTCTCACTGCTGCCTCCAGGCCCACGGCCACCACCTCTTCCCAGCTCCCCTACCCTGTCCCTATTCTCAGTTGTCCTGCTTCTCCTGGTCCAGGCTGGAGGATATCAGAGTTGAAAAAATTCCAGCCTCAGGTGCCCATGGGACCAGAGAGATGATAAAATCCAGAAAGGGGATGAGCCAGGCTCCCCTTGGCTCTCAGCCCTGGGCATGAACACGTAACAGTGGGACTTAACTCCCTGGGAGACAGGCCCAAAGAGGCAGCATTCCTGGTGGTGAGACCTGAGTGCATCTGCACCAGACATTTCCGCATTTAAATCTCAGCTCTGCAATGGAGAGACCACCCCCTGGGTAAGTGACAACATGAAAATGGGAGAAAATGCCTCTCCTGGCCTGGAGATCTCACAGGAGGGAAATGTGTTTCTAACAGCCATGGGCCCAGCCCTCCTTCAGGCACCGGCTCTGTCCAGTAGGTACGATTATTACTCCCATTTTACATACGAGGAAACCCAGGGAAAAGAGATGTCCCAAGGTCACACAGCCTTGCAGGGGCTTGAACCCCAATCCTGTCTAACTCCAAGTCCCATGCACTTACATATACCTGAGAGCCCCTCCTTCCTTTTCTCCTAGGAGTTCTTCTGTACCTTCCTAGCTTGCAGGGTTGGGGCCCTGGGTGGCAAGTTGAACCATGACTGGATGGGACTGGAGGGCTTGGCCCTGCCTGGCTGAGGCTGCAGTCTGCAAATACCTGACTGCCCTTGCTCTTGGTTGGGCTGAGGGACTGCTGCCTGGGCATGCAAGGGGTTGGGGACCAGCTGCAGCGGCACCTCCCTGACATATTGCCTTGGGCCACCCTGCCCTCTAAGCTTGTTGGTGTCTGACTTTCTTGGGAGAGGGGTATAACCCCTTCCAGGGGGCCTGCATGGTGGGGCTGAGACACTAAGAAAGCTGCATTTGAGCTTCCTCACTGGCTCAGCTCCTTCTGAGGCCCTGGAAGGGGTCTCAGCAATTTTGTTTTTGTTTTTTATTTTTTTGGTTTTTTTTTTGATGAAGTCTCACTCTATTGCCCAGGCTGGAATGCAGTGACACAATCTCGGCTCACTGCAACCTCTGCCTCCCGGGTTCAAGTAATTTTGCTGCCTCAGCCTCCCGAGTAGCTGGGACTACAGGAGAGCGCCACCACGCCTGGCTAATTATTTTATTTTATGTTTTGTATTTTTAGTAGAGACAGGATTTCACCACGTTGGCCAGGCTGGTCTCGAACTCCTGACCTCAGGTGATCCACCCACCTTGGCCTCCCAAAGTGTTGAGATTACAGGTGTGAGCCACCGCGAACGGCTGTTTTGTTTTGTTTTGTTTTGTTTTTGTTTTTTGTTTTGAGACAGAGTTTAGCTCTGTCACCCAGACTGGAGTGCAGTGGTGCGATCATCTCAGCTCACTGCAACCTCTGCCTCCCGGGTTCAACGATTCTCCTGCCTCAGTCTCCCGAGTAGCTGGGATTACAGGCGCCCACCATCACGTCCAGCTAATTTGTGTATTTTAGTAGAGACAGGGTTTCACCATGTTGGCCAGGCTGGTCTGGAACTCCTGACGTCAAGTGATCCGCCCACCTTGGCTTCCCAAGGTGCTGGGATTACAGGTGTGAGCCACTGCGCCCAGCCTCTCAGCAATTTTGTATTTGTGACTTTGTAATCTTTTCCTTAAAGAGTGCCCCCCCAAATGGTTTTAAGCTTCAGGCTCCTGGGAACCTAGATCTGTCCCCAGGGTGGGGCGGTGGAAAGCGTTCCAACCCCCTCCCACTTGCTTTTTGCATGCTGGCTCTGGGGCTTTGGGTGAAACTCCCCACTTTGCCATCTATACAATGGGGATGAATGAGGCGATGCGATGCTTAGAGGACCCTCTGTTCAAAACTCGCCCAACCCACAGAGACCTTCACAAGCCTGCACTTGGTCCATCACCAACAGCCCTGTGGGGAAAACCGAGCTCCTACCCCCATTTTCCAGCTGAGATAACTGAGGCGTGAAGCCCCGCTGCCGCTCGTCGCTGAGGCTGTGAGCAGGCTGGAGCCTCATCCCCCACTGCTCCCTGGGGTCTCCTCCCGGGATGCCAAGCCTGGGTAGCAGGAGGGGGTCTCCAGGGTGCGGGGGCGCTCTGGGGAGGCCGGGGGCGGAGGCGGTGTCCCGCACTGTCCCACCGCAGGGCCGACCTCGGCCCTTATCTGCTCCGGCAGCTTCCGCCCCCCAACTCCAGCCCCCGCCGCAGGCCCGGCCCCCGGCCCCGCCCCCCTAGGGCCCCTCCCCCGCGCCGCCCGCCCCCAGGGGAGCGCCCGAGCTGCCCGGCTGCGGCCCAGTCGAGCGGAGAGGGGGCCCAGCCCCCCCAGGTGGGCAGCCGGAAGTGATAAATAACCGAGACGGGGGGGGGGGGACACCATTGCAGTGAGGCCCGAGTTGTCCCGGGATACTCGCCCACAACCCAATAGGAGCTCCCCAAACTAAGTTGTCTTCGCCAAAAATGGGAGGGGGTCTGAGAAGGAAGAGGAAAGGGGTTCCTTAAGGCCCCAGGGACAAGAGGAACAGTGGAGTCAGTTTAAACAGGGCTCTGAGAGGCACACGACCTCCCCCCACACTAACAATGCCAAGTGGCCTCCCTGGGACAGGTGTGGGGGGGGGAGAGAGAAGCGGAGACACCTCAGAGAAAGTGAAAAGGAAGTCACAACTGGAGATGCCTGCGGAGTGCAGCGGGGCATAGCCTCAAAAATACATAAGGAACTCTTGCAAATCAAGGAAAAGAAAATCAAGCAATCCAATATAAAAAAATAGATAACACACACGCAGCGCAGGCATGTTAGGGCAGAGAAAACGAATTTGCTCAAATACCATCTAAGGGAGGCTCAGCCTCACTGCTGATGAGGGCGATGCAAATTCAGACCACAATGAGATGCTATTTACACCATCTGAAGGGCAGAAGGGAACTGTCCTTCAGCCAGAGCTGGCTGAAGGGCAGAAGGGAACTGTCCTTCAGCCAGAGCTGGCTGAAGGGCAGAAGGGAACTGTCCTTCAGCCAGAGCTGGCAAGGAGGGGAGCAGCAGGCCCTCCTGCATGTGGCTAGTCAGGATGCGGCTCCAAATAGCCCCCTAGGGAGAGCAATCTGGCCTTATCTCACGAAGTGGAGGTACAGAGGCTGTCACCCACACATCCCCCCAGGCAGCAAATCAAGATAAGTTCTCTGACAAGTGCGCCAAGAGACAGGGACAAAAATATTCACGTTGTCCCTAATAGCAAAAAAAATCCTGAAATAACCCCAGGGCCCACTGATAAGAGAATGGATAAATAAATTACAGTAGACACATTCACAGGGTGGAGATCATTCAGCAATGCAAGCAGGTGACCCACAGGTTCACCAATATCATGAAGGAATCTTTGCACCATGGTATTGAGTGGAAAAAGTCAGTCCCAGAAGATGGATACTTGCGGCTCTCTGTATCCCTGGGTTCCACATCCATGGATTCAACCAACCTCGGATGGAAAATATTTGGAGAAAAAAATGGATGGTTGTGTCTGTACTAAACATGTACAGACTTTTTTTCTTGTCATTGTTCCCCAAACAATACCATGTAACAGCGATTAACATAGCATTTACATTGTTTTCGGCAATCTAGAGATGATTTAAAGTATATGGGAGGATGTGGTAGGCTAAATATGCAAATATTTAATACCACACCATTTTATATCAGGGATTGAGCATCTGTGGATTTTGGTATCCTCAGGGGGTCTTGGAACCAACTCCCCCCCATCCCCGCCAGGACGCCAAAGGACAGCTGTCCTTACCCTTCTCATGAAGTTCAAAACCAAGCCAAGCCATATCTTTACAAATAACAATGTTCCTTCCCTGTTTCTAATACCTTTGTTATTAGGAGATGGTATGATTACCCACATAAAAGACTCTAGGCTGGGCATGGTAGCCCAAGCCTGTGTCCCTAGCACTTTGGGAGGCCAGGAGTTCAAGACCAGCCTGGGCAACATGGCAAAACCCCATCTCTACAAAAAATACCAAAAAAAAATTAGCCGAGCATGGTGGTTTGTGCCTGTGGTCCCAGCTACTTGGGAGGCTGAAGTGGGAGGATCATTTGAGCCCAGAAGGCCGAGGTTGTGGTCAGCGGAGATTGTGCTATACTCCAGCATGGGCAACGGAGTGAGACTCTGTCTCAAAAAAAAAAAAAAAAAAAAAAAAAAAAAAATATATATATATATATATATATATATATATCCCCACAAATATAAAATATCTAGAAGTAAACTTGGTAATAATTATGCAGAACCTATAGGAAAACAATTGTTAAATTCACTAAATAATGTAAAACCTTAAAATAGTTTTTTTTTTAAAAAAGCCAATTCAAATGGAATATTGTCTAGGTATACATACATATGTCAGAAAAAGCTTTATCAAAAAAATAAAAGCAAGAGTCAGGTGTGGTGGTGTGTGCCTGTAGTCCTAGCTTCTTGGGAGACTGGGGCCAGAGGACCATGTGAGCCCGGAAGCTTGAGACCAGCCTGGGCAACAATTTTAAAAAAATTTTAAAATTAAAATTAAAATCTCTAATTTTAAAAAAAGAAAGGCCAGGCGTGGTGGCTCACACCTGTAATCCCAGCACTTTGGGAGGCCGAGACCAGCGAATCACTTGAGGTCAGGAGTTCAAGACCAGCCTGGCCAACATGGTGAAACCCTGTTTCTACTAAAAACACAAAAATTAGCTGGGCATGGTGGGCGCCTATAGTCCCAGCTTCTCGGGAGGCTGAGGCAGGAGAATCGCTTGAACCTGGGAGGCAGGGGTTGTAGTGAGCTGAGATTGCGCCACTGCTCTGCAGCCTGGGTGACAGAGCTAGAATCTGTCTCAAAAAGAAAAAAAGAAAGAAAGAAAAATAAAAAGCAAAGGACTGATCATCACAAAATTCAGGTTTCACTGAAGGAGGAGACAGGGAGATGGGATAGGGGAAGGGTAACAAGTAAGGAAAGATGTAAATCAACACAAAAATTAAACAAGAGCCTTGCAGGGACCAAAAGGGCAGTGCAGAACGCACAAGGATTTCACCCCAATTTGTGCACCTGAGACAAGAGAAGGGGAATGGGAGACATGAAATTGATTTGGATAAACTTTTATTCAGAGTATGGGCAAAAGCTTGCTTTTTCTAGCAGCCCACACCTGGCAGGGAAAGAGGCCTGTGTATCCAGGGGACAAGGCTAAGGGATCCAAAGACACACCGACATGCAGAGCCTTCAGAATGGACAGGTCAGGAAGGCTGCAGGGAGGAGGTGGCCTTGTCAACAGGCTAGGTTTCAATCGACTGAGATGGCGAAAGGGGAAGGACATCCCAGGCCTGCCGAGAGTGGGGTGGGGGTGACAGAACTTGCCACAGTGGAGAGGCTGGACAGAGAGTAGTGGGACTCAGCTGTTCATGGTGGAGCTGCTGGTGGCAAGGGAAGAGGGGAGAGGCCCTGTGGGGTCACTGGAGCATTGCCCAGCCAGGGCTTAGGATTCAGTGGAGAAAATACCCCAGGAACTCATGAGGGAGCTAAGGCTACCCTGGAAAGAAGGATTGAGAAAGGATTGGGGTCAGGGGTTTCAGAGGGGCAGGGCTCCTTTGGAGAAGCTGAACCTGTGGCCCTGGGGGAGCTGCTGTGCCTCTTTTTAGCTGTGACCCTGCGTAATGTGATTACCATCCTGAGCCCCATATGCCTTTCAATAAGAGACTGCTATCTTCCTGCTGACCCCCACGGGAGGAAGCCCTGTGACAAGGATAAGGCCAGATATCTCACTAGAGACCACACTCTGGAAGTATCCATCCCCAGCCCAAGTCTCTAGCCCTCGATTGCCAGAGTGGAGGGAAGGATGTCAAAGCATTGGCCATTGCCAGGCCAGCCAGTCTTGCAGGGGCCAGAGACAGGAACAAGGGGTTAAAGTCAGATTCTGGGCATTGCAGTGAAGTCAGAGAAATAGATCTGTGGCTCCCTGATCCCAGACACCTCTCAGCCACTTAGAGCCACGCAGTACCCAGGCCCATCCAGCTCTGCTGAAGTTTGTCCAGTGCTTCAACCCAGGAAAACCCTATGGCCTCCAAACCAACTGATAAATATGTCAGAAAACACTCATTTGTGGCTGGGTGCAGTGGCTCACGCCTGTAATCCCAACACTTTGGGAGGCCGAGGAGGGCAGATCACCTGAGGTCAAGAGTTCAAAACCAGCCTGGCCAACATGTTGAAACCCCGTCTCTACCAAAAATACAAAAATTAGCCGGGCATGGTGGTGGGTGCCTGTAGTCGGGGGGCTGAGGCATAAGAATCACGTGAACCTGGGAGGCGGAGGTTACAGTGAGCTGAGATCACACCATTGCACTCCAGCCTAGGTGACAGAGCAAGACTCCAACTCAAAAACAAAAAAACAGGCCGGGCCTGGTGGCTTACGTCTGTAGTCCCAGCACTTTGGGAGGCTGAGGCGGGCGGATCACAAGGTCAGGAGTTCAAGACCAGCCTGGCCAACATAGTGAAACCCCGTCTCTACTAAAAATAAAAAAATTAGCCGGGAGTGGTGGCGGGAGCTTGTAATCCCAGCTACTCAGGAGGCTGAGGCAGGAGAATGGCTTGAACCCGGGAGGTGGAGGCTGCAGTGAGACAAGATCGTGCCACTGCACTCCAGACTGGTGACAGAGCAAGACTCCGTCTCAAACAACAACAACAAAACAAAAAACAAAAAACAAAACAGGCCGGGAGCGGTGGCTCACACTTGTAATCCCAGCACTTTGGGAGGCGGAGGCGGGCAGATCACCAGGTCAGGAGTTCGAGACCAACATGGTGAAACCCTGTCACTACTAAAAATATAAAAAATTAGCTGGGCGTGGTGGTGAGTGCCTATAGTCCCAGCTACTCAGAAGGCTTAAGCAGAAGAATTGCTTGAACCTGGGAGGCAGAGGTTGCAGTGAGCCGAAATCGCGCCACTGAACTCCAGCCTGGGTGACGAAGCAAGACTCCATCTCAAAAAACAAAACAAAACAAAACAAAAAAACACTTTCTTATGCTTAGCAAGGAGAGAGGGTGTCCCCACTCTGTATCTTTAATGTAGCTATTCTTTATGTTGCTTTAATATTTTTATACCCATATATCCATACATATAAACAGCATTAATTTCTAGCTCTATATAAAACTTCCCATATGTCAGGCATAGTTCTAAGTGCTTTGTCTGTATTTATCCATTTAATCTTCACAACAACATCTAAGTCTAATTTCGAGATGAGGAAACTGAGGCATAAGGAGTTAAGTAATTTGTCCCAGGAAGTCTGGCATCAGAATCTTACTGTCTTGAATGGGCACAGTGGCACACGCCTATAATCCCAGTGCTTTGGGAGGCCGAGGCGAGAGGATTGCTTGAGCCCAGGAGATCGAAGCTGCAGTGAGCTGTGATCACACCACTGCACTCCAGCCTGGGTGACAGAGTTAAAAAAAAATTTGTTATATTCACCTTTTGAATTTTCTCTTCTGTTCCCTTTTATCTTCTTTCTAAACAAAACAAAACAAAGAATCGTATTGTCTTAACCACCAAGACACCAAGAGGTAAGCCAGAGAGAGAGAGAGAGAGAGAAAGACAGAGGCTAGGTGCAGTGGCTCACGCCTATAATCCCAGCACTTTGGGAGGCTGAGGCGGGTGGATCATTTGAGGTAAGGAGTTCAAGACCAGCCTGGCCAACATGGTGAAACCCTGTCTCTACTACAAAAATTGGCCGGGAAGTAGTGGCCCATGCCTATAATTCCAGCTACTTGGGAGGCTGAGGCTGGAGAATTACTTGAGCCTGGGAGGCGGAGGTTGCAGTGAACCGAGATCATGCCACTATACTCCAGTCTGGGTGACAGAGTGAGACCCTGTCTCAAAAAAAAAAAAAAAAAAAAGAGAAAGAGAAAGAGATTTTATATAGTGAGATTTTCATATATCTGAGATGAGATTTGATATATGTATACAATTTTACACATTGCATACATGTGATCATATACACCTTTTATTTATTTATTTTGAGATGGAGTTTCGCTCTTGTTGCCCAGGCTGGAGTGCAATGGCGCGATCTCGGCTCACTGCAACCTCTACCTCCCAGGTTCAAGCGATTCTCCTGCCTCAGCCTCCCGAGTAGCTGGGATTACAGGCATGCGCCACCACACCTGGCTGATCTTGTATTTTTAGTAGAGGGGGTTTCTCCATGTTGGTCAGGCTGGTCTTGAACTCCCGACCGCAGGTGATCTGCCCACCTTGGCCTCCCAAAGTGCTGGGATTACAGGCATAAGCCACCATGCCCAGCCATATATGGCCATACACATCTTTTAATGTGTTGTTTTCCTTTAACATTTTTTCCTTCCCTATTCACATTAGTTCCTCCCACCATAGAATCCATAATATCACTTTAATGTGTTATCTATGTTTTTTATGTATTCATTATACATAGACTTATATATACTGATACCTTTAATCACATACACATATACAAGGTTTCTTTTTGTCATTATTTTAAAATAGTCTCTTAAAAAATAAAAATAGTGGATCATATTAAATAAATATTTCTGCATCTCACTTTTCTCACACACCTGGAAACCCCTGCAATTTTATTAATTTGTAATTTTTTTTATTTTTTTATTTTTGAGACAGGGTCTCGCTCTGTTACCCAGACTGGAGTGCAGTGGCACGATCAGGGCTCACTGCAGCCTTGACCTCCCGGGTTCAAGCAATCCTTCCACCTCAGCCTCCTGAGTAGCTGGGGCTACAGGTGCGCACCATTACACCTGACTAATTTTAAATTTTTTTGTAGAGACCAGTTCTCAGTTTGTTACCCAGGCTGGTCTGGAACTCCTGGGCTCAAAAGATCTTCCTTCCTAGGCCTCCCAAAGTGCTGGGATTACAGATGTGAGCCACCGGGCCTTAGGTATCCGATGGGAATTCCAGGCCAGGTGGGAGGAAAGGGTAGTGCATTGGCACCAAGTAACGTTTCTGGCTGGGTCTTGCCCATCCCCTTGTTGGGTGGCCAGGAGCGCTCAGCCTCCAGAGGCAGGAATGCTGACTGTGTTATTGTGAAATCATTTGCATATTGTGAAGTGCTTTGCATAAGATGGAGCGCTTTTGCATACAGGGAGGGGGGCATTTTAGAAGTCCTAGGGCAGGATCCCTGAGTAGCTTTTCTTTGCCAAGAAACTAACCCAGGGATTCCATTTTGGAACTCAGGGAGGGAACAGAACGTCCTGGCAGTTGTATGGGCCCGGTGGGGTGAGATGGACAGAAAGCTTCAGAAGACAAGCTGGGCCACCAGGGAGAAGTTGGCGGTCTAAGGAAGGCCAACAGTGCAACATGAAGTGGGACAGGCACCAGAGGCAGCCCTGAGAGCTGAGTGTGCTCTCAAGAGCCCCAGCAGAGGGGAAAGTGACAGAGTAAATGGTTGGAGCTGCCATGGGAGGCTGATGAGGGTCAGAGACTTAAGAGACCTGTACTCAGTCGCTATCTCTGCCCAAGTGAGTACCCACATGCCCCTTCCTGAATCTTCTCCTGTACTGGCTGATTTCCAGAGAAGAATACAAACTCGAAACGCCAAGCCAGACTCCCACTGCTGTTCAGGACCTAGACGTGAGAAGTGGTATCACATACTCTGGCTTCAGGACACCCAGGTTTGAATCCTGGCTCTGCCATCTGTGCCACTGTGTGACCCTGGGCTAACAGTACCCACCACAATGGGATAATATGAGGATTCAGTGAGATAGTGCGAGTAAAGTGAATAGCACATAGTAGGTGGTCAGTAAATTGCGGTTATAAGAACTGCTATCCAGTGTTTGCTGCCTTAGTCTAACCAAAGAGGTCAGGTCTAGCTTCCTCCAGGTGAGGGAAGCACAGAGCCCTCGCCTCCCAGGTTTGGAGTTCCCATCAGCAGGGTCCAGCCACCATGCATTGGACCCCAAAGGGTTACAAGCCCTGGAGACAGTGGCCTGAGGTTCCCAGTGAAAAACCAAAGCATAAAAATAATTCGATGAGTAAGAATAAAATTCCCTCTTCTGAGGTTCCCGGGGCCAGGCCCCTCCCTGCGGCAGGCACTTCCCCTTTCCCTTGCTCATGGAGGAGCCAGGCCGGGCTGACTCAGAGCAGGAGCGCACAGTAGTCCTCCCAGCCCGACCTGGGCGGCGTGGTCTGGCGGCCGGGCGCGCCCCCGTGCGGCCACGGGCAGACTGCGGCCCTGGACGGGAAGCGGCGGCCAGATCCGCAAGCCCCGCAGCCTGGTCGATCGCGGTCCCCGCAGAGCCGCCGCTTCCGTCCCTGCCCAGCCTGGCTGAGCGCGGTGCGTGTGGCTCTCTCACTTCCGACCGACCCTCCCCTCCGGCCCGCAGCCCTGCCCAAACGGAAGTGCGCCCTCTACCCGGGTCCCCCACCGCCGCGAGGCGGAAGCGCCCTCCCGCCGCCACTCCCCCCGACCCCGCGGCACGCGGCGCCTCGGGTTCCGGACAGGCCCCTTGTGACGTGGCCGCGCGCCGGGGGCGGCCCCGGGCCGGGGGCCGGGCGGCCGGGCGGCCGGGCGGGGCAGAGCCTGGGCGGGGCGCGGCACCGCAGCTGGATGGCTGGGGCCGCCCGGATCGCCGCCGCCGCCGCCGCACGGTGAGTGCCAGCAGGACCCTCGGGGCCCGCGCCCCGGGCGTGATGGACCCGGCCGATCCCTCGCCCCGTCCGACTGGTCCTCATCAGACCTGGGCCGGCTCCCAGGACCCGGGAGTCAGGCTCGCCCGCTTCGGCCTCCTCTCCCCCATCGCTCCGCGCCCCACGCCCCATCCCTCCCTCGCTGTCCTCTCCGCGTCCCACCCGCCTCTCTCTAGCTCTCTCACTCTCTACTTTCCTCTCCCCTTGGACTCTCCGTGTATTCCCTCCCGCTAGCCTGTGGTCCCCTCACCTCTGCGTGACCGCCTCGTCCTGGCCCAGTCTTGCCTGTGGTCCCCAGTGGAGCCCCGCTGGCTTCATCAGTGCCCCTGATTAGTTAAGGCCTGGAGGTCCTAGACATGGGCATCTCTGCCACCACCCAGAGGCAGCTGCTTTCTTCCCCTCCCATCTCCATCAGAAGGTGAGGAAACTGAGGCAGGGACATCACCAGCTCAAGGTCACAGCCAGCCTGAGGCAGAGCAGACCACATTTAAACCTCATGCCCGAGTTTCCAGATGGAACTTCTCGCTTGGTTGACTCACGTCCACATCCTGTGATCGGCCGGCTGGGCACATTCCTGCTGCAGGGAGCCCCAGGCCTTCCCTGGCACAGGCAGGGCCTCTGCGCCTCCTCATGCCGGGTACATCCACCTGCACTTTCAGGCTTATCTCGTCCTCACAGCTGAGGCAGGTGATATTGATCCCTGTCCTGCAGATGAGGGCACTGAGGCTCAGAGGGGGGGCTTCAGAGATTTGCCCAGAGTTAGACAGCTCAAAGTGCAGCATAGAATTCACCGTGGGGGCTCTAAAGCCTGCGCTATACAAGAGAGAGGCATCCCCTGGCTAAAGGCTCCTTCCTCATCAGCCCCATCTCCTGTTGCCCTCAGTGCCCTGGGGACATTGGTCTCATGTCCTAGGAAGAAGCGTGGATGGTCTTGCCCTGGCTCATCTGCTCAGTTTCCCCACGTATGTCTCTCTGAATCCACCCCATCCCCTTAGAAGGGGTGCCTCAGTCTCTGGGGTGTCGCGGGCGGCAGGGCCTCCCCTGGCAGCCAGAGACACCCAGCTGGGCCGGGCCGTGCCGCCGGTGGCTGAGGAGAGCCAGCCAGCGCCTCACCCTGTCATTAGGGAAAGTTTAGCCTCAGGCGGAGGTGCTGACACAGTCTGGAGCTGCTCAGAAGGAAAAAATACGCAGTGCTCAGGAGTAGGGTGTGGAGACACAGGGCCCCATTGCTGTGCACCCAGCATTTGGATGCTCAGACGCTCTGGCAAGGACAGCAGGAGGGTGGATGCCAGGGTCCCTTGCGGGGAGGAGGGAGGCGCCACGTTTCCTAAGCAGGTGTGCGGCCAAGGCTGTAGCTCATATAGGTGGCCTTTTGTGTTTTTCAGTACGTGGCATGCCTGGATGTCCCTGCCCTGGCTGTGGCATGGCGGGCCCAAGGCTCCTCTTCCTCACTGCCCTTGCCCTGGAGCTCTTGGAAAGGGCTGGGGGTTCCCAGCCGGCCCTCCGGAGCCGGGGGACTGCGACGGCCTGTCGCCTGGACAACAAGGAAAGCGAGTCCTGGGGGGCTCTGCTGAGCGGAGAGCGGCTGGACACCTGGATCTGCTCCCTCCTGGGTTCCCTCATGGTGGGGCTCAGTGGGGTCTTCCCGTTGCTTGTCATTCCCCTAGAGATGGGGACCATGCTGCGCTCAGAAGGTAGGTGACTCTCCGGTGGCGCCCAGGGCTGGCCAGGGTGTGGGAAGCATGCTGCTGCTCTTCTTAGGAGACCCCAGGTCACAGAGTGTCTGAGATGGAGGGAGAGGATAGAATAGAACTTCTCCCCTTGGTCCTGTAGGAGCTATCTAGCCAGGGGCGGCTGGCTCTGGCTTCCCCAGGAAGCTATGAGCACCTGGTAGCAGGGCCTGCCCCTGGGGAGGGGGTCTAGGAGATGGGGATGTGGGCACGGGTGGGAGCTTTGTCCTGACTACCCTTTTGTACCATGAGCATGTACTGCCCGTTCACAAATAACATGTTGTAACAAAACACGCAGGAGAGCTCTAGGGAGCTGCTAAGAATGCACGTGCCTATCCCCCACCTAAGAGGGGTGGACCAAGGCCCTGGGAATCTGTTAGAAACGAGCATCCCAGGGGCTGGTGCTGCCAGCTGGATGCTCAGGAACCATTCACTTACCAGATGGTTACCCAGCAGCTCTGTGCCAGGCACTGGGCTGAGGGCGGTGCCACAGCTGTGAATAGAGCCCTGCTTGGGCCATGGTCAGGCCTGTGCTCAACCCTCAGAGCAGCCCTGCGGGGTCAGTGCAGGGAGCACCTGGATTATTAGTTCCATTTTACAAGTGGGGATGCACAGGCACAGAGAGGTTCTTTGACCAGTCCAAGGTCACCCAGCCAGGAAATAGCAGTTTCCCCTGGGATCCCACCCCAAACCCAGCTGCCTCTGTCCTCTAGGCCTCAGTTTCTCTATCAAGCCAAAGGGTTGGACATGGCTTTCAGGCAGGCGACTTCCAACCCTGGATGCTGCAAGTCCCCAAATCTCTGCCACTTTTCTGAGAGTGACAGCAGCTGAGAAGAGAAAAATTCCCACGTAATGAGCACTTGCTGTACATATTGTCATTTAATTCCCATAAGAGCCCATAAAAGGCTCACAGCTGTAATCTCAGCAGTTTGGGAGGCTGAGGTGGGCAGATCACCTGAGGTCAGGAGTTCGAGACCAGCCTGGCCAACATGATGAAACCCCGTCTCTACCAAAAATACAAAAATTAGCCGGATGTGGTGGCACACACCTGTAATCCCAGCTACTCAGGAGGCTGAGGCAGGAGAGTCGCTTGAACCTGGGAGATGGAGGTTGCAGTGAACCAAGATCACGCCACTGCACTCCAGCCTGGGCAACAGAGCGAGACTCCATCTCAAAACAAAACAAGATAAAATAATAATTCCCATAAGACCCAATTTACAGATGGAGAAACCGAGTCTCCAAAGTCATCTGCCAAGGTCACCAGCTAGTGGGTTGGGAGCTGGGACCTGTCAGCTCTTCACCATGACATGGTGGTGGCCCTGTGGGCATTTGGCAGGGTGTGGTGTTTCTGCTGTGAGGTGGGGGACCCAGGAAGAGCAGCCACCCATATCCAGCCTTGCAGGCCCAGAAAGAGCCCAGTGAGTGGGGTGGGATGAAGGTCAGGCCAGGAGCTCCAGCCAGTCAGCCCCCAGACCCCGCATCTCTCCCTTGTAGCTGGGGCCTGGCGCCTGAAGCAGCTGCTCAGCTTCGCCCTGGGGGGACTCTTGGGCAATGTGTTTCTGCATCTGCTGCCCGAAGCCTGGGCCTACACGTGCAGCGCCAGCCCTGGTAAGTGAGGCCACACGCCAGGGGCAAGACAGTGCCAGGAGTGGGGGCCTGGTGCCCACGCCCAGGGATGGCCAGGATGACCAGGAGAGGGATTCTGGGTTTCTGGCAGGAGCTTGCCTGGGAGGGAGGGAGGGTCATTGTCCTGGTCTCTGGGCCCTGGTCCCAGTGGGAGTTCTGGGCCCCAGCTGCCCAACCCACCCTTGTCACTGCCCTGGTGCCCTGGATGAGATCCCATTCCAAATGGCCCCCTCCTATGGCCCTGGCTTGGCTTGGCCTGGCCTGGCCTGGCATTGCCGCCCCCTGCAGGTGGTGAGGGGCAGAGCCTGCAGCAGCAGCAACAGCTGGGGCTGTGGGTCATTGCTGGCATCCTGACCTTCCTGGCGTTGGAGAAGATGTTCCTGGACAGCAAGGAGGAGGGGACCAGCCAGGTGGGCCCCACACTCAAGGGCCTGGATATATCAGCCTCTGTTCTGTGGTAGTGCCCGGGGCCTGGAGGCCCAGGGTCTGAGTTGAGCCCTGAAAAGAGGGGTCTCCTGGCCCTCTCCTGGGAGCTGCGGGAGGTTGGGCCACCTTCTTTGGGACTGACACCATTAGCCCCTGATGTAGCTTGTTCTGGTAGCCTGATGGTGACAGCAGTTGGGGAGGGTTTGTTGAGTTTGGGGGCACCCAACTGATATAGCAGCAGAGGATTCTAGCTAGAAAAAACAGGGGTTCCTATCTTTTTTTTTTTTTTTTTTTTTGAGACGGAGTCTCGCTCTGTCACCCAGGCTGAAGTGCAGTGGCACGATCGTGGCTCACGGCAACCTCTGCCTCCCGGGTTCAAGCGATTCTCCTGCCTCAGCCTCCCGAGTAGCTGGGACCACAGGTGCGCGCCACCATGCCCAGCTAACTTTTGTATTTTTAGTGGAGACGGGGTTTCACCATGTTGTCCAGGATGGTCTCGATCTCTTGACTTCTTGATCCACCCACCTCAGCCTCCCAATTATTATTATTATTTTTTTGAGAAGAGTCTCGCTCTGTCACCCAGGCTGGAGTGCAGTGGCGCGATCTCGGCTCACTACAGCTTTCACCTCCCAGGTTCAAGCAATTCTTCTGCCTCAGCCTCCCAAGTAGCTGGGACCACGCCCAGCTAATTTTTGTATTTTTAGTAGAGGTGGGGTTTCACCATGTTGGCCAGGCTGGTCTCGAACTCCTGACCTCAGGTGATCCATCTGCCTTGGGCTCCCAAAGTGCTGGGATTACAGGCATGAGCCACTGCACCCAGCCCCCGTCTCTCTTTCTCCATCTCTCTCCCCTTCTGTCTGCCCTGGCTGAGTGGGGGGCATCTAATGTCACCTCTCCCTCCTTCTCCTGGCCCTAGGCCCCCAACAAAGACCCCACTGCTGCTGCCGCCGCGCTCAATGGAGGCCACTGTCTGGCCCAGCCGGCTGCAGAGCCCGGCCTCGGTGCCGTGGTCCGGAGCATCAAAGTGAGTGGCCTGCTCAGGGCCCCTGCAGCCGTACTGCCCTGAGTGGCCAGCCCCACTCAGCCCTGCCTCCTGCCTTCCCTCCTTCCCAGGTCAGCGGCTACCTCAACCTGCTGGCCAACACCATCGATAACTTCACCCACGGGCTGGCTGTGGCTGCCAGCTTCCTTGTGAGCAAGAAGGTGAGGGGCTTGGGGCCAGTGGGGCTCTGGCGATTCCAGTGGCAGCCATGTGGATTCCACCTGTGTCTGGAGTCTCTGCTTCTTGCCCCTCCATTGCCAGCGCCCTCATCTAAGGCTCTCATCCCCCATCCTCCCTGCTGCTGTCCTGGCCGCCACTGTTCTCTGATCCTGAGCCCCTGGTCTGTTCCTGTTCCCAGTACTCCTTGTTGGGTGCCTCTGTCAAGCTGCTAGGCGTGGCCCCTGCCTGCTCCTAGATGCTTCTTCCTCTACCTCCTCCCTCTGGCCTCTGGCCTCTGGCCCAGAGGCAGCCTACTCTGCAGCTGGCCGAGATCTTTCCCACCTCACACTGTTCCCCCTGCCTGGAATGTTCTCCCGCCCACGCTTCGAGCGGCTGACGACTCATCCTTGGGGCCTCGACTTACATGGACTCCTCCACCAGGCCTTTGCTGACCTCCTCATCTAAATTTGGTTCCTGGGCCTGCTCCCCTGGGCACTCTATCCATCCTTTCCTTCCCAGCGCCTGTGAGTGTGTGAGTGAGTCCTGTCTCTCCCCTCTATACCGCTAGCTTCGTGAAGGCAGGTTCCTTGTCCCCTTTAGTCACTGCTGTATTTCCAGTGGCCAACACAGTGCCCACCCAGAGCCAGCTCAGAGCAGAGTAAACCTCTGTGGAATGAGTGGGCGAGTGGGGTGCTCAGCCCTCAACACAGACCCCGCAGCCACGGCTCCCCTCCCTGCAGATCGGGCTCCTGACAACCATGGCCATCCTCCTGCATGAGATCCCCCATGAGGTGAGCGCTTGTAGGGCAGCCCCCAGGGGCCCAGGCCCCCACAGTGCCCATGATCAGCATGGGTGTGGAGCTCAGGAGGGTGTGGGGCTGGGCCTGTCCAGCATGGCACTCTGGGGCTGGGCTGTGAGGGCTGGAGCTCCTCACCCCAGCAGCCTGCAGCTGCCATCTCTGCCATACTCAGGATGGGGGTCCCAGGGGAAGGGTGGGGAAGGGCAGGGGGCTCAGTGTGTATATCGTACCTGAGCACTCAGGGCATCAGGCCCCGCTGGGGCGCAGGGTGAACCTCTGGACCTCCCTTCAGGTGGGCGACTTTGCCATCCTGCTCCGGGCCGGCTTTGACCGATGGAGCGCAGCCAAGCTGCAACTCTCAACAGCGCTGGGGGGCCTACTGGGCGCTGGCTTCGCCATCTGTACCCAGTCCCCCAAGGGAGTAGGTACGGGCGTGGCGGGTGGTTGTGGCGGGTGGCATCAGCAGAGGGGCACCAGCCAAAGGGTGTGGCTACCGCACTGCTGGTCCCCAGGCCCGGGAGGTGGGGAGCACACACAGTGCCTTGGGTACCCAGTTGGGTGTTCTCCCGCTGCAGAGGAGACGGCAGCCTGGGTCCTGCCCTTCACCTCTGGCGGCTTTCTCTACATCGCCTTGGTGAACGTGCTCCCTGACCTCTTGGAAGAAGAGGACCCGTGGTGAGTGACCTGTTGGAGGAAGAGGACTGCCACTCACAGGGCCCTTAGGGGCTCAGGAGGGAAGGGCTCCTGGCCGCTGCCTGCTCCCCCTGCCCATGCCTCCACCGTGAGCCGTTCCCTCCCCACAGGCGCTCCCTGCAGCAGCTGCTTCTGCTCTGTGCGGGCATCGTGGTAATGGTGCTGTTCTCGCTCTTCGTGGATTAACTTTCCCTGATGCCGACGCCCCTGCCCCCTGCAGCAATAAGATGCTCGGATTCACTCTGTGACCGCATATGTGAGAGGCAGAGAGGGCGAGTGGCTGCGAGAGAGAATGAGCCTCCCGCCAGACAGGAGGGAGGTGCGTGTGGATGTATGTGGTGTGCACATGTGGCCAGAGGTGTGTGCGCGAGACCGACACTGTGATCCCTGTGCTGGGTCCGGGGCCCAGTGTAGCGCCTGTCCCCAGCCATGCTGTGGTTACCTCTCCTTGCCGCCCTGTCACCTTCACCTCCCGGAGTAAGCAGCGAGGAAGAGCAGCACTGGTCCCAAGCAGAGGCCTTGCCCTGCTGGGACCCCGGGAGTGAGAGCAGCCCAAGGATCCAGGGTGCAGGGAACTCCAGAGCTGCCCACCTCCCACTGCCCCCTCAGCACACACACAGTCCCCAGGCGGCCTAGGGGCCAAGGCTGGGGCGGCTTTGGTCCCTTTTCCTGGCCCTTCCTTCCCCACTTCTAAGCCAAAGAAAGGAGAGGCAGGTGCTCCTGTACCCCAGCCCCACTCAGCACTGACAGTCCCCAGCTCCTAGTAGTGAGCTGGGAGGCGCTTCCTAAGACCCTTTCCTCAGGGCTGCCCTGGGAGCTCATTCCTGGCCAACACGCCCTGGCAGCACCAGCAGCTCTTGCCACCTCCAGCTGCCAAACAGCAGCCTGCCGGGCAGGGAGCAGCCCCAGGCCAGAGAGGCCTCCCGGTCCAGCTCAGGGATGCTCCTGCCAGCACAGGGGCCAGGGACTCCTGGAGCAGGCACATAGTGAGCCCGGGCAGCCCTGCCCAGCTCAGGCCCCTTTCCTTCCCCATTGAGGTTGGGGTAGGTGGGGGCGGTGAGGGCTCCACGTTGTCAGCGCTCAGGAATGTGCTCCGGCAGAGTGCTGAAGCCATAATCCCCAACCATTTCCCTTGGCTGACGCCCAGGTACTCAGCTGGCCCACTCCACAGCCAGGCCTGGCCCTGCCCTTCACCGTGGATGTTTTCAGAAGTGGCCATCGAGAGGTCTGGATGGTTTTATAGCAACTTTGCTGTGATTCCGTTTGTATCTGTAAATATTTGTTCTATAGATAAGATACAAATAAATATTATCCACATACTGGCTGCCTTGGTTCTGCACGGCCTTCCATGGCCAGGCAGGGCCTTCCTTACTGCCACTGCCAGGCCCTTGTCTCTGAACTGTCACCCCAGTGCATCTCTGAACGTTCCATGTCTTCCTGGCTTAACTTTTTATTCCAATGACTGAGCACCTATATGAGCCTGGCCGTATGCCATTTTAGCCCCTCACCACCACAAACTCCAGGACGCTGTCCTTATCTTTTTTTTTTTTTTGAGACAGAGTCTCACTCTGTCACCCACACTGGAGTGCAGTGGTGCGGTCTTGGCTCACTGCAACCTCCGCCTCCTGGGTTCAAGCAATTCTCCTGCCTCAACCTCCCAAGTAGCTGGGATTTACAGGTGTGTGCCACCACGCCTGGCTTTTTTTTAAAAGTAGAGATAGGGTTTTGCCATATTGGCCAGGCTGGTCTTGAACTCCTGACCTTGTGATCTGCCCGCCTCAGCCTCCCAAAGTGCTGGGCTTACAGGTGTGAGCCACCGCACCCAGTTAGTGCTGTCCTTATAGACCTGAAAGCTGGAGCATTTTCCCCACCTGCCCCCCATTCCACCTTGACTGAAAATGTTATCAGGGAAGGGAGCTCCAGCCACAAAGTCATCTCTAGGTTTGGCCTCAGTGAAATTAAGCTCTCATTCGCTTAAAAAAGAAAGGCCGGATGTGGTGGCTCACGCCTGTAATGCCAGAACTTTGGGAGGCCAAGGTAGGGGGATCGCGAGGTCAGCAGTTCGAGACCAGCCTGGCCAATAAGGTGAAACCCTGTCTCTACTAAAGATACAAAAATTAGCCAGGCGCGGTGGCACGTGCCTGTAATCTCACCTACTCAGGAAGCTGAGGCAGAATTGCTTGAACCCAGAGGCGGAGGCTGTAGTGAGCTGAGATCACACCACTGCACTCCAGCCCGGGTGACAGAGCAAGACTCCATCTCAAAAATAAATAAATAAAAAAGAAAGAGAAAAGAAGAAAAAAGAATATGGGACCCTTATTCAAAACCACACACCCTCCCTTCTGAATGTGTGGAGTATAAGAACACCAGGCGCAGGGCGCCCCTTCCCCAGTCCTGTCAAGAGAATGGGGGTGGGGGTGTCCAGTCCACCTCTTCCCTCCCAGGACCACCGTCAATAGCCCACTGGCTGGGATCTGCAGTCTGGGCAGTGTCATGGAGCGTGGGAGAGGTGGGTGTGAAACCCCAGTGATGTCCTTAGCTGGGAGTGCTTGGCTGTCAGTATTTCTATCAGCAAAACATTTTAAAACAACATAGTATTTGCTTCACCTAGCTGCAACACATCCCGTAAGATAACTGTCTCAAGGACCCATTGACTCCTGGCCTCAGATCCAAGGAATGAGCCATGGCCGTCCCAGCCGGCTGCCCCCCTCACCTATGCAGGTGCTCAGGGCTGCTAGCTGGGGTGCCAAGCCCTGCTGGATGGCAGACAGTGCGTGCAAGCATCACAGCCCACTGGAAGAGGCCGGGGGCCCCATTTTAGAGATGAGGAACCCAAAGCAGGGTGGGTGTGGTCCCTGTGGGGGAACTTGGGTGTCATGGTCAGGAGCAAATGCCCTGTCCGGTTAGAAGAGAGAACAGGAATGGAGGACTGGGGCGGCCAAGTCCAGGGCAGGGGACAGAAACAGAAGCACTTCAGGGGTTGTGCTGCTGGACTCCTGAGGCAGGGGCTGGGGAGTCAGTGGGAAGCCAAGCAGGGCCACCCAGGGAAGGCAAGGGGCCAGCTGGAGTGAAGAGATAGCAGAATTGGGGGAGGGGAGCACAGCGTGACAGACCAGTCCTAGAGGGGCTCCCAGTGGATCCTGTTCAGGCTCAGTTTTTGGCCAAAGATAGGGAGAGAAAGAGCTAAGGGGGTATCTGGAGAAAAGGGGACCCAAGGGCCAGGAAACAAGGGAGGATGCTGAAAGCCTAAACCCAAGCCTGGCTTTACCAGGAGGCAAGGACTAGTGCCAGACACCAAAATGCCGAAAGTGAAAGGGTGGCTTCTATCCAGGTCCTCTGTGCAGGAACTGCAGGGCCATGAGCCTCTGAAAGCTCAGAGCAGAGTGGTGCTCGGGGAGAGAGGGCTCTGAGGGGCCTGAAGGCCCAGGCAGCAGCTGCAGCACCACACACAGCCCCAGAAAGCCTCATCCTGACCAGTGGTATGGGGCCCACGGCTGTCTCCGGGTTTCCAGGCGTCAGCACCTGGGGAAGGTGCCTCCCACACACGCCCCCACTCCTCCAGCCAGAGCCCAGGGAAGGCAGACAAGCAGCGGCAGGGACCCTAAACCATCTTTTATTGCGCACTTCAGCCGTGAGACTGGGGCTGGCCTGTGTGCCCTAGGCGTAGTATTGTAGGTTGGCTTTCTTCTTGGCCTGCACCTCCAGGATGCCTTCCATGTAGTCCTCGTGGGTGAGCTCCGTGGCACCCCTGCGCAGTGCGATCATGCCCTACAGCCGGGACAAACAGAGTCTAGGTCTGAACGCCTGAATGCCTTCCCTGGCTCCCTGAGGCTCAGGCCTCTTCCCTCAGCCGTCTCCACCAGCCAAATGCCCCCATCCTGTCCAGGGAGGGGGCAAGAAGGCACAAAGCAACGCACCCACCCCAGCTGACCACTCACCGCCTCCACACACACAGCCTTGCACTGGGCCCCATTGAAGTCATCTGTGCAGCGGGCCAGCTCCTCGTAGTTCACGTCAGGACTGGGGACAGGACAGATACCACAGGCTCAGTGGCTTATGCGGAATGGGCAGAGGGGCCAAATATCCTCCCCTGGCCCCGTCAAGCAACAAAGTCAAGTTGCCCTGTGATCAGAGGCAAGTCCCTTACTCAATGCGCCTTGTTTTCTTCTCAGTACAAGATGTGGGGGATGAAGGGAGGAAGTTAATGCAGGTTATAACAGGTTATTTCTAGGGTCTCTTGAGCTCTGGCCTTCTAGAAATCTGCATCTGGGACTCCAGGGACTGACTGTCCTCATCCTGTGCCCAGCACTGCGCTTGACACTGTCACATCTAATCCTTACCACGACCCTGTGAAATCAGTGCTATCATCCCCAAGTCCCAAATAAGAAAAGTGAGGCTGAGGCCGGGCGTGGTGGCTCATACCTATAATCCCAGCACTTTGGGAGGCCAAGGTGGGCGGATCACAAGGTCAGGAAATCAAGACCATTCTGGCTAACAAGGTGAAACCTCGTCTCTACTAAAAATACAAAAAATTAGCCGGGCGTGGTGGCGGGCGCCTGTAGTCCCAGCTACTCGGGAGGCTGAGGCAGGAGAATGGCGTGAACCCAGGAGGCGGAGCTTGCAGTGAGCCGAGATCGCGCCACTGTACTCCAGCCTGGGCGACAGAGCGAGACACTGTCTCCAAAAATTAAAAAAAAAAAAAAAAGTAAGGCTGAGAGAGGGCATGCCACCTGCTGAGAGTCATACATATCTGAACTCAAGTCCATCTGGTCCCGGCCATTCCTGGCGTGTGTTAATGGGCTGAGGTGTGAGGCCAGGAAACTAAGTGCCTCCAGCCTCTGTGCCTTCAGATGAGGGGTGGAGTCTAAGGAGCAGAGCACCCAGAATTACGACATGGGCCCTGGCAAGACGCTACATCACACAACTGAGGAGAAACGGAGGCTGGCGTGTGGAACGGTGCTGTGTGTGCCTGGGGCCTGGGAGGTGGTGGTCGTGGAGGCTGGGGAAGATCAGTACAGAGAAGCATGGCAGAGACATCCTCCTGCGCCTGTTCAGGTCTCTGTGCCCTGCCCGTGCTCCTGCTCACCTGACATTCATCTTTCGGGAGTGGATCTGCATGATTCTGGCCCGGGCCTCCTCATTGGGCATCGGGAACTCTATCTTGCGGTCAAGGCGGCCCGAGCGGAGGAGGGCGGGGTCCAGGATGTCCACCCTGTTTGTGGCTGCAATTACCTGAGGAAGAGAAGCCACAACTTGAAAGGAGCAAGGTGTTCACAGATGGGCAGACACGGTCAAAAAAGGCAGAGAGGCAGCCCCCAGAGTGCAGGTGAGACACATGGGATGTTAAAGACAGATCCCAATTCTCATTCCAGCTCCACCACTGGCTAGCTGGGGGCCTGACAGCTCCTGACCTCTGAGCCTCATCATCTTTGCCTGGGAGTGCTAATACTCACCTTAACTTGGGTGTTGGGCTGGAAGCCATCCAGCTGGTTCAGAAGCTCCAGCATTGTCCTCTGCACCTCCCGGTCCCCAGCCTTCTCACTGTCAAAGCTAGGGCACAGGAAGCCCGAGATGCTGGTGAGGGCACAGCTTAGGCAGAGCCCTCCCCTCCTCTACCCCCTGGAAGCCTAACCTAACCCGTCCAGGGCAGGGAAATGGCTCACTCAACTTGGGGCCCCCAGCCCAGGGACTGGCACATAAAAAGTGTCATTAATTGTTGACCACATTCAGAGACTGAAGAGACTCCTAGAATCAGGTGCTGGGCTGAGGATAAAACAGTGAGCAAGGCTGGGTGTGGTGGCTCATGCCTGTAATCCCAGCACTTTGGGAGGCCAAGGTGGGCCTATCACCTGAGGTCAGGAGTTCGAGACCAGCCTGGCCAACCAGGTGAGATGGTGAAACCCCATCTCTACTAAAAATACAAAAATTAGCCAGGCGTGGTGGCAGCCACCTGTAATCTCAGCTACTCGGGACACTGAGGCAGAATTACTTGAACCCGGGAGGTGGAGGTTGCAGTGAGCCGAGATCACGCCACTGCACTCCAGCCTGGACGACAGAGCGAGACTCCATCTCAAAAAAAAAAAAAAAAAAAAAAAAAAGCAAAACCAACCACTGCTTGGGCTGTTAACTGTGATGAATGTACACTTGCAAACTGAGCTAACGCTTAAAAACACAGGTATCTGGCCCAGCCTTGGACGGTGCTGTACAGGAGAGCCCAGGCAGGCATCCCCCGGGAAGTATCCCTGAGGCTGAGATCTGAAGGTTGAAAGCACACCAGCTAGGCAACCAACCAGTGGAGAACAGGGTAAGAGCCACGGCGGGCCTGAAACGCAGGAAGCACCGTGGCAGGAGTCCAGAGCAGGGGAGGCTGGGGACAGGCATGAGATGAGGGTGAAGGCGCAAAAAGGCAGCACACGTTGAGCCTTGTAATTCCAGCATTTATCCCAGGGAGCAACAGGGAGGCCCAGGAAAGTTTGATTTTTTTTTTTTTTTTGAAACAGAGGCTCACTCTGTCATCCAGGCCGGAGCACAGTGGCACAATCTCAGCCCACTGCAACCTCCGCCTCCCAAGTTCAAGTGATTCTCCTGCCTCAGCCTCCCAAGTAGCTGGAATTACAGGCGCACACCACCACACCCGGCTAATTTTTCTATTTTTAGTAGAGATGTGTTTCACCATGTTGGCCAGGCTGGTCTCGAATTCCTGACCTCAAGTGATCTGCCCACCTCAGCCTTCCAAAGTGTAGGGAATACAGGAGTGAGCCACTGCACCCAGCCAGGGTTTTTAACAGGATTGGTTTATGTCAGGGACCACTGTGGGTTCATGTGAGCGAGGTGGCCAGATTCCTGCTTTGGCTTTTTTTGTTTTGTTTTCTTTTTTTTTTTTTGAGACAGAGTCTCACTCTTTCACCAGGCTGGAGTGCAGTGGCGCAATCTTGGCTCACTCCAATCTCTGCCTCCCAGGTTCAAGTGATTCTTGTGCCTCAGCCTCCCAGGCATCTGGGACTACAGGCGCCTGCTACCACGCCCAGCTAATTTTTTGTATTTTTAGTAGAGACAGGGTTTCACCATGTTAGCCAGGATGGTCTCGATCTCCTGACCTCGTGATCCGCCTGCCTCGGCCTCCCAAAGTGCTGGGATTACAGGCGTGAGCCACCGTGCCCGGCCCAGATTCCTGTTTTGAAAGGAACATGCTGGCAGCTGTGGGAATGAATGGCTGGGGAAACAGGGAGGCTATTGATCAGGAGTTAGGAATTGGAATCTCAAGAGTTGAGGAGCCACCATCCAGGGGCAGGAGGGGATACAGGGTGGGAAGGAACCACAATTTAGCACAACTGAGAGTCAACCCGCTTCCCCTTACCGCCACAGAGATCGCTAGGGACCCTTGGCCCTCCCTTACCGCTTGGTGCCGATGGCATCCAACTCATCAATGAAGATGATAGAGGGCGCTTTCTCCTTGGCCAGGGCAAAGGCATCCCGGACTAGCTTGGCACCATCTCCAATGAACATCTGCACCAGCTGGGGGCCAGCCAGCTTTAGGAAGGTGGCCTGGCAGGAAAAGGTGGTAGAGTCAGGTCAAAGGCAGACCCTTTGAGCCCATCTGGTAGAGTTTCTGCTCCTGCCCACTTCCCCCGCATCCCTCCCAAAGTACTCACCTTAGTCTGTGCGGCACAGGCCCGGGCCAGGAGGGTCTTCCCCGTCCCTGGGGGCCCATACATCAGCACCCCTTTTGGAGGTTGGATCCCCAAGTTCTCAAACTTCTCCTTGTGGTTCATTGGCAAGACAATGGCCTCCACCAGCTGCCAGGAGGAAGTCCTGGGTGAGGAGATGAAGCCCTGAGGGCTTCTACAGCCCAACCCTTCATGGCTCCAACCCCAATCTGCATCCCTCCTACTCTAACTCAGGGACACGCCCATTTCTTTCCCCATATCAAGAGGACACAAGGCTGGGCGCGGTGGCTCACGCCTGTAATCCTAGCACTTTGGGAGGCTGAGGCGGGCGGATCACAAGGTCAGGAGATCGAGACCATCCTGGCTAACACGGTGAAACTCCGTCTCTACTAAAAATACAAAAACATTAGCCGGGCGGGGTGGTCGGGTGCCTGTAGTCCCAGCTACTCAGGAGGCTGAGGCAGGAGAATGGCATGAACCCGGGACGCGGAGCTCGTAGTGAGCCAAGATCACGCCACTGCACACCAGCCAGCCTGAGCGGCAGAGCAAGACTCCGTCACAAAAAAAAAAAAAAGAGGACACAGAACACTCATCCCCACCCAGGCTGGCTATGGACTCTCCAGGAACGGGAGTATATGGCAGAAAAGACACCGGGCCAGGGGCTGGGAGCAGTGGCTCATGCCTGTAATCCCAGCACTTTGGGAGGCCAAGGCACGCGGATCACCTGAGGTTGGGAGTTCGAGACCAGCCTGACCAACATGGAGAAACCCCGTCTCTACTAAAAATACTCCGCTAAAATTAGCCAGGCTTGGTGTCGCATGCCTGTAATCCCAGCTACTCGAGAGGCTGAGGCAGAATTGCTTGAACCCGGGAGGCAGAGGTTGCGGTGAGCCGAGATCGTGCCATTGCACTCCAGCATGGGCAGTAAAAGCAAAACTCCATCTCGGAAAAAAAAAAAAAAAGGACACTGGGCCAAGAACCAGGAGCCTGGGCTCCAGTCCTGGCTCTGGTCTCTCTGTGATCCTGGGCAAGGCATTTAAACTCTCTGGGCTTCAGTCTCCTCACCTGTCACATGGCACCCCTCCCTTCCTCCCTAGGTTGCTATGAGGATGAAAGACACATTAGGGAGATGAGCTGCATCAATGGCGTGGAGAAACTAAAAGGCTGACAAGGCTGCTGGCAGCTGCCGTGCCTCCCTCACCTCCTGGATCTGCTTGTCCAAACCCCCAATGTCACTGTATTGCTCCGTGGGCCTCTCGTCTACCTCCATGGCCTTCACCCGCGAGTCATACTCTGTGGGCAGCGTCTCCAGGATCAGATAGGAGTCTTTGTTCACACCCTAAGGACACAGCACAGGGCCTTCAGATTTGGCCCAGCTCAAGGGCTACCCAACTGACTGGGTGACAGGTGTCTGCAGAGGGAAAGACACAGGACTGGGCAATACAAGAATCAAACAGCAAGTAGACAGAATCCCAGACTCTCGGAGCTGTTCTGCCAAGATTCAGAGCCAACAGTGACCTGGGGCGGGTACAGGGGCTCAGCTAGTCACCAGAAAAGCACTGCCTGGGCTCAGGCCCCACTCACCACCAGGTCTCCTGGCTTTAGCTTTTCAGCATCCACCAACCCAATCACAGGAAGGAAGTACGTCTGTGGACAAGTTACAGGGGCAGTCTCAGTTAGTGTCCTCAGGGAAGGCTCCCTAGTCCTGTCCCACATCCGCTCCTCACCCTCCTCCAGTCTCTCATTGCTGAGCCACGCTCACCTGTCGTGTAGAGGTTTTGATCACAGCACACTTGCCCTTCCTCTGGGAGTCCAGGTCAATATTGGCACCATCCTCCTCTTGGTCATTAGGATCAACATCCAGGAGCTGGGAAGGAAAAAATACTCAGCTCCTTGAACTCCCCAAGGCCCAGTGCTTCCTAAGACAGTTCCTAATACCTGCAGGGCTGGCCATCCTTACCTCCCTCCTCCAATAGCCCTGAGCCCACCAAACGTGGGTGCCCCTGCTAAGCCCAGGGATTGATCTCTGTGTAGGTGCTGCTCCTCTGCACAGGGCTCATCTACCCCGGAGGAGACATAACCAACAGAAAAGGAGACACGTGAGACCTCCCAGGACTTTGCAGGCCCCGTCTTCCCCATGAAAGTGCCCCAGGAGGTGTAGCTCTGACATGCAGTTTGGCCTCAATACCTCCACCCACTCTTTCCCTAGTGGCCCCACCCCAGGCTGTCCCCATTCCCTGCTGACTCCCTCTCTTCCCCTCCACATACACACACACCTCGATGACGTTGGAGACAAGGTACGGCAGGGTCTTGTTCACTTTGATTTTCTCACTGTTCTCTTTTATCTTGTCCTTCATGGCTTGGAGCTCATGGGTGACTCTCAACACTTCACTCTTCATGATCTGAGATCAGGAGGGGAGGAGAAGCAAATATAAACCCTGGCACAGCTTATGCTAGAGCCCTGTAACTAGTGAGGTCCAGGGTGCCCAGGGGACCCTCCCGCATCCATTCATCCAGCTCTGAGGCTCTCTGAAGGCAGAGTCTGACTGTGTCCACATCCTGCAGAAGTCAAAAGAGGAGGCCAGTTTGGAAACCTCCTGGTGAAATAGTGGTAGTATTGGAATAAAAGCAGGCCTCCGAGAGAGGCAAACATAGGTTTTAGGTTCTGCCTCATAGTAAGAACTGGGTGCTTTATCGCAGTACAAACCTCTCTGGGCCTGTCTCCTCATCTGTAAAATAGGCATTTTACTAAAAGAAGGATTCTTGAGAGGATTATTCCCAGTTCTCACTGGGAAAGGCAATCTGATAACTTCTCATCTCAGCCCAGGCCTCCCACCACCCCCTACCTGTCTTCTTGTCCCTTTTAAGGCTTAGTTTTCTTTCCTCTCTTCCTGATATGAGGGGGAAGCCCGAGCCCCATGTCTCCCCCAGGGTGCCCGATTAGGAAGTACGAGAGGCGACTCGGATCGCCGGGGCCTGTCCTGTGGGGGCTCCATCGCCCGCACAGGAGCTGTGCGCCCACCTTGATCTCACTGTCCAGCAGCCGTGTGCGCTGGATGATCTCCTCCGTGGACATCTTGAGCACCTCCTCCCCAATTCCATCTTGCTGTAAAAAATTATTTGTTTATTTATATATTTACTTTTACTCAGGACAAGCATCCCTCGTTCTCCGAACCCACTCACAGCCTCAGTTTCCACGCCCATAAAACCAGGATGGAGTCAGGACCCCTGCCCACATCCCAAACAACCCCGTCCCCGGGATCGGGCCAGACCTTGACCCCCAGCCACCTCCTTCCCTCTTGTCAATGGCGTCTCCCTGCGGGCCCCGGTTCCCGGACCGCCAGCTCGCCCGGTGCCCACCTCGGCCTCATCCCACACGGTCGCCATCTTCTCCTGCCGAGTCACTGGACTCTCAATATTCGGCAGCAGATTCATTTCCTGGAGGAGCGGGCAGAAGATGGGACCAGGCGGGAGCCGCAACGGGAGATTAATACCGTCTTTCTTAAAGCCTTCTCTTGACCAGTGGAAAACCTCTCCCCACAAATCCCGACTCTTGACCCGACCAGCTCCGGCCGTGCTGCGGAGCAGCGAATCTGCCTCTCCGATTCCAAAGACCAACCCCTGGCCACAGGCCCCGCCCCCGCGGACCCCGAAACGTTCCCGCCCGCGTCCTATTTTTGCCGGGCGCGAGAGGTGGGGCCGCTATTGGCCGACACGCGCGTTGGGGGCGGGGCCTATGTGTAAAACCGGAAAGGGAGGGAGAAGGGTGGGATCCGCGAGGGCCTTTGGGAAATGTAGTCTTTAATCTGGCCCGTGACAGATGCTTGCGGAGGGGCGCGTTCAAACTCAGACCGTGACCCCGCTAGGAATAAGGGGATTTACACAATGACACTGCCTCCCAATTAATAAACGACATAGGCCAGCCGTGTGCAAAGGGCCAAAAAGGCATGCCACCTCAGTCCGCATTTTTACAATTATTTAAGTACAAGCTGGCCACCCGGAGTTACGGGAGGGAATCATTAACCAGCTTTAAAGAGAAATCGCTGCTGCTCCTAACGTCAGAGCAGGCTTCACGGAATTGTCCACGTGGGAAGAACTCAATTGACCATCAGCCTCTACGATTAAAAACATTATGACTCGGGCCGGGCGCGGTGGCTCACGCCTGTAATCCCAGCACTTTGGGAGGCCGAGGCGGGCGGATCACGAGGTCAGGAGATCGAGACCATCCTGGCTAACACGGTGAAACCCCGTCTCTACTAAATATACAAAAAATTAGCCGGGCGTGGTGGTGGGCGCCCGTAGTCCCAGCTACTCCGGGCTGAGCCAGGAGAATGGCATGAACCTCGGAGGCGGAGCTTGCAGTGAGCCGTGATCGCGCCACTGCACTCCAGCCTGGGCGACAGAGCGAGACTCCGTCTCAAAAAAAATTATGTCTCGTATCTGCAATTGTTTGTTTTCTCTGACCATGGTTAGTAATCTCAGTGAGCAGAGCGGGTCTCCGGATCATGGGAGACTCATTCGTTGTACCCTTGTCGGCTATTTTAAATGATCTCTCCTTATCCTTTGAGGTGAGCCCTGGAGCCCCTTTAAAGGGAACTTCATGTAAGCAACATAGCTTATATTTCAAGTCAAACCATCACAAACACTCTGTTAACCTGATGAAAATCTGTGCAATCGTTGCCTTTTTTTTGTTTGCTTGTTTGTTTTTTGTTTTTTGAGACGGAGTCTCGCTCTGTCGCCCAGGCTGGAATGCAGTGGCGCGGTCTCTCCCTACCGCAACCTCCGCCTCCCGGGTTCAATGGATTCTCCTGCCTCAGCCTCTCAAGTAGCTGGGATTACAGGCACCCACCACCACGCCCAACTAATTTTTGTATTTTTAGTAGAGACAAGGTTTCACCATGTTGACCAGGCTGGTCTCAAACTCCTGGGCGTAAGTGATCTTCCTGCCTCAGCCTCCTAAAGTGTTGGTACTATAGGCATGAACCACTACACCTAGCCTTTGCAGTAGTTTTTTTTGGAACACGGTTGAAAGCAGAATTTTTTTCTTTAAATAACAACATGTACAGCTGCTCACTCAGGCTGACAAAGCGTCTCCTCAAGTAACAGTGCTTTATTCCATTCTCTCAACAAGCCTGCCTTGTGGACAGACTGAATTACCATTCTCAAATTTAAATAAGCATAGGGAGGCTCAGAGAGGTTAAGTGCCTTGCTGGAGGTTATTCAGTGAGTCACTGGCAGCACTAGGACTGCTGACCCCAAATTCTCACTTTGAGTTGCCCGATAGGAGCCAAGAAGCCCAGAGGGGAAAGACTGTCCAATCTGTGCTGGTCCCACTATGCCTGGGTCAGTTGGGTCCCATTCTGGGGCCTACTTTTGGAGATCCTGACAAATACGAATATGTTTAGAAAGCCTCCAGCCTGGGCCTAGGAGGGATGCAGACATTCTCCCCTTAACCAACTTTTAGGTAGGCTCTTCTGAGCCATCTTTTTTTTTTTTTTTTTTTTTTTGAGACGGAGTTTCGCTCTGTCGCCCAGGCTGGAGTGCAGTGGCGGGATCTCGGCTCACTGCAAGCTCCGCCTCCCGGGTTCACGCCATTCTCCTGCCTCAGCCTCCCAAGTAGCTGGGACTACAGGCGCCCGCCACTACGCCCGGCTAATTTTTTGTATTTTTAGTAGAGACGGGGTTTCACCGTTTTAGCCGGGATGGCCTCGATCTCCTGACCTCGTGATCCGCCCGCCTCGGCCTCCCAAAGTGCTGGGACTACAGGCATGAGCCACCGCGCCCGGCCTGAGCCATCTTTTTTTGACTAGGCCTTGTGGGCTGTTCCTTCATCCCTGTCATCAACCTGTCTAACCCTGTTTTCACAAAAATCCTGCTAGTCAGTTTAACGGAATCCCCCCACCCCTGATACCTCATCCCTCTAGATATATGATCCAGGTCCTCATTTATCCTTCACCTTTGAAGTATAAGCCCTTGGCCTGCTTTTTTTTTTTTTTTTTTTTTTTTTGAGACGAAGTCTTGCTCTGTCGCCCAGGCTTGAGTTCAGTGGTGCGATCTTGGCTCACTGCAACCTCCGCCTCCTGTGTTCAAGCAATTCTCCTGTCTCAGCCTCCTGAGTAGCTGGGATTACAGACACCCACCACCAAGCCCAGCTAATTTTTGTATTTTAGTAGAGACGGGGTGTCACCATGTTGGCCAGGATGGTCTCGACCGCCTCATGATCCTCTCGCCTCCACCTCCCAAAGTGCTGGGATTAGAGGCGTGAGCCACTGCACCCGGCCCTGAACATCTCCTTCTTTAATCCTGGCTAGAATGACAGGGATTGATTATCTTGGGAGCCCAGGAGTAGGAATGTCTTGGGGAGATGGGAGAAAAAGGAGAATAGTTTATGAAGGTTCACTCTGCTCAAAAAGGTCAAGGAAGTACCAGGAGGTCAGTCCCAGCAAGGAGCTGGGAACCTGGAGCAGAGCATGTCTTCAGGGAGAAAGAGGTTGGCTGAATTAGGGACCTCTGGTCCATCTGGGCCTCTAGAGAGAAGAGGTCTAGGCCAGGCCTAGAACAGATGTTTCTGTCTTGGCATCAAGCTAGGGTGAGAGCCACCAGGCCAAAACCCTGGAGTCATTCTTTGTTTTTGTTTGTTTGTTTTGAGACAGAGTCTCAGTCTGTCACCCAGGCTGGAGTGCAGTGGTGATTCTCCCACCTCAGCCTCCTGAGTAGCTGGGACTACAGATGCACACCACCACACCCAGCTAATTTTTGTGTTTTTGGTTTTTTTTTTCTGAGACAGAGTTTCACTCTTGTTGTCCAGGCTGGAGTGCAGTGGCACGATCTGGGCTCACTGCAACCTCCACCTCCTGGGTTCAAGCAATTCTCCTGCCTCAGCCTCCCGAGTAGCTGGGATTACAGGCATGCACCACCATGCCTGGCTAATTTTGTATTTTTAGTAGAGGTGGGGTTTCTCCATGTTGGTCAGGCTGGTCTTGAACTCCTAACCTCAGGTGATCCACCCGTCTTGGCCTCCCAAAGTGCTGGGATTACTTTACCTTAAACAAATATCCAGAATTCAGAAATAGTAAGATCTGAATCAAAACAATCAAGCGGAGGGTGTGGAGCTTGGTGGGGCTTTTGGGGGTAAACAAGATTGTCCATGTGCTGAAATGCATAGTTAAGGCTGAGATGGAAATCATTGGTTTCTCTCCTTTTGTATCTATTTGAAAATTTCCAAAACGAAAGATATAACTCCTCCTAACCCCCTTGAATAGGACCATTTCTCACTCCCTCCATTGCCTATCACCCTGGTTCAAGCCACCATCATCTCAGACCTAGCTTATTATTATTATTTGGCATTGCTGTTGCATTTGAGATGGAGTCTTGCTCTGTTGCCCAGGCTGGAGTGTGGTGGTACTATCTTGGCTCACTGCAACCTCTGCCTCCGAGGTTCAAGCAATTCTCTTCCCTCAGCCTCCCAAGTAGCTGAGATTACAGGTGTACACCACCATGCCTGGCTAATTTTTATATTTTTAGTAGAGATGGGGTTTCACCATGTTGGCCAGGCTGGTCTCGAACTCCTGACCTCAAGCGGTCTGCCCGCCTCCATCTCCCAAAGTGCTGGGATTATAGGCATGAGCCACCGCTACCCCTAGATTATTATGGGGACCTTTCCACTGGTCTCCTGGATTCTACCCTAACCCTCCTGTGATGATTAATTTTGACTGGGCCATGGGATGCCCAGGTGTTTGGTTCAACATTATTCTGGGTCTTTTTGTCAGGCTGTTTTTAGACAAGATTGACATTTAAATCAGGAGACTGAGGAAAGCAGGTTGCCCTCTCTAATGTGGGCGGGCCTCATCCTGTCAGTTGCAGGCGTTGAACAGAAAGGCTGACTCCGAGGGAGTTCTTCCTGCCAGATTCCCTTCTGACAGGCATAAAGGTCTTTTCTGCCTTTGGAGTTGAACTGAAACATTATTCTTCACAGGGCTTGAGCCTGACAGCCTTCAGAGGAGAACTACCCCATCGGCTCTCCTGGTTCTCAGACCTTCTGAATCAGGCTGGAACAAAACCATCAAGTCTCCTCGGTCTCCAGAACTCACCCTGCAGATCTAGGGACTTGCCAGACTCCATAATCACATGAGCCAAGTCCTTATACTACATCTCTTTATATAGCAGGTTGGTGCAGAAGTAATTGCAGTTTTTGCCATTAAAAGTACAAGCAGCCAGGCGCGGTGGCTCACGCCTGTAATCCCAGCACTTTGGGAGGCCGAGGCCGGTAGATCACCTGAGGTCAGGAATTCGAGACCAGGCTGACCAAGAGTAACCCCGTCTCTACTAAAAATACAAAAAAAATTAGCCGGGCGTTGGTGGTGGGCATCTGTAATCCCAGATACTCAGGACGCTGAGGCAGGGGAATTGCTTGAACCTGGGAGGTGGAGGTTGCAATGAGCTGAGATCGCACTATTGCACTCCAGCCTGTGCGACTAGACCAAGACTCCATCTCAAAACAAACAAACAAAAAAACACAAAAAACAAAAGTACAAGCAAAAAGATCCTATTGGTTCTGTTTCTCTGGACAATGCTTCCTAAAATCTACTATTTTGAAAAACCCTTTATTTTGAAAAATGTTGAACATACAACAAAGTTTAAAGAATAGACAATGAACACCTGTGTACCTTTCGTCTAGATTTGCCAATTGATAACATTTTGCCACATTTGACTTTGCTCTCTCTTCCTCTGTGTGTGTACACACACACATTTATTCCCAAACCATTTCAAAGTAAGCTACAGGCTGGGTGAGGTAGCTCATGGCTATAATCCCAGCAGTCTGGGAGGCCAAGATAGGAGAATCTCTTGAGCCCAGGGGTTTGAGACCAGCCTGGGCAATGTAGGGAGAGCCCATCTCTAAAAATAATTTTAAAAAATTAGCCAGGTGCGGTGGCACATGCCTGTAGTCCCAGCTACTCAGGAGGTGGAGGCAGGAGGAACACCTGAGCCCAGGAGGTCAAGGCCGCGGTGAGCTATGATCATGCCACCACACTCTGGCATGGATGACAGAGAACGTCATTTCTGTCCGGGCACAGTGGCTCATGCCTGTAATCTCAGCACTTTGGGAGGCCAAGGTGAACAGATCACTTGAGGTCAGAAATTTGAGACCAGCCTGGCCAACATGGTAAAACCTCGTCTCTACTAAAAATACAAAAATCAGTGGCGCGTGCCTATAGTTCCAGTTACTTGGGAGGCTGAGGCAAGATAATCACTTGAACCTGGGAGGCAGAGGATGCAGTGAGCTGAGATCAGGCCACTGCACTCCAGCCTGGGCAACACAGCAAGACTCCGTCATAAAAAAAAAAATCAAAATAACTTCCAGACTTCATGACACTTCACCTGTAAATACTTCAGCCCGTGTCTCCTAAAAACAGACATTTTCATACATAGCTATGATACATTGGTAGTATAATACCTTGTCAGCTGGGGGTGGTGGCTCACGCCTGTAGTCCCAGAATTTTGGGAGGCCAAAGCAGGCGGATCACTTGAGGTTGGTATCCGAGACCAGTCTGGCCAACATGGAGAAACCCTGTCTCTACTAAAAATACAAAAATTAGCTGGGCATGGTGGTGCATGCCTGTAATCCCAGCTACTCAGGAGGCTGAGGCAGGAGAATCACTTGAGCCTGGGAGGTGGAGGTAGCAGTGAGTCAAGATTGCGCCACTGCACTCCAGCCTAGGTGACAGAGGGAGACTCTGTCTCCAAAAAAAAAAAAAAAAAAAAAAAATCTATCTATCTATATATATAGTCATACCCAGGGAATTTAATATTGATGCAATAATATCCAATATATAGTCTATATAAAAATGTCTTAAATTATTCCCTAAACATCCCTTATAGCCTTTAAAAAAAAAATCCAGTATCGTTGGCCAGGTGCGGTGGCTCACGCCTGTAATCCCAGCACTTTGGGAGGCCGAGGCGGGTGGATCACCTGAGGTCAGGAGTTCATAGACCAGCCTGGCCAACATGGCGAAACCCTGTCTCTACTAAAAATACAAAAAATTAGCTGGGCGCTGTGGTGGGCGCCTGTAATCCCAGCTACTTGGGAGGCTGAGGCAGGAGAATTGCTTGAACCTGGAAAGTGGAGGTTGCAGTGAGCCGATATCGCGCCACTGCACTCCAGCCTGGGCAACAGAGCAAGACTCCATCTAAGAAATAAATAAATAAATAAATAAAATAAAATAATTTTAAAAATCCAGCATCAAGTCAAGGGTCACATGATCCATTTAGTTGTCACATCTCTTTAATCTTCTTTATTCCAGAACAATCTCTCAATCATTTTGGTCTTTCATGGCCTTGGCATTTTTGAAACATTCAGGCCAGCTGTCTTGTATGGAATCTGTTCTCCACATAGCAACCAGAGGAATTCTTGTAAAACCAAGTCAGATCACGTCACTCCTCTGCTCAAAATCCTCAGCAGGTGCCCGACTCGCCAGAGCAGGAGCCAAAGTCCTTCCCAAGTCCTGCATGTGTTCACACCACACTCTCCTCCTGGCCTCCACTCCTCCTCCTTCCCTCCTGCTCACTTACAGGCCTCCCTGCTGCTCCTGAGCACATCAGGCAAGCTCCTGTCTTAGGATTCTGTTCTCTAGGAGAATGCTCTTTCCAGGAAATCTGCTTAGTTCAATCTCTCACCTCCTTTAAGGTTTCACTCACATGCCACCTTCTCAATGAGGCCCAGCCTGTTTCGTTTTTTTTTTTTCACAGGGTCTCACTCTGGCCCAGGCTGGAGTGCAGTGGTGCCATCTCAGCTCTTTGCAGCCTCTGCCTCCTGGGCTTAAGTGATACTCCCACCTCAGCCTCCCAAGTAGTTGGGATTACAGATGTGCACCACCACATGTGGCTAATTTTTGTATTTTTAGTAGAGACAGGGTTTTGCCGTGTTGCCCAGGCTGGTCTCGAACTCCTGACCTCAAGTGATTTGCCTGCCTCCGCCTCCCAAACTACTGGAGTTACAGGCGTGAGCCACCACACCCAGACAATTAGTGCCTTTATAGGAAGAGGAAGACAGAGGGAGGGAGGGAAAGAGACTAGGGGGTGGGGGGCAGATCACCTGAGGTCAGGTGTTCGAGACCAGCCTGGCCAACATGGCCAAATTCTGTCTCTACTAAAAATACAAAAATTAGCCGGGTGTGGTGACACGTGCCTGTAATCCCAGCATTTTGGGAGGCTGAGGCAGGTGGATTGCTTGAGTCCAGGACTTCATGACCAGCCTGACCAACATGGTGAAACCCTATCTCTACTAAAAATACAAAAATTAGGCAGGCATAGTGGCACATACCTGTAATCCTGGCTACTTGGGAGGCTGAGGCAGTGAGCCAAGACCATGCCACTGCACTCTAGCCTGGGCAACAGAGCGAGACTCTGTCTCAAAAATAAATAAATACATAAAAAGAGAGAGAGAGAGGGCTCAATCTTGCTGTCACCACAGCAGCATGGGGGGAAAGTCTTGTAAGAACACAGAGAGAAGGGCAAGTCAGGAGGAGAGGCTTCTTGAATTTTCTGGCACCTCGATCTTGGATGTCCTGTCTCTAGAACTGTAAGTTTTAGTTGTTTAAGCTTCTCATCCTAAGGTGCCTTGTTATGGCAGCCTGAGCTGCGACATTCACTGTTACTCATTATCAGTGGCTGCTGGGAGCCCATCCAAGCTGGCTCCTGTGGCCTTTGAGTTTTCCTCATTATTCTTTCAACTTCCCTTGCTTTCTGGCACAAAATAGCTCTGGCTCATCTTGTACTCTCTATGACCCAGCCCTGGAATCAGGCCCTTGACCAAAGAGCCTTGGTTCCTTTTTGTGAAACATGGTGTTTCAAAGCCAAGCCCTGGCTGCTGGGTGAGCTCATTGCTGTTGGCATATCACTGCGCCCAGGCTGGTGGACACGCACATTTATAACTATATTTATTTCTAGATCTACCCGTATATTTTGAAATCCATGAGTTCACACTGATTCTTACAATTCTAATTCAGCGCCACAGGGTCCACTCTGGTTCTCTCCCTTTCCATATTTGTAATTCTCTCCATCAATAGTGAGAAAGCGGCCAGGCACGGTGGCTCACACCTGTAATCTCAGCACTTTGGGAGGCTGAGGCAGGCGGATCATGGGGTCAGGAGATCGAGACCATCCTGGCTAACACAGTGAAAACCTGTCTCTACTAAAAATGCAAAAAATTAGCCGGCATGGTGGCACATGCCTGTAGTCCCAGTTACTCAGGAGGCTGAGGCAGGAGAATTGCTTCAACCCAGGAGGCAGAGGTTGCAGTGAGCCAAGATGGAGGCATTGCACTCCAGCTTGGGTGACAAAGCAAGACTCCATCTAAAAAAAAAAAAAAGTGAGAAAGCTGCCTTCCACTGTCCTTAATCTACCTACTTTTTTTTTTTTTTTTTTTGAGATGGAGTCTCACTCTTGTTGCCCAGGCTGGAGTGCAGTGGTGTGCTCTCAGCTCACTGCAACCTCCACCTCCTGGGCTCAAGGGATTCTCCTGCCTCAGCCTCCAAGTAGCTGGGATTACAAGTGTGCACCACCACGCCCAGCTAATTTTTTTTTTTTTTTTTTTTTGAGACAGAGTCTTGCTCTGTCACCCAGGCTGGAGTGCAGTGGCAGGATTTCGGCTCACTGCAAGCTCTGCTTCCTTGGTTCACGCCATTCTCCTGCCTCAGCCTCCTGAGTAGCTGGGACTACAGGCGCCTGCCACCACGCCAGGCTAATTTTTTTTTGTATTTTTAGTAGAGATGGGGTTTCACCATGTTGGCCAGGCTGCTTTCGAACTCCTGACCTCAAGTGATCCACTTGCCTCGGCTTCCCAGAGTGCTGGGATTATAGACTGTGAGCCACCGCACCTGACCTACTTACTTGTTTGATCAACCCCCTCTGTGTACCCAGTGTTCCACTGCCACTCCCTTCCACACACAGAACCCTCTTCACTCCATCCTTGACCTAATGCCCCCTGCCAGGATGCCCCAAATCATGTGCATGGCCTATTCGCTCTACTCAAGCTCTGATGCCTCACACAAACCTTCACCAATTTGGATGCCTCCTTACTCTGGTGAGGTCCCAATGGCCCACGCCAGGCTGCCCCTCCTTGGGCTTGGTCTCTGACACTTCAAAACAACCCAACCCCATGTGTGGATTCTGTCCTCTCTCCACACAGGTTCTGACCTCTCACCCCAGGCCTTGCCCTGTGTGGACACTCTTCAGCCTGCTTAGATTCCAGTGCCTCACACCAGGTCACCCCTCCACACAGATGCTTGTCTTGCTCTGTCCCACTTAATGGTTTTAGAACTGGTTTAGGGAAGGGGGTGAACATGAGGAAGAGGGACCAGGCTCTACTCTTTTTTCTTTTTTGAGATGGAGTCTCGCTCTGTTGCCCAGGCTGGAGTGCAATGGCACAATCTCAGCCCACCACAACTGCCACCTCCCAGGATCAAGCGATTCTCCTGCTTCAGCCTCCGGAGGAGCTGGGATTACAGGCGCCCACCACCGCGCCCAGCTAATGTTTGTATTTTTAGTAGAGACGGGGTTTCACCATGTTGGTCAGGCTGGTCTCGAACTCCTGACCTCAGGTGATCCAACCTCCCCTCTGCCTCCCAGAGTGCTGGGATTACAGGTGTGAGCCACTGCGCCAGGCCTCTACTCTTATTTTTTTTTTTTTGAGACAGAGTATTGCTCTGTCCCCCAGGCTGAAGTGCAGTAGTATGATCTTGGCTCACTGCAACCTCTGCCTCCCAGGTTCAAGAGATTCTCCTGCTTCATCCTCCCGAGTAGCTGGGACTACAGGTGTGTGCCACCATGCTGACTAATTTTTGTATTTTTTTTTTTCTAGAGACAGGGTTTTGCCATGTTGTACAGGCTGGTCTTGAACTCCTGGGTTCAAGTGACCCACCCACCTCGGCCTCCCAAAGTGCTGGAATTACAAGCAGGAACCACTGCACACAACCAGGCTCTACTCTTTATTGTTACAAAGAACTTATCACATTATATGAGCCTGCTAGGACTGTCATTAGGCAGGTGAGGCCTTTGGGAGGCAATTAGGTCATGAGGGTGGAGCCCTTATATATGGGATTAGTGCCCTTATTAAGGGACTGTGCCTGGCATGGTTGTTCTCGCCTGTAATCCCAGCACTTTGGGAGGCCAAGACAGGTGGATCTTTTGAGGTCAGGAGTTAGAGACCAGCCTGGCCAACTTGGAGAAACCCTGTCTCTACTAAAAATAGAAAAATTAGCCAGGCATGTTGATGCGTGTCTGTAATCCCAGCTACTCAGGAGGCTGAGGCAGGAGAACTGCTTGAACCCGGGAGGCGGAGGTTGCAGTGAGCTGAGATCTCACCACTGCACTCCAGCCTGGGCGACAGAGTGAGACCCTGTCTCAAAAAGAAAAAAAAAAAAGGAATGCAGAGAACTTCCTTGTCCCTTCCACCATGCAAGAACACAGCAAGAAAACTCAATCTGTGAGCAAGAATGTGCGCCCTCACCAGACACCCAATCTGCAGGTGCCTTGATCTTGGACTTCCCAGCCTCCAGAACTGTGACATATCAATTCCTGTTGTTTACAAGCCACCCAGTCTGTTTCGTTACAACAGCCCAAACGGACTAAGCCTTCAACATGGGAATCTGGGGGGACACGATTCGTCTATAGCAGCTTCCCACCAGGCTTTCCAAACTGTGTGTTTCCTGTTTATCATATACCCTCCCACCCACTGCACGTCAGCTTCTCACTGCAGGGATCGTGTCTCTGTGGCATCCCAAGTTCCTGGAGGGGCTGCTGGAGGCCCTTGTACATATGTGCAGAGGAAACGCTTGCGTCTGAGGAAGCTCCTGTGGGGCGCCTCACTCCCACTCTCCCCACTCCTCAGACCTTGGGCATGGAAAGTCGGAATCCCTGGGACCAGGTACAAACAGTTTATTTTTCTATAAAGAGCAAAGTACAAAGAGGCAGGGAGGGGAGCTGGGCCCAGGGGAGCAGCCCTGGGCAGGCCCCAAGGCCTTGGCTATGGTGAGGACGACCTGGCAGCTGCCCCAGGAGTAAATGGGCCTCTGGCGTGCAGTGGAGAAAGAGCAGGAGTGGCGAGGAGGAAGCCCACGCCTGCTGCCAGGAGTCATACAAAGCCAGGCTTCATGGATGAGCGGCGGCAGTTGGGACAGCTCCGGGTCCCGTTGTTCTGCAGGCACCTGGGGAGGCAAAGGGCCCTGTCCACTCCCCTGAGGCCTGTCCTTCCCTCCGGGCCCTCTCTTCCTTCCTTGCCTGCCCTCTGCAGGGGCTGGGATGCATCCTGGTGGCTGTTCAGCAGCAGTGGAAGGGAAGGGAACGGTCCCCCCAGGCTCCCACTGCACCCGGCTTGCCCCTCTCCTCCTCTGCCCCAGGGACCTCCAGGGCAGAGCAGGGGCTGGGAGTTGAGAGGATGGGATGGAACCAGACCCACGGCAGGTCTGGCCCTGGACGTCCGACCTAATGACCTTTGAGGGGCCTCTCTGACTCCTCTTTGGGGATTATGAAAAGAATGGCCACAGATCTCAGCTCACTGCAGCCTCTGCCTCCCGGGTTCAAGTGATTCTCCTGCCTCAGCCTCCCGAGTAGTTGGGATTACAGGCTCCCACCACCATGCCTGGGTAATTTTTGTATTTTTAGTAGAGACGGGGTTTCACCATGTTGGCCAAGATGATCTTGAACCCCGGGGCTCAAGTGATCAGCCCGCCTCGGCCTCCCAAAGTGCTTGCGAGACAGACGTGAGGCACCACGCCTGGCCAAGGTTAAGTGTTTGCTATTAGTATTATTGCTGTGATTAAGCCAGCTGGGCCCTAGAGTGCCCCGAAGAGATCCTGCCCACCCCTGTCCACCCCCCCAGGAGCCCCCACCTGAGGTGGAAGATGTGGGAGCAAGGTAGGGCCTGCAGCCGGCTGTTCTTCTCGCCTATGGACTCGCCGCACAGGCCGCAGTAGAGCTCCGTCTCCTCCACGCACTCGTGGAACCTCACAACGTGCGCCCGCAGTTCCCGCTGCAGCCCTTTGCTGCGGTAAATGCTCTCGCTCAGACAGTGCAGCTTGAGCTGGCTCAGCTGGGGCCCGCAGGAGTGGAGAGCGCCAGTGGGGGATGAGAACAAAGTCAGTGCAGGTAGGCTCCGGTCTCAGCCACTTCCCTGTCTTGCTGATGGACCTTGGAAAAATGTCCTGCCCTCTCTGGGACCTTGCTTCCTTTCATGCAGAATGAGGCGGTGGGTGAGATCAGAAGACTTCACCCCCCAGAACTGCCTGGAGACCCCATGTTTTTGACAGATTTTATGACCAAACCTGGTGCACAGACTCCATAATAATTTGCGGCAGGGCGCCGTGGCTCATGCCTGTAATCCCAGCACTTGGGGAGGCCGAGGCAGGTGGATCACCTGAGGCCAGGAGTTCGAGACCAGCCTGGCCAACATGGCGAAACCCCATCTCTACTAAAAATACAAAAATTAGCCGGGGGTGGTGGTGAGTGCCTGTAATCCCTGCTACTCAGGAGACTGAGGCAGGAGAATCGCTTGAACCCAGGAGGCGGAGGTTGCAGTAAGCCGAAATCGCACCACTGCACTCCAGCCTGGGCTCTAATAGTGAAACTCCGTCTCAAAAAAAAATAATAATTAATCTGCTTTCCTGTTTTTATTAATTAAATATACACACAATAGCTCATCAGCATTTCTGATCAGCCTGATACCCAGGTAAACCAGAGTGGCTATAATCCAACCAAATTTTGGCATTTTGGTTGGACTGTGCACAGGATCTCGTAGAAATGCACATCTGGAAGGCTTTGAGAAGTGGTGAACCTGTTTTCAAGATTTTAAGGTTTTAATAAGATTATGACGATTTTTTTTTTTTTTTTTTTAGATGGAGTCTTGCTCTGTCACCCAGGCTGGAGTACAGTGGCACAATCTTGGTTCATGGCAACCTCCACCTCCCGGGTTCAAGTGATTCTCCTGCCTCAGCCTCCCAAGCAGCTGGGATTACAGGCGTGCACTACCACACCTGGCTAATTTTTGTATTTTTAGTAGAGACAGAGTTTCACCATGTTGGTCAGGCTGATCTCAGGTGATCTGCCCACCTCGGCCTCCCAAAATGCAGGTGTGAGCCACCGCACCCGGCCTTGGTTTTGGTTTTTAGGCCATGCTAATCTTCTCTGTATTGTTCCAATTTCAGAATATGGGCTGCCAAAGCAAGCACTAGATACCATTATTAAATTTGGAACATGGGCTTTGTAGTTAAAACAGACAAGTTAGTAGGTGTGGGACCTTGGACGCCTCTTTGAGCCTCACTTTTCCTCATCTGTAAAATGGGGCTTGCTGTACTCACCTCACAGGGAGAGAGTGAGGACTGGACCCAGTACCCATAAGGACCCTGTGTGTGCTCAGTGCTCAGGGAGTGGAGGCCACTGTTAGTTTTTGTTTGTTTTGAGATAAGGTCTCACTCTGTTACCCAGGCTGGAGTGCAGTGGAGCAATCACAGCTCACTGCAGCCTTGACCTCCTGGGCTCAAGCTATCCTCCCACCTCAGCCTCCCAAGTAGTTGGGACCTCAGGTGTGTGCCACAACAGCTGGCTAATTTTAAAACATTTTTTGTAGAGGCCGGGCCTGGTGGCTCATGCCTGTAATCCCAGCACTTTGGGAGGCCGAGGCAGGTGGATCACCTGAGGTCAGGAGTTTCAGACAAGCCTGGCCAACGCAGTGAATCCCCATCTCTATAAAAAATACAAAAATTAGCCCAGTGTGGTGGCGGGTGCCTATAATCCCAGCTACTCAGGAGGCTGAAGCAGGAGAATCACTTCAACCTGGGAGGCAGAGGTTGCAGTAAGCTGGGATCGCGCTATTGCACTCCAGCCTGGGAGACAAGAGCAAAACTCAATCTCAAAAATGTTTTTTTCTTTTCTTTTCTTTTCTTTTTTAGAGCATGGGTCTCATTATGTAGCCCAGGCTGCTCTCGAACTTCTGGGCTCAAGTGATCCTCCTACCTCGGCCTCCCAAAATTCTAGGATTATAGATGTGAGCCACCATGTCCAGCCCACTGTTAGGGGTTTTAATCAACATCAGGAAGCTTCTGAGGAATTCTGCTATCCTCCAAGCTATGAAACTTCTGCCCTGCCCTCAGAAGTGCTGTGTGTGTGGCAGAGAAAGAGCCAGAGTATGGGGTTGGCTGCAGGCAGCTCCCAGCATCAGGAAGGGCTCATGACGTGAGTAGGCTCAGGAAGGCCCTTCCCCAGACCCAAGTTCCCCACTTGGGCCCTTGACCCCAGATCCAGGACACAGAATCAAGTCTGACCTTGTTCCCCACCTCCTCGGCCAGATCCTGGGCTCTCTCGATGGCATCCAGAGCCTGGAAGGTGAGCATAGGCCAGGGCTGCGGGCAGAGCTGTCTGACAGGCCTTGCTCACAGGGAAGCACAGGGTAGGGGGGCAGGCCTAGGGAGGGTGACATGGCAGCTGCCTTGTGTGTGAAGGCAGCAGGAAGAGACTAGGGCACAGTCATAGGGGCTGTGTGGGCAAGTGACCTCCTGCCTCAGTTTACCCAGGGTTCCAGCCCTTTACTAGCTGTGGGTCCTAGGGCAAGTGATGGGCCTTCTCTGAGCCTGGAAAATGACCAGGAATGTCCTGGCCTCGTAGGATCAGGGTGAGGCTGACGTCAGACAAAGTGGCTGAAAGAGCCGGCTAACCTACTGGCCCCAAGTGGGGAGTGCTGGGAGGGCTGGAGGCTGTGGGAAAGGCCCGACCTCACCTTGTCCAGCGCCTTCCTGGCCACCCAGCACTTGGCCACACCCAGCAGCGCCTGCACCTGCCCCAGGCGGTTTCCGATCTCGGTCATGATGCTCATGGCGGAGTCGTACCTGGGGAAGGCTGTCTGCAGAGCCAGGTGGGGGATGGAATCAGGCTGTATCAGGCCTGTGCCCCTGCCCCCTGCCCCCAGCCCCTGCATCCCGGTGACCTCACCTCCAGGTCCCCACGGCTCCGGTGGATGTCAGCGAAGCAGAGCAGGCAGAGCGCCTGCAGTGGCCGGTCCCCGTGCTGCAGCGCGATCTTCATAGACTCCTGCGAGGGAGGCCAGTGGCTCAGGCCTACTCCTCTGCCACCACCACTGGAGTGCCCTCCCCTCAACAGACCCCTCTGAAGGGACAGCCCAGGGAAGCAACATCCTCAGAGCCTAGTGAATCTATCATGGTGCTGAGGGCTCACACACTGAACCACTGAAGTCACAGCACCCAGCAAGGTGGGTGGAAAGTGAGGCTCAAAGAGAAGTGACTTGATTGGGGTCACCCAGTAAGTGACAAAGCTGGGATGTGAACCCAGGTCAGTGGGACTCCAGAAACTGGCCCTCTTCCGTCTCTACCCTTCAAAGTACCCCATATAGGGTGTTGGGGCAGAAGGAAGCCCCCTCCCCTGCAGATGGATTGGAAGGGAGTGGGTTTGGGATGAGGCTGGGGGACAAATGTTTCCTTCAGGGGTTCAGCTGTAGAGAACTCATCTCATTTAAAAAATAAAAACTGGGCCAGGCACAAGTGGCTCATGCCTGGAATCCCAGCACTTTGGGAGGCCAAGACACGAGGATCGCTTCAGCACAGGAGGGTGGTTTAGTGAGACCCCGTCTCTACAAAAATAAAATTAGCTGTGCATGGTGGTGCACGCCTTTAGAGAGGCTGGGCCAGAGGCAAGCCCTAGGGGGCTTCCATGGGCTGATTTGGAAGAAGGAAGCCCTGCTGTCCCAGGCCCCAGCCCCTGGCCCACACCACCTCATCCCCGACCTGCCCCCTTCCCCGCTGCCCCACCTCACAACACTCCATGGCACTGCCCAGGCGGCCCAGCAGGCGATAGGCCACGGCCATGTGGTACTGGCTCATGGCCCGGTACTTCAGGCTCCAGCCTTTGCCATAGTTGTTGACAAGCTCTGCCGCCTTGCAGGGGAAGAACAGGGCTTTCTCGTAGTCCTGCAGGGGACATGGAATGGAAGGAGGCAAACTGAGTGGCAGAGGCTGCCCCAAGTCAAGGGCTCCTGGGCTAGGTTTCTCTAACAGCAGGTAGGGGCAGGGGGCCCGAGTGTCTGCTCATTCATTGTGACATCCAGGACAAGAGTGGCCCGGTAGAGGGAACAGCCAGTGCAAAGGTGTCGCTCTGTGGACTCAGGGATTCTCATCTGGTTTGTGACGCATCCCAAGAGCCTAGCACAGTTCTTGGCACTTGGTAGATGCACAATAAATATTTGTTGAGTGAATGAATGAAAAGACAAGAAAACACAGTTGGCTTCTCTTTTCTCCCAATGCCAAATGGGCTCCTCAGCTTCAGAGATGCACAGGGATGGGAGATACCAGATCCCTCCACTAGAGCTTGCCTGCTGGCACCCGGAAGCAGGTGTTCACTGAAGCTCAGTGGCAGACTGGCAGCACAACAGGCTCAAAAGAACATCAGACAGACTCAGCGAGGCGATGCAACCATTGGCTTGTACTTTTTCCTCAAGCTTCCAAATGCATTTTCTACCTGCTCATGGTCAGCTGATGACCTCGCCTCAACTCCACGAGGAAAAGGAAGAAAATCAGGGAGAAGCTCCTTCCCCTCCTGTCTCCACCAGATCTCCCATCTCCGCACCTCTGCTCCCACGCTCCCTGCCTCCTTTCCTGTCACTGTGGAGGATGGCTCCTGTTCCCATCAAATGCCAGCCTCCGATGAGCAGTCTCTGCATCGTCAGGTCCTCTCTTTCTACAGAATCTTTCCCATCCACGTGCAAACATGTCTGGCATTTCTCATCTCATTTAAAAAATAAAAACTGGGCCAGGCACAGTGGTTCACGCCTGGAATCCCAGCACTTTGGGAGGCCAAGACAGGAGGAACGCTTGAGCATAGGAGTTGGAGAATGGCCTGGGCAACTTAGTGAGACCCTGTCTCTACAAAAATAAAATCAGCTGTGCATAGTGGTGCACGCCTGTAGTTCCAAGCTACTCAAGAGGCTGAGGTGGGAGAATCACTTGAGCACAGGAGGTCGAGGATATGGTGAGCTGAGATTGCACCACTGCACTCCAGCCTGGGTGACAGAGGCAGACTCTGTCTCACAAAAAAAAAAAAAAAAAAAAAAAAAAAAGAAAAGAAAAGAAAAGAAGGAAAGAAAAAAGAAAACTAACCCACCTTCTCGTGACGTCATTTCCCTTCAGCTAAAGCCCCATTTCACTGTTCTTTTTCAAGGTAAATCTATTTGATCTTTCACTTAATATTTAACAAGCAGCTCCAAGTTAACATGACCAAAAGAGAAGTGTCAATAACCCCCCCAAAAAACCCTTTTCCTAATATGCCTTATTACATACTTTTGAAGCCACATAAATGTTTTACAGATTAAAAAATTAAATTTAATTTGAAAAATACCTAAAAATAGAAAATGGAGGTCAGGTGCAATGGCTCATGTCTGTAATCCCAGCACTCGGGGAAGCTGAGTTGGGAGAACAGCTTGAGGCCAGGAGTTCAAGATCAGCCTGGGCAACATTGCAAGACCACTGTCTCTACAAAAAATTTAAAAATTAGCCAGATGTGGAAGAATGTGCCTGTAGTCCCAGCTACTCAGGAAGCTGAGGAGGGAGGATCGCTTGAACACAGGAGTTTTAGGTTACAGTGAACCGTGATTGAGCCACTGCACTCCATCCTGGGTGACAGAGCAAGATCCTGTCTCAAAAAAAAACAAAAACAAAAACAAAAACAAAAACCTAAGGCTGGGTGCAGTGGCTCACACCTGTAATCCCAGCACTTTGGGAGGCCAAGATGGGCAGATCATGAAGTCAGGAGATCGAGACCATCCTGGCTAATATGGTGAAACCCCATCTCCACTAAAATACAAAAAAACTAGCTAGGTGTGGTGACAAGTGCCTGTGGTCCCAGCTACTTGGGAGGCTGAGGCAGGAGAATCACTTGAATCTGGGAGACAGAGGTTGCAGTGAGCCGAGATCGCGCCACTGCACTCCAGCCTGGGCAACAGAGCAAGACACTGTCTCAAAAAAAAAAAAAAAAAAAAAAGTAAATAAATGTCCCTAACTGTGTGTCATATTACTACAACCACACACACAAATAATTATTTTGGCCGGGCGCAGTGGCTTATGCCTGTAATCCCAGCACTTTGGGAGGCCAAGGCGGGTGGACTACAAGGTCAAGAGATCCAGACCATCCTGGCTAACATGGTGAAACCCCGTCTCTACTAGAAATACACACACAAAAAAAATTAGCGGGGCGTGGTGGCAGGCGCCTGTAGTCCCAGCTACTCGGGAGGCTGAGGCAGGAGAATGGCGTGAACCCGGGAGGCGGAGGGTGCAGTGACCGAGATCGTGCCACTGCACTCCAGCCTGGGTGACAGAGTAAGACTCCGTCTCTAAAAAAAAATATATATATATTATTTCAATGACTTTGGAACAAAAGTACTCAGTTTACCCATAGTGGGATACATTACAAAAACAAGGCTGGGCACAGTGGCTCACACCGGTAATCCCAGCACTTTGGGAGGCTGAAGCGGGTGGATCACCAGGTCAAGAGATTGAGACCATCCTGGCCAACATGGTGAAACCCCGTCTCTACTAAAAATACAGAAAATTAGCTGGGCATAGTGGCGTGTGCCGGTAGTCCCAGCTACTCGGGAGGCTGAGCCAGGAGAATCGCTTGAACCCGGGAGGCAGAAGTGGCAGTGAGCCGAGATCGAGCCACTGCACTCCAGCCTAGGCAACAGAGCGAGACTGTCTCAAAAAAAAAAAAAAAAAAAAAAGCCAAAAGAACAGCAAAGAAATCTTAAACTTCATTCAGTTGTCTTTATTTTCTAGAGTAATATTGGTATTGTCTTTTGGAATTATTTTACGTATTTTGTAGGGTAAAGCAAATATTTAATTATGTGGTTAGAAACTAAGATTTTTCATCTAAGAGAAAAGACAATCAAGTTTAAAATAAGTTAAGGGGAGCTCCTGAAACATTAGATTTGAATTGGAAATGTCAGTATAAACTTCCATTATTCTGATAACTGAAAAGATTTAGAAGCACGGACATCCCACTAGCAATGAACACCCCACAAGCCCACACTTGGGCTTTTTTTTTTTTTCTCTCACACAGGGTCTTGCTCTGTTGCCCAGGCTGGAATGCAGTGGAACACTCATGGCTCACTGCAGCCTCAAACTCCTGGGCTCAAGCGATCCTCCCGCCTCAGCCTCCTGAGTAGCTGAAACAATAGGTGTGAGCCACCATGTCTGGTTCATTTTTAAAGTTTGGTGCAGATGGGGTCTTGCTATGCGACTCAAGCTGCTCTCAAACTCCTGGGCTCAAGCAATCCTTCTGCTTGGCCTCTCAAAGTGCTCAGATTATAGGCATGAGCCTTGCCAAATTAAAAAAAAAAAAAAACTGTTTGTAGACGCTGGTCTGGAACTCCTGGTCTTGAGCGATCCTCACCCCTCAGCTTCTCAAAGTGCTGGGATTACAAGTGTGAGCCACCAGGCCTAGCTTACTTTTCTTCAGAATTAAAAAGGTTTTTAAAAACCCCTGTCCTGCCCCAGTCCTATCTCATCTCACTGAATGGCTCCCCCTTACATCTGCTTCCTAAAAACAAAGTCCTGGCTGTCATCCTTGGTGACTCGTTTCCTCCCATCCCACCTTGGATCCATCAGCATTTATCCACTCACTAACTCCAAGATTTATTAAGCATCTACTGGGGCCAGGCATTAAATCCCCCATGGACCAAGCACAGCACAGATACCTGAGGGGAAAGGGAACAAAAATACCCAGGGTTGGCCGGGTGCGGTGGCTCACGCCTGTAATCCCAGCACTTTGGGAGGCCAAGACGGGCGGATCCCTGAGGTCAGGAGTTCAAGACCAGCCTGGCCAACATGGTGAAACCCCATTTCTACTAAAAACACAAAAATTAGCCGGGCGTGGTGGTATACGCCTGTAGTCCCAGCTACTTGGGAGGCTGGGGCAGGAGAATCGCTTGAACCCAGGAGGCGGAGGTTGCAGTGAGCCGAGATGGCACCACTGCACTCCAGCCTGGGTGACAAGAGCAAAACTCCGCCCCTGCCCCCGCCAAAAAATACCCAGGATCAGAACCTGCTGTGGCTGATCCTATCAGTTCCTTCACAGTTGGCCCTCCTCCTCTCACCTCCCTACCTCCGCACACACCTGAGACACGCCTGGCAGCCATGCTGGCCTCTGTCCTTCCTGGAACATTCCAGGAAACATTCCAGGATGCTCCCCCAGGGTCCAGCTTGGCTTTAGGGGCTCGCCCATTTTTGCCTAGAATGCTCTCTCACCAGATTTTTGCATGGCACACCCTCTCTTCTTCAAGCCATCAAACATCACCTCTGCGAGGCCCTCCGACCACTATATTTGAAATTATGACACCCCCACGCCCAGTGCTGCCAGCCCTTTGCCCCGCTTCGCTTTCTCCTAACCACTTGACTTCCTGACTGTGTTGATCGTCTTTCTTCTCCAACTAGAATGCAACCCTCGTGAGGACGGGGACTTGGCTGTTTTTCTCACTGCTACACCCTGGGTCAACAGTCTTGGGATACAGTAGCTGGTCAATAAATATTTGATGACTGACTCCATACAACCCCACTGTAAGGTGAGTCCTATTCTCCTTCATTTTACAGATCTCTCCCAAGGTTCAGAGAGGATAGGTGACTTGCCCAAGACCACACAGCAAACATGGCAGTGCAGGCCGCTGGCCTGTCCTCACAGAGGAGCCTCCCATTATTCCTCCAGGAAGTCACACAGATCAAGGTTTGAATCCTGGCTCTGCCCTTGCTGGCTTCCTGGCCAAGTTGTTACCTTCCTGGATAAGCCTTTTTGCTCTCTGATTCTCACTCTCCTCAGCCCTCCCTAAAAGGAGGGCTGAATGAGGTAGTGCCACAGGGTGTGTGCCTCATGAGAGGGGAGCCCCAAAACCCTCCACTGCTGTCCCCCTGGGGTGCAGGCCCACCTTGACCTGGGCATAGAAGCTGCCCAGGCTGCAGCACACGCGGCACTCGAGCATGGCGTCATCATTGTTGTGGGCATAGCGCAGGGCCTTCTCGAAGCTCTCCAGGGCCTTCTGGAAGACGCTGAGGCCCAGGAAGGCATTGCCCATGCTCAGGCTGACCTGGCCTCCGAGCTGGGCACCTGCCCTGGTACCAGGCAGCCCAAGGCAGGTCTTGCAGTAGGAGATGGTCTTGTGAAACTCGCACAGCTTCTCGTTGCTGCGTGCCAGGTTCAGGTAGCTCTCCAGGAGGAAGTCGGCATCCTCCAGCTCCCGGGCCGTGTCGATCTGGACCACAGCGAACTGCACACAGCGACGGTGGGCAGGTGGTGCTCAGCCTGGACTCTGAGCCTTGGACCCCAGCCTGCACTGCAGGCTCAGACCTGGAGGCCCCACACCCACCCCCCAGCCTCACACCCAAAGCAGCAGATCCCAAAGCTTCTTTTCAGACCCAGAGCTTCTACCCGCCAGCCTCAGCTACCTTCCCTACACCCCAGCCTCACCTCCCAAGCTCAGGCTTGCAGCCTTCACCTTCTATCCCAAGCCTCAGATCTGGAGTCTCCACCACCCACCCACCCCCAGCCGCAACCCTGGAGCCCACACCCCGCCAGGCTCAGACACAGAACACCAGACAGGAAGGCTGAAACCTACAATGGGCTTGAGACCCACAAACCCTCGACCCTGAGGCTGGAGAACCTCAGTCTCAGAGACTCGGGCACCACAGTTCAAGGCCACAGGCCTGAATCTGATGCCAAGACTCAGTATCTAAGACCCAGGGCCTTAGATATAAATTCAGAGCCTCGGGCCCTGGCTGCCAGCCTGTGGGACACAGGGGAGCCCGAGGAGGCCGAGAGGGGACTGGGGAGCCTGGGAGACATCCGGCCCCAGCCTGACCCTCGAACGCCCCCAGGCCGGGTACACCCACCTTCAGCATCTCCTTGTAGCGGCCCATCTCCGAGTGGGCTGTGACCAGGCAGCCCAGCACGCGGAAGCGCCCCATGAGGTCCGAGCTCTTCTCCAGCACCTTTGTCCACACCTGCAATGCCTTCTCTGTCTGGTTGGACTGGTACAGCTGGAGCCCCTTCTCGATCTGCTGCTTGGTCTGGTCCTGCCCCATCCTCCCCAAGCCCTGTGTCCCACGTGGGGTGATCCCTGGTGGCTCCGTGCCTCTAGGCACTCATGGGGCAGGAATCACAGTGCCAGCTGCCCCCCGAAACGTGGGAACAAAAGCAGCGTCGGGTGGGAGCCGGAATGGGGCCTGGATGGAGAGCAGGCGCCACCCTGGGAACAAAGCTGGTTCAGCCCGTCTGCAGCTGTCGCTGCCAGTTGGGGCCACATGGCCTCTGAGGAATGTCAGCAGCAAGGTCACGTGGGCCTCTGCTGCACCCACCCGCGAGCTGGGACGTGGCTTCCCTGAGCATACAGGCACCTTGCCACCTGGGCACCCCCTTGGGCGTCCCTTAGGCACCTCTGACACTGACCCTGACCGCCCTGGCAGCACGGGCCCTCCCAGCAGCCTTGCCAAGGGGCCAGCTCCAGCAAGTGGGCAGGCCTTGGGCTAGAGGTGCTCGGGGGAAGGAGAGCGAGGCTGGACCTGCAGGTCCGGGGAAGCCAGGTGAGCGCCCAGCCCTGCTTCTTCCCCATCAAGACACCCCTGACCGCAGCATCCCCTGGCTCTGTTCCTGAAATTCACTGAGCACCGTGGGTCACTCATCCAGGCCCAGGCTGACACCATTCACCAACTCTCACCTTAGAGAGTCTGGGAAAGACCTCCAGCTGGTGAGAGGCCTGAGCTCTAGCCTGGCTTCCTTCGAACTCTCAGTGGGACCCTAGCCAAGTGACCTGGCACCGTGGACTGAAGAGAGGAATGGTACCTGGCTCACTGGACTGCTATGAGAACTCAATGACGAAAGAGTTGAGAAGGACTTAGGACAGTGCCCGGCACAGGAAACCCCGCATGTGCTGCAAGAGGCTATTTTGCTCCATGGCAAATCCCCACCCGGGCCAGAACCCAGCCCTTGAAGTTTCAATGTCTCACTTCCAATCCCAACCCCGGGCTGAAAGGGTCCTCATAATGAGATTTAACACCAGATACTGTGGAGAAGGGCAAGGTCTTATGTAGTATTGGGGCCCCCGCTAGCAGGCCAGCTCATCCAGCCCCCCTTTCTCCTCTCTCTGCATGCCAGCCTTCTTCCTGCCCCAGGGCAAAAGTTTATCCTTTCTGGCTGGGCAATTCAGTGGTTTTTAGTATATTCACAGAGATGCACATTAATTGCCACTAATTCCAGAACATTTTAACCACCCCAAAAAGGAGACGCACACCCATCAGCAGTTACACCACTCCATTCCCCACCTTGATATGACTGAATCATGTCCCCCCGCAACCAAACGCATATGTTTAAGTCCTAACACTCAGTATCTCATAAGGTGACTGTCTTTGGAGACAGGGTCTTTAAAGGGTGATTAAGGTAAAATGAAGTCACATTGTACCTCATCCAGTTAAGACTGGTATCCCCCCCCCCTTTTTTTTGAGACAGGGTCTCACTCTGTCACCTAGGCTGGAGTGCAGTGGTGCAGTCACAGCTCACTGCAACCTCTACCTCCTAGGCTCAAGTGACCCTCCCACCTCAGTCTCCTGGGTAGCTGAGACCACAGCTGTCTAGTTTTTGTAGAGATGGGTTTCACCATGTTGCCCAGGCTGGTCTTGAACTCCTGGAGGTGGAGGTTTCAGTGAGCCGTGATTGTGCCACTGCACTCCAGCCTGAGCACCAGAGCAAGACCTTGTCTCAAAAAATAAATAAACAATAAATTTTTATTTTTAAAAATTATTTTTGAGACGGAGTTTTGCTCTTGTTGCATAGGCTGGAGTGCAGTGGCACAATCTCAGCTCACTGAGACTTCTACCTCCCGGGTTCAAGCAATTCTCCTGCCTCAGCCTCCCAAGTAGCTGGGATGACAGGTGTATGCCACCACGCCTGGCTAAGTTTTTGTATTTAGTAGAGACGGGGTTTCACCATGTTGGTCAGGCTGGTCTTGAACTTCTGACCTCAGTTGATCCACCTGCCTCAGAGCCTCCCGAAGTATTGGGGTTATAGGCGTGAGCCACCATGCCTGACCACAATACTTTTTTTTTTTTTTGAGACACTTTCCCTCTGTCACCCAGGCTGGAGTGTGGTGGTGCCATCTTGGCTCACTGCAACCTTCACCTCCCAGGTTCAAGTGATTCTCCTGCCTCAGCCTCCTGAGTAGCTGGGATTACAGCTGCGCACCACCACACCTGGCTAATTTTTGTATTTTTAGTAGAGACGGGGTTTCACCATGTTGGTCAGGCTGGTCTGGAACTCCTGACTTCATGATCTGCCCACCTCTGCCTCCCAAAGTGTTGGGATTACAGGCGTGAGCCCCCGCACCTGGCCCACAATAAATGTTTAAAAAGGACACAGTCACACAGAAGAAGAGCACGTGAAGACACAGGGAGAAGATGGCTATCTACAAGCCCAGGAGCAAGGCCTTAGAATGAAACCAACTCTGCCAATTCCTTGATCTTGGACTTCTAGCGTCCAGAACTGTGAGAAAATAAATTTCTGTTATTTAAGCCACCTGGTGTCTATGGACCTGTCTATTGTGGACCCTTCACAGGAATGGAATCATACAATATGTGGTCATCTGTGACTGGCTTCTTTAACTTGGCATAATGTTTTCAAGATTCAACTATGTTTTCAACCGTATCAGAACTTCATTACTTATTGTGGTTGGTTAATACTCATTGTCTGGATATACATTTTGTTGATTCAGCAGTTAATAGGCATTTGGGTTGTTTCATTTTTGGCTACTATGAATAATGATGCTATAAAAATTCATGTACAAATTGGGCTGGGCACGGTGGCTCACGCCTGTAATCCCAGCACACTAGGAGGCTGAAGCAGGCAGATCACTTGAGCCCAGGAGTTGGAGACCAGCTTGGGAAACATAGCGAGACCCCATATCTACAAAAAATACAAAAAAAAAAAAAAATTAGCTGGGTGTGGTGGTGCACAGCTGTGGTCCCAGCTACTCGCGAGGCTGAGGCAGGAGAATCGCTTGAGCCTACAAGCTTGGACTGCAGTGAGCCGCAATCATGTCACTACACTCCAGCCTGGGTGACAGAGCGAGACCCTGTTTCAAAAAAATAAAAAATTCATGTACTAGGTTTTATGGGGACATGTTTTCATTTCTCTTAGGTATATGCTTGGAGCAGAAGTGTGAGTAATATGGCAACTGTTACATTCTGGTACCTGCCTACCTGTCTGCCCCAGGGCCTTTGCACCTCCTAATTCCTTCTCTGTTCACCACACCCACACTCTGCCTCGTAAGTCATAATTAGGATGAATCAGCATATTATCCTCTCATTGAATTACACTGCATTCTGATACAGGACTTATCTCTATAATTTTATTTTGAGACAGGGTCTCACTTTGTCGCCCAGGCTGGAGTGCAGTGGTACAATCTAGGCTCACTGAGGCCTCGACCTCCTGGGCTCAAGCCACCCTCCCACCTCAACCCTCGCAAGTAGCTGGCATTACAGGCAATGCCACCATGCCCAGCTAATTTTTATATTTTTAGTAGAGACGGGGTTTCACCATGTTGGCCAGGCTGGTTTTGAACTCCTGTGCTCAAGTGATCCGCTGGCCTGGGCATCCCAAAGTGCTGGGATTACAGGCGTGAGCCACCACGCCCAGCCTCTCTATAATTTTATATTAGTGAGGTTGTTTGCTGAATGTCTTTATTCTTCACTCAAATGAGGTCATATGGCTGGGCCCTAACCCAGGGCAGGACTTTGTCTCCTTCATTACTGACTGTATTCCCAGAGCAAGGCCCGGCACACTGTGGCCCCTCAATAAATGTCAAATATCGGTGAATGGGGAAGAAGCGGAGGAAAGACGGCTTCACCGGGAAATTCAGAGCAACTACACGGCCTGCTTCCTGAGAGCCCAACGGGTCAGAGGGGACGCTCTGGGGGTCAGAAGGCAAATGCCCCAGGCTCAACAGAGGCAGAGTGGGAGCAGGCTCTGGGACAGGTGGCTGGGCAAGGCCACCTGGACTCCCCAAAGGAGTGCTCCTAAGCCTGGGAAAGGGAGGGAGAGCTGGCTGGGGTCTTCTCTCATCTCAGGGAGGCCTGGGTTGATGCTGAGCTGCAGATGGGAGGGAAGCTGGGCCCACAGCGAAGGTGTGAAGGGCCAGCAGATTCTCCCCACTCCAAGGCCCAGACACTATTCACATTGAGTCTCTGGCAGGAAGGAATGGAGGAAGGGCGGCCTGCATCTACACCCCAACAGAGTTGGGGACCACAGCCTTCCTCTTTCCTGGGGAACTCAAATGACCTCAAAACTTGAAAACTTGATGGGATCAAGCTGTCCTTTCCCTGAGACAGGTCTTTGCTCATCTGACTTCAGTGATGGGAATATGCCCATACTCGCTTATTCTAGGTAGCAGAGTACCTTATGTTTCCTTGAAACATTTCATTTCTTCTTTATTATTATTTTTTTTTTTGAGATGGAGTTTTTCACTCTTGTCGCCCAGGCTGGAGTGCCCGTGGTGGTGAGAGGTGAAGCCAGCTGGACTTCCTGGGTGGAGTGGTGACTAGGAGAACTTTTCTGTAGCTAACTAGAGGTTTGTAAAATGCACCAATCAGTGCTCTGTAAAAACACACCAATCGGTGCTCCGTAGCTAGCTGGAGATTTGTAAAATGGACCAATCAGCACCCTGTAAAATGGACCAATCAGTGCTCTGTAAAATGGGCCAATCAGCAGGACATGGGTGGAGACAAATAAAGGAATAAAAGCTGCCTCCCCGACCAGCCCATCCCCACCCCAACAAGCCAGCAGCAGAAACCCGCTTAGGTTCCGTTCCACGCTGTGGGAGCTTTGTTCTTTTGCTCTCCACAATAAATCTTGCTGTTGCTCACTCTTTGGGTCTGCACCACCTTTAATAGCTGTAACACTCACCACAGAGGTTTACGGCTTCATTCTTGAAGTCAGCGGGACCACGAACCCACTAGAAGGAACCAACTGCGGACACAGTGGGATCTCGGCTCACTGCAACCTCTGCCTCCTGGGTTCAAGCAATTCTCCTGCCTCAGCCTCCCAAGAAGCTGGAATTACAGGCGAGCACCACTACACCTGGCTAAGTTTTGCAGTTTTAGTAGAGACGGGGTTCCACCATGTTGGCCAGGCTGGTCTCGAACTTTTGGCCTTAAGTGATCTGCCCGCCTCAGCCTCCCGTGAGCCACCATGCCCGGCCTCAAAAATTTCATTTCTGAGCACGTTTTCCAGAAATCAGCGACTGTAGTTAGGTTAAGGGCATGCTCCTCTATGGCAACGACTGTGGTTTACTTGTCTTTGTACTACTAGTAACTAACGGCACGGCCCCTGGCAAGGTAAGAGGAGACCAACAGAGAATCCTATTTAACATTCTAACATTTTCTGAGTTAAGCATTTCTTCCAGTTTACAAATGAGGAAACAGGCATGGAGAGGTAAGGTGACCTGCCCAAGACTACACTGCCATCTGCTGGTCCTAGACAGCTGGGACCAGAAGCAGTGTGGTTGTAGAGTCTCGTTCTTTTTTTTTTTTTTTTTGAGATGGAATCTAGCTCTGTTGCCGAGGCTGGAGTGCAGTGGCGCAATCCTGGCTCACTGCAACCTCCACCTCCCGGGTTCAAGCGATTCTCATGCCTCAGCCTCCTGAGTAGCTGGAATTATAGGTACGTGCCACCACTCTTGGCTTTTTTTTTTTTTTGTATTTTTAGTAGAGACGGGCTTTCATCATGTTGTCCAGGCTGGTCTCGAACTCCTGACCTCAGGTGATATGCCTGCCTCGGCTTCCCAAAGTGCTGGGATTACAGGTGTGAGCCAACACACCTGGCCAGGACTCCCATTCTTAACCATTATACTGTACTAGAAAGGAGGCGAGGACAAGGGAGATGGAGAAAGTGGAGAACAGAACAATAGTTTTCCGGAATTCATTGCGATCTTTACCTGAAGCACAGCAAAGTCACTGGGAACTTATCCAAAGCTGTAGCCTGGGTGGGCAGAAGGCATGTATTAAGGAGAGGGTAAAGAGTTAAGACTTGCTTACCAGTGCCCAGTAGATGAAAAGCCCTGGAAGGTGTTAGGGAACAGCCACAAAATGAAATGGTCTTTTCAGTGCCACTTAACCTCACAAGGTGGTGATACAGTCGGGGGATTCAGGGCTATCACCAGAGTGCCTGCTGGGCCAGGTACCAGCTGCACACCTCACATTTTAGATCCCTGTTTTATAATCAAAAGTAGAAAATTAAGTTTGGGCCTGAAGCAAGAGTCACAATCTGGCATGTGAGGACTAAATATTTCTGAGTTGGTTGGCAACATGTGTTATCTAGGAGATTTTACATAAAAATGTACATTTCCTTGCTTCTCTTGAAGAGTGGAAGCTTGGCCTGGTGCAGGGGCTCACTCCTGTAGTCCCAGCACTTTGGGAAGCTGAGGCGGGCAGATCACCTGAGCTCAAGAGTTCGAGACCAGCCTGGCCAATATGATGAAACTTTGTCTCCATGGAAAATACAAAAAATTAGCCAGGCATGGTGGCATGCACCTGTAGTCCCAGCTACTCAGGAGGCAGAGGCACGAGAATTGCTTGAACCTGGGAGGTGGAGGTGGCAGTGAGCCGAGATTGTGCCATTGCACTCCAGCCTGGGTGACAAGAGGAAAACTCTGTCTCAAAAAAAAAAAAAAAAAAAAAAAAAGTGGAAACTCACGCATGCTCAGACCTTGACTGCCTACCAACCACTCCAGTGGTCGGGGTCTGGCCCCAAGAGACCATGAATGTCTTACCAATTCATTCATTGGAACCATGCACCCCTGACTCCCTGTTCTCGCCTTGACACTGAAGCCAAATGCCACTTGTCTTATGCTGGCCTCCTTTCACATGAGTACATCACAGTTGCAGCCCCTGCTCCAGATGCATGACGAAATGTAACTGAAGGGGACAGTCCCAAGGTCCCTCTACCACGACTATCGGGATTCTTGGGAAGTCTCCCCATCTTACCAAGTTAGTTTCCCCAATTAAAAAGATATTGGCCGGGCGTGGTGGCTCACGCCTGTAATCCCAGCACTTTAAGAGGCTGAGGCAGGCGGATCACAAGGTCAAGAGATTGAGACCATCCTGCCCAACATGGTGACACCCTGTCTCTACTAAAAATACAAAAATTAGCTGGCGTGGTGGTGCGTGCCTGTAGTCCCAGCTACGTGGGAGGCTGAAGGAGGAGAATCGCTTGAACCCGGGAGGCGGAGGTTGCAGTGAGTAGAGATTGCACCACTACGCTCCAGCCTGGCGATAGAGCGAGACTCTGTTCCAAAAAAAAAAAAAAAAGATATCACCTCTCTGGCAAGTTTTCTGTGAAAATCAAATGAGATGATAAGATAACTTGCTTTGAAAAGAAGCCATTGAACTAACATCCCTCTATTGGCTTATTATTTACGGTAGTGAAAAACTAGAAAGAATCTGTGTCTGATAGAAGGGTGTTCATAACCATGAAGTGCTATGTAGACTCTAAATAAGGAAGCAGTAGATACCTGTGTACCCAGATGGAAGGGAGCCCAGGGCATAGTAACTTAAAAAAGCAAGCTGCAGACTGGGCGTGGTGGCTCACGGCTGTAATCCCAGCATTTTGGGAGGCCGAGGCAGGTGGATCACCTGAGGTCAGGAGTTCAAGACCAACCCGACCAACATGGTGAAACCTGGTCTCTAATAAATACAAAAAATTAGCTGGGCATGGTGGCGGGCACCTGTTAATTCCAGCTACTCAGGAGGCTGAGGCAGGAGAATCGCTTGAACCCGGGAGGCAGAGGTTGCGGTGAGCCGAGATCGTGCCACTGCACTCCAGCCTGGCTAACAAGAGTGAGACTCCTTCTAAAAAAAAAAAAAAAAAAAAAACAAGCTGCAAAACATTCTGTATATTACGGTGTGATTTTTATTTTATTATTATTATTATTCTTGAGACGGAGTCTCACTCTGTCACCCAGGCTGAAGTGCAGTGGCGCGATCTCAGCTCACTGCAAGCTTCGCCTCCCGGGTTCAAGCTAGTCTCCCGCCTCAGGCTCCTGAGTAGCTGGGACTACAGGTGCCTGCCAACACACCCGGCTAATATTTTGTATTTTTAGTAGAGACAGGGTTTCACTGTGTTAGCCAGGATGGTCTGGATCTCCTGACCTCGTGATCTACCCGCCTTGGCCTCCTAAAGTACTGGGATTATAGGCATGAACTACCGCACCTGGCCTTTTTTTTCTGAGATGGTTTCGCTCTTGTTGCCCAGGCTGGAGTGCAATGGCGCGATCTCGGCTCATTGCAACCTCCGCCTCCTGGGTTCAAGTGATTCTTCTGCCTCGGCCTCCGAGTAGCTGGGATTACAGGCATGCACCATCATGCCTGGCTAGTTTTGTATTTTTAGTAGAGACGGGGTTTCACTGTGTTAGCCAGGATGGTCTCGATCTCCTGACCTCGTGATCTGCCCGCCTTGGCCTCCCAAAGTGCTGGGATTACAGGCGTGAGCCACTGCACCCAGCCATTTTTTTTTTTTTTTTTTGAAACAGGGTCTCGCTCTGTTACCCAGGCTGGAGTACAGTGGTGCGATCATGGCTCACTGCAGCCTCAACCTCTTGGGCTCAAGCAATCCTCCCGCTTCAGCCTCCCAAGTGGCTTGGACTACAGGTGTGTGCCATCACACCTGGCTAATTTTTTAAATTTTTTGTAGAGACAGGTCTGTGTTGCCCAGGCTGGTCTCAAACTCCTGGGCTCAAGTAATCCTCCTGCTTCAGCCTCCCAAAGTGCTGGGATTATAGGCATAATCCGAGCTACCATACTCAGCATGATCTCAACATGATCTCATTTTTATTAACAAAAATTACTTATTTTTTGTGTTTATAAGGAAAAATCCGGCCAGGTGCGGTGGCTCACGCCTGTAATCCCTGCACTTTGGGAGGCCGAGGCTGGCGGATCACGAGGTCAGGAGATCCAGACCATCCTGGCTAACATGGTGAAACCCCGTCTCCACTAAAAATGCAAAAAATTAGCTGGGCGTGGTGGCGGGTGCCTGTAGTCCCAGCTACTCGGGAGGCTGAGGCAGGAGAATGGCATGCACCCAAGAGGTGGAGCTTGCAGTGAGCCGAGTTTGCGCCACTGCACTCCAGCCTGGGTGACAGAGCGAGACTGCGAGACTCCGTCTCAAAAAAAAAAAAAAAAAAAAAAGAAAGAAAAAAGCAAAATCCTGGAAGCATATGACCCCATCTGTTATCAATGGGCTGTGGGATGGGGCATTCGCTCACTTTTAACCATGACTTACTGTTGTTACTAGCGACTTTAATGAGTGCTTGCCAGGGGCAGTAGCTTGGCTATTTGTTTGTGCATTTATTCTTTTTTGAGACGGAGTCTTGCTCTGTCGCCCAGGCTGGAGTGCAGTGACGGCATCTCGGTTCACTGCAAGCTCCGCCTCCCAGGTTCACGCCATTCTCCTGCCTCAGCCTCCTGAGAACCTGGGACTACAGGCACCCGCCACCACTCCCGGCTAATTTTTTTTTTTGTATTTTTAGTAGAGACGGGGTTTCACCTTGTTAGCCAGGATGGTCTTGATCTCCTGACCTCGTGATCCGCCCGCCTCGGCCCCCCAAAGTGCTGGGATTAAAGGCGTGAGCCACCGCGCCCGGCTGTGCATTTATTCTTTTTGTAGAGATGGAGTCTCGCTATGTTGCCCAGGCTGGTTTTGAACTCCTGGGCTCAAGCAATCCCCCTGCCTTCGCCTCCCCATGTGCTGGGATTACAGGCATGAGCCACCACACCCGGCCCCTTTGGCTAGTTTTTGAGACAATCTCTCATCTTCCCAACTGTACGGGGCAGGTGCTTTTGTTTCCATTTAACAGATGAACAATCTGGGGCTGAGAATCAAGTAATTTGTCCAAGGTCACAGGGGTGCTGATGGTAGACTTGGTATTACCGGATTAGGGAATCCTTAAAACAAAGATTTCCCCAACATACTCTAAGCCTTTTGAAGAACCACCTAAATGTTTTGCATTTAATAAAAAAAAATTAAGGCCAGGCGTGGTGGCTCACGAGGTCAGGAGTTCGAGACCAGTCTGACCAACATGGTGAAACCCCATCTCTACTAAAAATACAAAAATTTGCCAGGCGTGGTGGCACGCGCCTGTAATCCCAGCTACTCAGGAGGCTGAGGCAGGAGAATTGGTTGAACCTGGGAGGCGGAGGTTGCAGTGAGCTGATACCATACTGCTGTACTCCAGCCTGGGCAACAAGAGTGACACTCCATCTCAAAAAAAAAAAAAAAATTCAAACCCTCACCTGATTTTGTAAACAAGTCATTGCTGTCAGGTGTTTCGGGCTCCAGGCACATCCCATTCTAGGGAAGGGCAGGTTAGTGGCACTCTCAGGGCTGAATGGCCACAGGTAGGCTCCCCTCACCTGGGTCCTTCCCTGACCGCCAAGGGGGAACCTCTAACAGCACAGGGCCCTGCTACTGAAACAGGTGCTGGCACCAACTTCAAGTGGCAGGGCCCCTGGTGAGCGGACTCAGAAGTTGTATTAGAATTCCTGTAAAGTCGCTCTGAGGGACTTGGCGGTCATTTGTGTTGGATGGTGACAGAAATGTCTACTGAATACTTACCCGCCAGTGTGTGTGGAATGGTGAGGCCTCCAGTGAGAAATGAAGTATGGCTCCTGTCTTCATGAAGCTCTGTCCCAGAGGTGGAATTTAAACCAGGGCACCCCAGGGTCCACCTTAGTGACCCCTCAAAGGAATATGTTCTACAGGACTACGGGGTCAGGTTGGCCTGCATGAAAACACAACTGTCCTACTTATTAGCCACATGAACAGAAGAACTGCAGCTTCTCTGTGCCTCAGTCTATCTTCCTATGCTACCAGTTGCTGGGAGGACGAATGCAGTGGCTGTGGCTGATTAATAAATGGTGGCTTTGTTTTCTTAAAAGCAGAATAGGTCGGGCGTGGTAGCTCACGCCTGTAATCCCAGCACTTTGGGAGGCTGAGGTGGGCGGATCACCTGAGGTCAGGAGTTCGAGACCAGCCTGGCCAACATGGTAAAACCCCGTCTCTACTAAAAATAGAAAAATTAGTCAGGTGTGATGCCAGGTGCCTGTAGTCCCAGCTACTCGGGAGGCTGAGGCGGGAGAACTGCTTGAACCCAGAGGGCAGAGGCTGCAGTGAGCCGAGATCCTGCCACTGCACTCCAGCCTGGGCAACAGTGAGACTCCATCTCAAAAACAAACAAGCAAACAAACAAAAACAGCAAACTGTCTAGAACAGTCCTGCCACTGCCTGTGATGATGGAAATGTTTTGTATCGGCACTGTCCAATAGGATAGCCACCAGTCACTTGAAATGTGGCTAGTGAAACCGAGGTACTACATTTTTGTTATTTTAAGAGGGAGTTTCGCTCTTGTTGCCCAGGCTGGAGTGCAATGGCATGATCTCAGCTTACCACAACCTTCACTTCCCGGGTTCAAGCAATTCTCCTGCCTCAGCCTCCCGAGTGGCTGAGATTACAGGCATGCACCACCACGCGGGGCTAATTTTGTATCTTTAGTAGAGACGGGGTTTCTCCATGTCGGTCAGGCTGGTCTCAAACTCCCAACCTCAAGTGATCCGCCTGCCTCGTCCTCCCAAAGCGCTGGGATTACAGGCATGGAGAGGTAAGGTGAGCCACTGGCTGGGCCCATATTTAGTTATTTAAACAAAAAAAGCTACAGTGCCTAGTGGGTAACTGTATTGGACAACTGTGAGTCTAGAAGCCTTCCAGATTCAGGCTGAGGCAGATAATATCGGCAACCAGAAAGAGGAGCTGGGAGAGCTGCAGAAACAAGGCTGGATTGGGAGCAGACAAGCTCAGAAGGATGAGGGATGGCAGGAGCAGGTGCCACAAGGCAGTGGGTGCTGCCACTAGCTTTCAAGTAGGAGGAAGAAAGGAGAAAATACCTCAGGATGTTGACTAAGTGAAGGCCAGACACAAAAGGCCACATATCCCATGACTGTATTTTAATGAAATGTCCAGAACCAGTAAAGATACAGACAGAGGTATATTTGTGGTTACTAGGAAATGGGAAAGGGAGTGAGGGAGAGGATGGGGAGTGACTGCTAAATGAGTACAGGGTTCTGAAAATGTTCTAAAATTAGGCTGCATTCATGGTTGCACAACTCTGAAACTCAGTGAATGGTATGCTTTAAGTGGATGAGTTGTGTTGTGTGTGAATTATATCTCAATAAACCTGTTTATTATTTTTTTCTTGAGACAGGGTCTCGGTCTCACTTTGTTCCCTGGGCTGGGACAGTGGCACAATCTCTGCTCACTGCAACCTCCGCCTCCTGGGTTCAAGCAATTCTTGTGCCTCAGCCTCCTGAGTAGCTGGGATTACAGCCATGCGCCACCATGCCTGGTTTATTTTTAGTAGAGAAGGGGTTTCGCTATATTGGCCAGGCTGGTCTTGAACTCCTGGCCTCAAGTGGTCCACCGACCTTGGTCTTTCAAGGTGCTGGAATTACAGGCATGAGCCACCACGTCATGCAATAAAGCCGTTTAAATACAACCCAAATCTCAAGAGGACTCAGATTAGTAAGACCCATCCCCACTAATGGAAAAACCTTGGGTAGAGCAGGCCAAGACCTGGGCCTGGAAAGTGTCGGGGACTGCGGGAAAGCCCTTCCTGGTTGTGTGAGTTCAATTTCCCATCCCAAGGCTGCCTTCAATTTATTTTTGAGATGGGAGTCTCACTCTGTCGCCCAGACTGAAATGCAGCGGAATGATCTTGGCTCACTGCAACCTCCGCCCGCCGGGTTCGAGATTCTCCTGCCGCAGCCTCCCGAGTGGCTGGGATTACAGGTGCCCGCCACTATGCCCAGCTAATTTTTGTATTTTTGGTAGAGACAGGGTTTCACCATGCTAGCACTGCTGGTCTTCAACTCCTGAACTCAACTGATCTGCCTGCCTTGCCCTCCCTAAGTGTTGGGATTACAGGAGTGAGCCACCGCGCCCGACCTGCCTTGAATTTTTAAAAAACAAAAGCCTTCCCTATAGCTGGAGCCTTCAACCAGTACAGAGAAAGTCAATGCATGCAAAAGCAATTAAACACCAGATGGTGGGGGTTGGAAAGGACTCCTGAGAAGGAAGGAAAATGCTTGAAGGCACAAGGTGCAAGGCAAGTCCAGCTCCGATCTCTCCTGAAGGGAAATATTATCAAACATTAGTCTGACATTCCCTGAGGTGCAGGCACAACCTGGTGTTTAATTTCCAGCCTGGTGGCTTTTTCCTCATCAGGGACCGAGCTGCTCAGGTGAGCATAGTATGTGAGCATTAGGGAAGCTGTGTGCTGACCGAGAAAGTCAGTGCGGAGGTGCCTCTGCCAGCCAGATGAACAGGAATGTGGCAAAAAGTAGGTGTTGAGCAAGCTACAGAAGGATGAAGAGGTTTTCAAAGAATACAAAACATTGGCCGGGCGAGGTGGCTCATGTCTGTAATCCCAGCACTTTGGGAGGCCAAGGTGGGTGATCAACTTGAGGCCAGGAGTTTGAGACCAGCCTGGCTAACATGGTGAAACCCTGTCTCTACTAAAAATACAAAAAATTAGTCGAATGTGGTGGCACATGCCTGAAGCTGAGGCAAGGGAGTTGCTTGAGCCTGGGAGGTGGAGGCTGCAGTGAGCAGACTGTGCCACTGCATTCCAGACTGGGTGACAGAGCAAGACTCTGTCTCAAAACAAAAACAAAAACAAAACAAAATCCAACAAAACACTTAATTAAGATACAGCTTTATTGGCCAGGCACGGTGGCTCATGCCTGTAATCCCAGCACTTTGGGAGGCCAAGGCAGGTCAATCACCTGAGGTTGGGAGTTCGAGACCAGACTGATCAACATGGTGAAACCCCATCTCTACTAAAAATACAAAAATTAGCTGGGCATGGTGGTGCGTGCCTGTGGTCCCAGCTACTAGGGAGGCTGAGGCAGGACAATCGCTTGAACCTGAGAGGCAGAGGTTGCAGTGAGCTGAAATCGCACCATTGCACTCCAGAGTGGACAACAAGAGATAAACTGCGTCTCAAAAAAAGATACAGCTTTATTATAATAAATATGCAAAAGCCTAAACTTTTTTAAAAGGCTGAAATAGTACTTGACATATTTCCTTTTTTGGGTCAATTTTATTTATTATTTATTTTGAGATGGAGTCTTGCTCTGTCGCCCAGGCTGGAGTGCAGTGGCGCGATCTCGGCTCACTGCCAGCTCAGGCTCACGCCATTCTCCTGCCTCAGCCTCTGGAGTAGCTGGGACTACAGGCGCCCGCCACCATGCCCAGAGAATTTTTTGTATTTTTAATGGAAACGGGGTTTCACCGTGTTAGCCAGGATGGTCTTGATCTCCTGACCTCGTGATCTGCCTGCCTCGGCCTCCCAAAGTGCTGGGATTACAGGCGTGAGCCACCGTGCCCGGCCTTGGGTCAATTTTAAAGAGAAGCAACAGCCTTTAAGCATTATTTCAATTAAAAGATGCTCAAGTTATACTTAATATTCTATTTTTAGATAAAAGGCCCAGGAAGAGAGTCTGAGGGGGAAGCCTCTGATTCTCTACCCTTGCCCTCCACTACACCAATTTCCCCAAGTGTGAAATGCAGAACTCACTAAGAAGGCACTCCATGGACACTTTATATTAGTAGTTATATGTGTGTGTGTGTGTATTTTTGGAGACAGGGTCTCACTCTGCCACCTATGCTGGAGTGCAGTGGCATGATCACAGCTCACTGCAGCCTGGACCTCCTGGGCTCAAGCAATCTTTCCACCTTTGCTTCTGGAGTAGCTGGGACCCCAGGTGTGTGCCACCATGCCTGATTTTATTTTTTGTTGAGATGGGGTCTCACTCTGTTGCCCAGCCTGGTCTCAATTGATCCTCCCACTTGGCCTCCCAAAGTGTTGGGATTACAGGCGGAGCCACCGAGCCCTGCTAATGTGTATTTTATAATGTAATGATTACAGCATCAAACTTGTAATTTCACAAATATCAGTGGGTCAGAATGAAAAAAGTACATTTCAAGTTGATTTACAAAATTAGGTGGTAATGGGGCTGTGCATGGTGGCTCATGCCTGTAATCCCAGCACTTTGGGAGGCCAAGGCAGGCAGACTGCTTGAGTCCAGAAGTTCAAGACTAGCCTGGGCAACATGGCGACACCTGTCTCTACAAAAAATACAAAAATTAGCTAGGCATGATGGCATGTGCCTGTAAGTCCCAGCTATTCGAAGGCTGAGGTGGGAGGATCACATGAGCCTGGGGAGGCTGAGGCTGTTGTGAGCAATGACTGCACCACTGTATGCCAGCGTCGTTGACAGTGAGACCCTGTCTCAAAAACAAAAAATCAGGTGATGATGATTGCACAAGCATTGTGAATGTGTTTAATGGTAGTAAATTATAAAATTATAGGGAGTATATATTCAGGGCAACTTGAATCTATACTCCAAAGTAAAACAAAATTCTTAAAAATTATACTTAAAAGTGTTTAAAATGGCAAATTTGATTTTGTCACAATAAAAACAAACGACACTGGGTAAACAATGGTTGAGCTGGTCTCAGATCTAGTGACGTGAGAGTATGGAGAGGAGTGCTCTTTAGAAGTTGCCCGTCCCCCACAGGCAGCAGCGCCCTGCAGGAGCCCGCTGACCAACCAGTTACAAGTGAACCTCTCAAACACCAAAATGGCTGCTTTAAGGAGGGCGCAGCTGCAATGAGTCACCTCCCAGGGGAGCCACAAAAGCCATAGGTCCTCTAAGCTCCTCTCACTGGGGCCTAGAGGACAGAGAGCAATCAATCTGTGATGAGACACAGGTTAATTAAAGCACATTTATTGGCTTTTGAATTCTTTCTATTCAGTAGTGGTTAGGAGAAAGGGCTCAGGAGTTGGGCAATGTGGTTTGATTCCCAGTGCACACCACTTTCTAGCAGGCAACCCAATTTCTTTTAACCTGTTTGCTCATCTGTAAAACGAGGATGGGAAAACTAGCTACCTCCTAGGGATGCTATGAAGCCTGGAACATGTAGTGGGTATCATGTGTATCCTGCAGCGCCTGATGGTGGTAAACAATCAACATTAGCTAGGATAATTATTTGCATATAAGTTCTGATTTTTAAACATTTTTAATGAATAAAAATGGGGACGTGAACAAAGGAACACCCAAATGCAGAACTTGGTAGACAAAATCTAAAACCCCCAAGCTGCCACTTGTTTTTGAGAACAAGTGGACAGCAAAAGGGATCCCCAGTCTGGGAGACGCTTGGCTAAATCAAGTCTGAGGCTTCTTTACTGCCTAATTTCAGAGAGAACATTCTTTATTGCAGGGACAACATTCACAAACTTATTTGTGTTAAGAATCCTTATTTCATAGAACATATCATGGTCTAGTACTCAATGCAACCCTCACTGAGAAATGCTACCCAAGACCCACTCCACATAGAGGGACATGTAGGAGAAGGCTGAGGCCTGGTCCATCCAGCACTATTGAGTAGTCCACAGAGCCTTAGAAGCATGCCATTCAGGGGCCTTGTACTGAGGTCAGAGTGAGGGAAGTAGAAGCTTAAGAACTTTGGGCCAGAGCTTTAAAGGTCTGGAGGGAGGAAGACTGCCGGGGCTCTGGGATTTGGTGCTGGCCAGCAGAGTCCTAGGGAGCAGGGACTCTGCGCACTAGGGAAGAGATGTGCACTGGCAGGTCTGGACCAGCTCTGTTTTGTGGCAGCCAAGGAGAACAGGAGATGCTCAAAAATTAGGGTGGGCAAAAAAGTTTTAAGGTGTTTCCGCATAAGTAGAAATCCTGGAGAATACAAAAAGATGGGGAAGGCAGTTTTCTGGGGAGAAATTATGTTTTCCTTCCGGAGCTTTTGGGGGGTTCAGCTGCACATCTTCAGGTACATAAAAATGAAGCCTTATAGGGCACCCACACCCCCTCTTCAGGAACATGGCAACCCCACCTGCTCCAAGGACACATCACCCTCCCCAACAATCAGTAACTCTGAAGACATCAGTTCTTCTCAAACAGTTTAATAGCAAATAAACAAAGGAAGGTACCACACTTGGCAGATACAAAATGACTTTTTGTCCATGTGTCTGTGCAATTAAAACAGATTTAGGTTCCCCATTGGGACAAAAGGAAAAACACACAAAAAAAGGAAGGAGATTCCTTTGAAACACATACTCCCTTGCTCCAAACTTATAACAATTTTTTTTTCTTTTTAAATTCACTACACAAACTCTGTGATTAGGTAAGAAAAGCGACGAGGGCTCTCCTTGCCTTTTTTTAAACCATTAAAGTAAAATCCATAATTTTCTACAGAGTACAACACAAGTTCACACAAAAAAGACATTTTCTTTTGCAAATCAAAACAGGAAAGAAAGGAAAAGCTCAAACAAGATAAAGGAAAAGCATTTCTACGGCTGAATCACGACTGAGTTGATTGAATCCCGTTGTTGCTGCAGAACAGACTGTGCGTTTGGTCATAGTGGCAATTTTTTTTTCTCTTCACATTGTGAAATCACTTTACATTGTTTTCTAGTAGAAAAGGCAAAAAACTGTACAAAACCCCTAGTGTTAAATACAACGTTTGTACCAATAAAAAACTCACACAGGTTTGTCTCCAAAATGTAAAGTTTCTTTTTTTTTTTCTTTTTAAATTATTCACAAAAAGCAGCTGGAAATCAGAAAGGCAGCTGCCGCTCCAGGGTCTCAAATCCATTAAAACCACCACAGAACAATTAAAACAATCAGAGAGAGAAAAGGAAAAGGAAACAACGTCCAACATTTGGCATTTGGTTTTATCCACAGGTTTTCCCAGAGCTCCTCTTGGAATTGAAAGCAAAATATATTGGCAAACACTGCTTCTCAATACACAGGAAGGGGAGCCTCAGTGCCTCCTGCCAACAGAGGCGGCTCTGTGCAGTCAGACTGTGGGGTGCACAGCAGTCTCTCAGGCTGGGGTTTCTGGCCTCTTTCCATCCAATCACCCCTTCCAGGAAATTCAGCAGCCTACCAGACACTGGGCCTCTGCCTGGCTGCCCTTTCCCCCAGGCAGAGCGGCCTTGGGCATAATACCAGGCAACCTGCCAGCCCCAGAGCAGAAACCCTGCTGGGATCCCTTCCTTCATCAACCTTGGTGTGGAGGATGCTCAATAGCGCTTCCACCTCCCCCTCCCCAGCCCCTAGCTACATCTCTCCACCCTTCCCTGGACAGTCCTACTTCCCAGCTCACCCACCCACCAGCAGCTTAAGTCTGGGTGGGATCTATCATCAGCTCCTCCCCCTGTAACCTCTTCCCTCCACAGATCCACCCTGTGCTCCTCTCCTCACCTCTCCCCCTCCACTCACATTCTTACTCAAGTCTCCAAGACCCTGAGGCTGGATGGTGCCACAAGAGAGGAGGGTCAGTTTCCCTCAGGGAACCAAAAAACTGGCTTGCTTGGCACCCAGGGACAGTAGCTGTTTGGCTCTCCACCCAATTAAAAAAACAAATCCCTGCCCTTTCCCCCACCCCACTAGCTAAGCAAGAGCAGAGCTGTGATGAAGAGCCAGTGCCGGGTGGCTGGTGCCCAGGGCTGTAAACAGTGTGAAGACTGTAGTATTGTGCTTGTCACCTAGGAAAAGCGCCAGCAGGTGAATTGCCGCTTGGTGTGCAGATGGCCTCCTACGGGTGATTGGGAGCGCCCTCCTTCCTCCAGGTGCTCACTGCCCCTAATGTGCTAAATAAGCCTCTTACCCACCTGCTGCCACCTTCTAGGCTCTACCTCTGCTTCTCGTGTCTCTCCAGGCCCCCTTCCCACCCTCTCTGAGCAAAGCAGCCAGCCTCCCGGAAGCCCCGGTAAGACCTGGAGGCCACACGAAGTGACAGTCTAAGTGCACAGGCAAACGCTCTAAGGGCAATAGAGGAGAAAGTTGCCACTTCAAAATTAAACAATACAATCTTGAAAAAAATAATCAACCCTACAACAATTTAAAACAGCTTCTTTGAAACCCTTTTAAATCGATCAGTTTTTGCACAAACTATAGAAAACAGAGAGGTGAAGGTGATATATACGAAGGTGTGAAGAAACAGCAGGAAACATGCAAAACTTTTTTCTGGGCATAATCTTAGTAGGAAAGGAAAAAATTCAAAACAAAAACACAAAAACAATACAAAAACAAAAACAACAACAAAAAAATCAAAGCATCACATTTTGCTGTGGAGACTGTTGGAACAAGCATGGGGCTGAGGGGAAGGGGCAGGCGGGATATCCAGGACTCCCCAGAGTCGCTCCAGGGAAGAACCACAAAAGAAAAAGAAAAAGAAAAAGGGCTGGCTGGGGCCCAAAGTGCAGCCTGCGGTCAAAAAGGAAAGGGGGTTCAGGTGCTCTCCGCAGTTGAGAACTCAGAAGAAAAACAAAAGAAAGAACAATACATGCGGTCTCCTCAAGCCCCACAGACTGTATCAGCAAAATGTGCTCAGGAGCCTCAGAGGTTTTAGTGACATCTTTTATTTCATTGTTTACTTCAAAGTTGTCTTTAAAACTAAGCACACAGAGAAACAAAGCCTAGAAACGGACTGGCTGTGTGTTCACAGAAATACAAACACCACGCGGTATGTGCTAGTAGGGCTGCTCTGAAGACAATTACAAAGAATTGGAATCACAAAATCAAGTGGTTATCTTATGAAGTTCTAGAAAAATAGATTTTTTTTATATTCAAATGCAAGTTTAAATATTTCCCCTTCAGCAGTCGTTCTAGCAAAACCAATTTGGCAGCACAAAAGGAAAAAAAAAGGAAAGAAAAAAAGAAAAAAAAACGAAGAAAGAAACAAACATAATAAAAATACACATCAGCATCAAAGGTCAACACAAGGTCAAAGGTGAGAGTTCAAGCATCAGAGAAGCTGAAGAGACAGGGATTTGGACGATGTACTTGACGCCACATCGACATGCTTTAGGCACAACGATGAACAAACGGCAGGAATCTAGAAAAAAAAACAAACCAGAAAGAGGGAGACCCACTGAGTTACACAGAGCAATACATCCAAACAAAGAGAGAGAGAACAGGAACACTCACTGTGTGTACAGCCCTGAAATGAGGTGGGCGGGCAGGGGTTGGGTAATGACAGGGAACTTTTGCACATGCTAACAATGGACACAGGGAAAAGTCAAAAAGGACATGGAGGACACCAAGAACACATCTAATTGCCAGAGACAGAAGGGAACCTAAGGCTTGGATTTTCCATGAAGCACCCAACTCCTAAGAGAAGGTCTCCAGGGGAGCAGAGCCTCAGCCTCTCTCCCCACTCCCTGGTCACAACCCAAGGGGAAGCAGAAGATGCTGGCTGGGGTGGGGAAAATTTTTCAGGGAAGAGGACCAGAATTTCTGCTCAATCTTATGGGGATGGCCCTTTGTTCCCAGAAATCCAAGCTCTTAGCTTCCATCCAGGCCCTGGCCACTCAAGGGGAACCCAGGAGACAGTGGTCTGGCTGCATTCAAGGCAAATCAATTTCATGATGTAACCCAAGTAAGAAACAAAACTACAGCAGAAAACACATTGTAAGTGAAACCTTCACACAACAGAAAAGGATTGCTTAAGACTTGACAGCGAGTCTCCACTCTGAGCTGAGCCCTTTCACACGTGAGACTTGTAGGGGAGCAGCTTCTTCACAAAACCATCTTTGGCCTGGGGAAAGAACTGTGCTCAAGGGCAGTGCTACTGCTGTGCTAACTCACTGGGCAGGGGGAGGAGAGAACAGAGAAGTGCATGGTCTCACCAGCTGGCTGCTCAAGCAGCCCAGGACCCTGCTGGGGCGAGCATTCCTTTTAGAAAAGAAAACCCATCAGCAGGTATGAAGCCCTCAGGGTCTGGTATCAAAGGTGGGTGGATTGCACCTTGGCCTCTTATGTCATTAGGAAAGGGGTTTCATAAGGTCCCAGAGCCCAGGACAAATCCATGGACAAATAATGGTGAGATGGGGGAAGGCGGAGAGAAGAAGGGGATGTGGGAAGGGAGTGGCGTTCTGGCTAAGGAGGAAGACAGAACAGAAGGCTAGGGAGCACAGCACCGGCAGCACCCTATGGAGCACAGCTCTCTCCTCTGCCAATTCACAGCATTAACACCTTCCCCTTGGGCAGGTTAGCTGGGCTGCAAACGGGCCACAGAAAGTCAGTAGTTTCAATCATACACAGCACCCTGTGTGTATAACAATCACATTCTGGATTCTACAAAATCCTGGCCTTTTCCAGAGATATAATTTAGGTAATAAATATTCTCCACCCCGGAGCTGTATAAAACTTCTATAAAAATAGAAACGACATTCTTGGTTCCAGCCGGTTGGGATTCAGAACAGCGCCTCCCCAACCTAGCATTTTTTTCTTTTTTTTTTTTGTTTTCTTTTTTCTTTTTTATTTTTATTTTTTGCATTTATTTAAAAAATCCCATCATGACCCTGGAAGCCTTTAGAACAGTTTTATCCTTTGAAACACAGGACACATTTCTCCCAGTGCGCAGAATTTCAAGTTTACGTGGTTCAGCTTAAGAAGTGTATGTTTCACGTTCCTTAGAGGACAACAGACCCAAGTTATCACTATGAGAAAGGAACAGCTGTCCCAGCTTCAATGGGATAATCCAACACCACCAGCTACCTGTACAACAGTAAGATGGTCAATCCCTGTCTGTTACCCACAGGGACAGCATGACAAGGAGAGAGCCCCCATCTGACTTAATAGCAAACCAACCCCTTTATTCTTATCTCTGCTGCTAGGGGTCAAGACTGGTATTTGTTGAGGTTTCAGATTCCAGAGACCCAGGGATCCCATCCCTGGCTGTGGCTACAGTCACATCTTAACAGGGCCACCTCTGCCCAGGTGTACATTCCCAACAGCATGTCCTTCCTGGTTCTCTACCCCCACAGCACTTCTTAGAGCAGAGGCAGAGCCCAGAAGCTGTGTGGGTCACAGGCAAGAGCTGAAGTAAGACCTGCAAGAGGCGGCAGGGAGCTAACTGTAGCACGAGGACAAAAATGAACACGGTAATACTGAGGTAAATGAACACTCAATTCATGTGGAGGCTGTAAACGTCCTGATGTCACCTCTGCCTCAAGAGCAGAAAATGTGACTGGAGTGGTTACAGGAGGGGCCTGCCAGACCCCTGTGGGAATACTACATCTGGGACACCTCAATCAAGGAGGCAAGGGAGAATTTCTGGCCACTGGCAAATGAAGCATACTGGCTTGCAGGGACCTTCTGATTCAAGTACACCAAGAAATAAGCTCCTCCTCCCCCAACTAGATGGTATTGATCACTCTGCCCACAAATGGTACCCCCTTCAGCAAGAACTGCAAGCCCTTCTTGGATTTGCCTTCATGAGAAAATGGTGGCTTGGGATGGAGGTGACATTCCTTGCTGTGGTGAACTGCAAAGAAGGAAACCAGGCAATGTATTCCATAGAGGCCTTTAAAGAGACCCGTTGGAAATGGGCCATGGTCTAATTTGGTGTTGAAATAAACTAACCTCTTTGGCTGTTTCTCCCAAACTGCCACCAGCCAGGCAAGGCCAATCCAATACTGACTGCTGGCTGGGGGAGCTCGTAATGGGTGATGCCGCCCTGCTTTTTGCATATGTCAGGCTAACAGGTGCTTTATTTCCAGAGAATTGTTAATGCCCTTTTTTGAAAAGAGCAGCAGAAATTCCGGACAAGAATCTGAAAAATAGGTGTCAAAAACTATTTCCCAGAAGGTAGCTGTACAGGAGTTTGAGTCTCCAGCTGCCAGGGCATTAGGTGTCTAGTCACTCCACTCTTCCCCAAAGCCGCTCTGCTCCCCACAGCTCCCAGGTGTCAGTTCTCATTCTACCCACCCTCACACTAAGAGAGGTTCTGGGGGTCACTTTTTTGTTCCACTCAGTCCTCTCTCTTGGGGTGGTTTGGGGCAAATCCTGATCATCGTCTGTGTTAAATGTTTCCCTGTCCCCCTTCCCCAGGGTGGTTTGGTGTTGGTCCTTCTCAACACACACTGGTTACAAACACAGCAAACTTTAAATAAAGGAGAAACAAAAACAAAAACAAAAAAAACCTCAGGATATGGCACCTAAACTCCAAAGTAAAACACTGGAAACCAAAGCACAAACTTGTCCTCTGTACGAAGCGAAACTCCCACAGAAGGCAGTAGCCGAGTCTTCAGGGCAAGCTGTGCCTGCGAGAGTGGCAGGGATCAGGGTCCAGGGCTGTCAACACACAGCCTCAGGGCTTCGAATCATTAAGGGTGCTCCTCCCCCACTTACCAGAAGACCCTCTCACTCCAGTCTCAGAGGGGAGCACGCTCAGTAGGGCTTGCTGTCATTCTTCGAACGTTTGAGCTGCACTTTAAGCCGCTTCATGCCAATCTGAAAGCCGTTCATGGACTGGATGGCAGCTTGGGCCGAAACAGGATTGTCGTAACTTACAAAACCTGTGTGTCCAAGCAGAAACCTAGGTGAGGGACATAATGAGGCAAGGAGATTCTCAGTCCTCCTTATGCAAGATACCTTATGTGCTTCATCTCAAATCCCAATTTTATTCAGCAGGGACAAGAAATCTGGACATTATGTCATACGAAATAAATTAGGTTCTTAATAGTACCACTTAACAGCTACATGGTAATTTAAAGGTTTTTTTCTTTTTCTTGAGACAGGGTCTTGCTCTGTCACCCAGGGTGGAGTACAGTGGTGTGACCATGGTTCACTGCAACCTTGGCCTCCTGGGCTCAGGTGATCCTCTCACCTCAGCCTCAAGTAGCTGGGAACACAGGTACACGCCACCACGTCTGACTAATTTTTTGTAGCCATGAGGTCTCACTCTGTTGCTCAGGCTGGTCTCGAACTCCTAGGCTCAAGCGATCCTCCTGCCTTGGCCTCCCCAAGTACTGGGACTTACAGGCACAAACCTGGACTGTTTAAAGGTTTTTTTGCAAACCATTTTCCATATATTATTTTTCTCTCTGGAGCAACAGTGTGGGTAGAAATCCTTACCTCCACTACAGCAATGAGAAACTGGGGCTCAAAAAGAGGTCATAATGACCTGCCCATGGCCAAGTTAAAACAACACCACAAACTCATATTCAGATCTTTCTGCAGTGAGCTCCTTCTTTCTCAGTGGTAAAATACTAATCCCATCCTGACACCAGAGAGAAGCCAACATACCAAAACACTTGCTCAGGTTTGTCTGCTTGTCTATGAAAACCTTGGCAGACACGACATTCCCAAAGGGCATAAACATCTGCAGCAGGTCCTGATCACCAAACTCCTGGGGCAGGTGGTAGATGAACAGGTTGGCTCCCTCTGGACCTTCAAAATACCCAGGAATTGGAAAAGTATCAGTGTCAAACATGCTCGTCGCCCTGCACCAGTGATCTTTCATTTCCACCTATGTTAAAACTGTCACAATCCCTAAAAACAGAGATTCATCTGGGGAACTAAACAGATTCTCTAAATACAAAGCAAGGAACCAAAGGCAAACATTAAAACAGATTCCTTCCCTCACATTCAGCCAAGCTCCATCTCATTGAGGATGTGAGAAATTCTACCCGCAGGAGGAGGAGTGTTGGGATAATAAAGCAGGCCGACTTGTGTGTGGAGCAGGAAAACAGAGACTGTAGGCTCAGAGAGGAACACAGAAGAGGAGGTGAAAAGGGGTTATAAACAAAACAGGTTTCCAAATAATGCCTAGAAACCACAGGGACAGCAAACAGATTGGTAGTTGCCAGATGCAGGGAATGACTACAAAGGGGCACGAGGGAATTTCTAGGGGTGATGGAAATGTTCCTAATCTGTGGTGATGGTTGCAGGACTAGGACTGTTTGTCAATACTCATATAGCTGTATGCCAAAATCAGTGAGTTTCATCATATGTAAATGGGAAAATAAGAAATTAGTTTTAAAAATGCACCCATGATTAACACTGAGCTTAAAAACAGAATATACATTCTTCATCTGACTATTTACACTCAATGATTTTCTTTTTTTTTCTTTCTTTTTTTTTGAGATAGAGGCTCACTCTGTTGCCCAGGTTGGAGTGCAGTGGCGTGAACTCAGGTCACTGCAACCTCCGCCTCCCGGGTTCAAGCAATTCTCCTGCCTCAGCCTCCCGAGTAGCTGGGATTACAGGCAGGCGCCACCATGCCTGGCGTATTTTTAGTAGCGATGGGGTTTCACCATGTTGGTCAGGCTGGTCTCGAACTCCTGATCTCATGATCTGCCTGCCTTGGCCTCTCAAAGTGCTGGGATTACAGGCGCGAGCCACTGCGCCCAGCCTACTCAATGATTTTCTAACCAAAAAGCTTTATTACAATTGCAGTCCAGCCATTCTCCAGCCACCCTGGCCTCCCTGTTTTTTTCAAACACATCAGGGAACATTGCTGCCTCAGGGCCTCTGTACTTGCTTTTCCTATGCCCCTGTTACTCTTCTTTCTCTAGATTCAGGCATGACTTGCTTCCTACTTCCTTCAGTTCTCTGCTTAAATGTCAATCTAGAGAGACATTCTCTGAGCATTCTGCATAAAATGCAGTGCCTCTGACACTCCCTATCTCTCTTCCCGGCTTGTCATTCTCCAGAGGATCATCTGAAACACCTCATGCTTTCATTTATTTATTGTCTGTCTCCACAGTCTCCACTAAAATATTGGTTCACGCTACATTCTCCTACTACCACATCCCTAGGGGATATAAGTGATTCACAGCAGGTGAGGAGAGATGAACCAGGACTTTCTGCTGTGACAAGAGGACACTCATCTTTTTCCTACATTAGTGCTTATACCAGCTCCTGGTTATAAAAACCCAGTCAAATCTGAGCACAGAGGTGTCAGCAGGACCTTCTATTCATGTAAGTCACCTTCAGGCCTCTTTCTGGCTAAAGAGTCTCTCCTATTTTTCTCCTAAATTGAATACCATTTGTGTCAAACGACATACTTCCCACTCCATCAACTCATGGGCCAAACTCTGTCCCATCACCCCTCAGTTTGTCTTCAATCAGGACAAACATCAATCAGAAAGTGAGGAAAATGCCAAATGATATAGCTAAAAGGGACACTGAAACAGAAGACATCCAGACAGAAGATCCTCTGATAGATTTGTAATCTGTAGAGAAGACCTCCTAACAGAAACATTCTTGTCAAATGTGTCAGACCCGATAAGGTCAGTGTCTGTTGCTTCATCTAAAAACTGCAGCCCCATCCCAAGAGGGCACACAGAGGTTCTGATTTGAGCCACATCCAGAAAACATTTAAAAAGCAGATCACACTTCACAGGGTTTCTCAGTCTACACTTGACACTGTCAAAGAAAAACAATGGTCTGACGACCTAACTGGTTCCCTCAGCCTTTGCTCTGCCTTTCCGTTCTGGTATAGGAGGAAAACCGCCCCCCATACCTGACCCCGATCTCCCTTTGCACTCACCTTCCTTCTGGCTTCCAGCAGCACCAATACTCTGCTGTGTCAGAAGATTCTGGTTGTACAGAGTGGGGAGCGCAGCAGCAGCATATTGCTGGATACCCGAGTAGGCCTGAGTGAGGGCCTCCATGGTGCTCCCGGTGCCATTGGAAAGGCCACTGCTGCCCAGGCCACCATTTAAAGCAGCCATTCCTTGGTTGGAGGAAGAGAAGGATTAATATACTAGAAAGACTAAACTGATGCCAAAGACAAGTCTACTTGGGACATCTAGAAGAGGGAAAACTCCAAAGTTCTCCCCTTTATCTCCCTCTTAGTTTCTCCCTGAGAAGAAACTATCTGACTGGCTAGATTTCAGGACATTCACCAGGCCTTGCTAATGGGGACATTAAGAAATGCCATACGCGGGTGTTGTGCTCCCCATTACCTTCATCCAATCTGTGGAATGAGAGCCTCCATTTTCTATCTGGCTATTCTGCCACTTTCTCATAATGAGCTAGAATGTCATAAAAGAAGAGGCCCAAGACTGCAAACTCAAAGGGGTACATGTGATTTCTGACAAGATGTGGGTGAACCCTACCATTAAAACAGCAACTAACAGGTACTAAGTACATTCTATGTGTCATCTACTGTACTATGCAATGTGCTCAGCAGCACTTTACCTATGTTCTAATTTTTTTTTTTTTTTTTGGAGACAGAGTCTCACTCTGTCACCTAGGTTGGAGTTCAGTGGTACAATCATAGCTCACTGCAGCCTCAAGCTCCCAGGCTCAAGCAATCCTCCCGGCCTCAGCCTCCCAAGTAGCTGGGACTACAGGCATGCACCACTACACCCAGATAATTTTTGTAGAGATGGAGTTCTCACTATGTTGCTCAGGCTGGTCTGGAACTTGTGACCTAGGGTGATCCCCTGCTTTGGCCTCCCAAACTGCTGGGACTATAGGTATGAGCCACTGTACCTGGCCTCATTTAATTTTTAACAATCCTTCAAAGTATTCTATTATTCCCACTTCAAAGATGAGAAAATGTCCTTAGAAAGGTGGTCCGAAGTTATAGCTAGCTAACGGACACAGGTGGGATTTAACTCAGGTCTGATTTAAAAATCCCATGCTTTTTTGAGACGGACTCTCGCTCTGTCACCCAGGCTGGAGTGCAGTGGCGCAATCTTGGCTCACTGCAACTTCTGCCTCCCCGGTTCATGCCATTCTCCTGCCTCAGCCTCCCAAGTAGCTAGGACTACAGGCGCCCGCCACCAGGCCCAGCTAATTTTTTTGTATTTTTAGGGGAGACGGGGTTTCACCGTGTTAGCCAGAATGGTCTCGATCTCCTGACCTCGTGATTCGCCCACCTTGACCTCCCAAAGTGCTGGGATTAGAGGTGTGAGCCACCACACCTGGCCCTCATGATTATTTTTAACTTCACTGGGCCACTGCAATCATTCCAGTGGTGCCCCTACCAGGGTTAAGATGTGCTACCTGCACAAAGAATAGTCTGATGACAGCCAGGTGCTGCCCCTTACCTGCCAAAGAGCCAACATTGAGGCCAGCCGTTGCTCCAGCTAATGTCTGCAGGGCTCCAAGTGAGGCTATGGGGTTGACAGAATTACTGCTGCTAGAGCTAGGTGAGGACCCTGCTATTAGAAAGCAAGGAGTTAAAATTCAACCCATCACTGGCATTCTCGCCAAATACAAGAAAAAGTGTCACTATCCAAGTATGCTATTTGTAAAGAGGTTTTCAGTTACTAATTCTAACAACTGTCCTTGCAGGACAGAGACAAATAATGGCCACAGCACATTGAAAATCAGGAAGATTTCTCTTAAGTACAAAAGATGACATTTGAAAATTTGTTGCTCATAATCTGACCTCTCTGGAAACAGGTGTTAACTATTTTCCCTCTCTGGACTCTGCCTTTAAACACAAAGCATCTGTCCAAGGCACATAATGGCACACTGGGTCATCCTCATGCTTACCTGAACTAGTGAGCACGCTGAGGGGACTGCTGGATGTAGTGAGAGCATTGGTACCACTTGGTGTGTTCTGAGCTGCACTAGCTGCAGCAGCTAGTGCAGCCAAATTCTGTAACTGCATTGCATTCAACCCTACAACATCCAAAGCAAGAGATTAGCCAGCAGATAAGGGTGCTTCATATCCATTCCAGCAATGACAAGCACACACTGGCAGAGGGCTGGTCCCTGACAAAGAGGAACTGTTCTAGATAAGCCTTACAAACAACATTACAGGGCTCCAAAAATGATTCATGTATCACTCATTAAGAAACTTGAAATCATTTCCTCAGAGAAGAGATGGCTAATCCAATAGCATACCATGCCAAGTGTACATTAATAAAGGTGTGGGCAATTAGGAAACCAAGAAAAACTGCCTACCATAGGGCCAGGAGCACAGGAGAACAATGCCAAAACCTACAGCACAGAATGGGACTGCATCCAGGCCCCTCACTCACACTTTACAGGGGATTCGCTCTCTGTAATAGAGGGGAACACGCAGAAAACATGGCAGATGCAGAAGGCCCAGGAGCAAACAAGGGAGAACACAGCAGAGCAGCAATGACACAAAGAATAAAGACACTGTCACTTGAATAGCAGATTCATCACCAGAAAGAGGAGAGAGGAAAAATCACTGAGTGAAAGACTTCCAAGTAGAGCCCAGACAACACAGTTGAAAGGGGAAGAAGGAATCTAAACTGTGCTGTCGCTGCTGCAAACCATTTACTAGACAATGGAAAGATGGATGGGGTGAGGGGTGGGGGGAGTGGAAAGAGTAAACGAGAATTAAAATACAATACAGATTACAATCTAGCAACTTTCCAAAAATATAGCCAACTATAATTTCCTGAGACAAAGTGAATGACTATCAAAAATTTTCAAAGAGCAAAATGCAGTTCACTGAAAACTATGCCTTTCTCAAATGCACATTTGGCCTAGCCTAAATCCAATGCAGAGGGTGTAGGCACAGGCAGCTTTGAAGCTGTCCCATGCCCTACCCCCAACCGACTCCTGATGGGCCCTAGCTCAGGTTTGTTGTGGCACTCCATTTAAGTTTTCTGTGTACGATAATAGCAACAACAAAATAGGAATTCACCTAAGAAACAAGAAGATACACAGGTAAACCAAATGCCTGGGTTCTAGAAGCTTCAAGGTAGGGCATTTGCATGGAAGCCATCTTTGGCTTTTCTGCAGTCACTGGAAAAGTCACTTTATAATGGAAATAAAGAGTTCTTGCAATTTTTTCCCCTTATCAGAGAACAGCCTCAGTCTATAGGAGCTAAACAGCCCTTTTCCATATTCTTCTTCAACAGTGACCTAAAAGGTTAGGAGGCACCAGATAACGTCAGAGCAATGTGGCATCAACTAGCCATAGAGCCACTGTATAGAGACAAGAAAATTGAGTCCTGGGATGTTTATCCTAGGTCAGGTTTACATAATAAGCAAAAAAATGTTTTCACAGAAACGATGCCAAACTCCCAAGACTGTTGTTAGCTGGGTCTGCTGGCCTGGGTGCTGCTGCTCCTCTGCAGCAGTGAAACACTTACCTCCCATTGGGTGGAGGCTGCTCAGGGTGTTGAGGTTCCCAGAGGAGGCAGTCTGCTGAAGGAGCTGCAAATAAAGCTAGACATTACACCAAAAAACAGAACAAGAGTGAGAGTGAGGGCTGGTTCTGCATCTGGGATAACTCTACAGCACAGCAAAGCGAGAGTGCAGAGGCCCCCAGAGAGAAGAAAGTCAAAGACAAGAACCCAAGCCAACACAACAGAAACATGAGGCTTATGACAGCACAGGACAAAAAAAAAACACAGCTAAAGCACTGGCCCAGAAGATAGTATGTTCACTGAATACTGAGCCAAGCTCAAGTCCCTGGGCAGCAGAATTCAGCACAGCAAAGGACAGAACTACAGCAGGATAATAAGCTAAACTTGAGGAGCTACGCAGTCAACTGTGATTATTGTCTGCGAATGAATGAATGCCATTTCCAGCTACCCTCTCCCAAGTTCTCCTTAGTTAGGTCCACACATCTCACTCTGCAGATTGTTTCCATCTGGATACTCAATTTCTACTTCACACAACTATTTTAAATATCAAATCTAAACATTTCATAGTATTTCTTGGAGTTACCCTTTATTGGTCACAATGGACCACATGACTAATAATCACTCCAGCTACACATCTATCCAACCTTATTTACTTCCTCCCCTCCAAACTGGTCTTCCCTGTTGCAGATGACCAAATGACTGATGGATTAGTCTATACCAGGTTCAGAGTACGTTCTCCTTCAATGATGGTCCCATGACAAATAAAGTAAGAGGGCCTGTCCCTGAGTTTGTGGCATTAGTTTACTTTGTATATTGGCAAACCACAACCTTCATCTAACCAGCTTGCTGAAAACTTTTGCTCCAACTAAACCCAATTAGTATTGTTTATGGAAAATTGGTATTCTTGTACAGGATCCTTTTATTCAACCTGTTTCCCATTCCTATAAACATCTGACCTGGTTTCTCTGTCGCCGCAAATCCTTCCAGGCTAGAGACCATGGATAAGTTTCAGGAGGTCTACAAACCTCCAGGAACAGAATGGGGGAAAAAATGCACCTATACACCCTTTCCCCCCGCTTCTCAAAGGATAAAAAGATAAAAACCAACTCCTCCAGGACAGTAGAGCCTGGCTAACTCAAGTCCACATAGTCCAGAAAGAACCTCATAATTAATGATGATGTACTATCACACAGTCCACTAGCACCCACGTCTACACTTTTTTTTTTTTTTTTTTGAGACGGAGTCTCGCTCTGTCGCCAGGCTGGAGTACAATGGTGATCTCAGCTCACTGCAACCTCCGCCTTCCAGGTTCAAGCGATTCTCCTGCCTCAGCCTCCCGAGTAGCTGGGACCACAGGTGTGTACCATCACACCCAGCTAATTTTTGTATTTTTAGTAGAGACGGGGTTTCACCATGTTGGTCAGGCTGGTCTCAAACTCCTAACCTCAGGTGATTTGCCTGCCTCGGCTTCCCAAAATGCTGGGATTACAGGCATAAGCCACCGCGCCTGGCCTTTTTCTTCTTAAACACCTTGGGCTATGTGTTCAGTCCTAACTGGTGGACGGTGAATACTGTACTTGGTCCCTTCATTTCCCTCCAAATGAGATTAGCTCTTAGGGCAGGAATCATGTCTAACCAAAACAAAGAGAACACAGCTCTCAACACATGCCATCATGTACTTGCTGGTAGTGGCAATGACAACAAAAAGGTTAACCTTCCCTAAAGGGGGGCTCCAAAAGTCTCTAAGAAAAGCAAATGCATAGCATGTAGACCATTTTCAAAGCATTATCATTTCTGCAGATGACTAAAACCTCCCTGAATTTTCTGAACATATAAGCAATGTTTCAGCACTAAGAAACAATTTTTTCTGTTGAAATATAACCGGACCCAGTGGTTCACGCCTGTAATCCCAGAACTTTGGGAGGGCAAGGTAGGCAAATCACTTGAGGTCGGGAGTTTGAGACCAGCCTGGCTCACATAAGCAAAACCCTGTCTCTACTAAAACTACAAAAATTAGCCAGGCGTGGTGGCACATGACTGTAATCCCAGCTGCTTGCAGTTGGAGGTTGCAGTGAGCAGAGATTGCGCCACTGTTTTCCAACCTGGGCAACAGAGCGAGGCTTCAAAACAAAACAAAACAAAACAACCCCAACTCTTTATATTTTTTTAAAAAAACTTCAGAGAAATACTAGCTAGGATAAACTGGGGTTTTTTTTTTTTTTCTTCTTCTTTTTTTTTTTTTTTTTTTTTTTTTGTGAGACAGAGTCTCGCTCTATTGCCCAGGCTGGAGTGCAATGGTGCGATCTTGGCTCACTGCAACCTCCGCTCAGTGCAACCTCCGCCTCCCAGGTTCAAGCCATTCTCCTGCCTCAGCTTCCCGAGCAGCTGGGATTACAGGCACCTGCCACCACACCCATGTAATTTTTTTGTATTTTTAGTATAGACAGGGTTTCACCATGCTGGCCAGGCTGGTCTCAAACTCCCAACCTCAGGCGATCCACTCACCTCAGCCTCCCAAAGTGTTGGGATTACAGGCGTGAGTCACAGCGCCCGGCCTAAACTGGGATTTCTTATAAGATATTAGAAATATGAAAACCACTGGAACTAAACCAAAATTCAGTACTGGGAGACAGAAATCAGTGCCTTTTGTCTGTTTCCATACAGAATAATACTTGAAATGATGAGGAATAAATGACTATACTAGCTATTTCTATGTGAATATTTTTGTATCATCCATACAAATCTAGTGGTTTCACCATTAATAGCCTAAGATGACCTTTTTCCTCTTTGACTCACAAATGGGTGGTTTTAACTGTCTTGTGCTGGCCCAATTCTTTTCCATTAATAATCCCCTGTAACATATACACTGCAGACCTAGTAAATCTAAATCACAAATTGGGGCGAGACCTTCTTTTGGACTAGACAACCTTCTTTTGGCTCACGACAACAGAGAGATCAAATTAAAGGAAGTCTATTTACAATGTAGTAAACTTGAATATACACCTGTAATGCTCATTTAAAAATGTTCATGTTAATCTCTTGATCTCCGCCAGGCGCAGTGGCTCACACCTGTAAACCCAGCACTTTGGGAGGCCAAGACAGGTGGATCACCTGAGGTCGTGAGTTCGAGACCAGCCTGGCCAACACAGTGAAAGCCCATCCCTACTAGAAATACAAAAATTAGCTGGGTGTGATGGTGTGTGTCTGTAGTCCCAGCTACTTGGGAAGTTGAGGCAGGAGAATCACTTGAACCCGAGGTGGAGGTTGCAGTAAGCCAAGATTGTGCCACTGCACTCTAGCCTGGGTGACAGAGTGAGTGAGACTCCGTCTCAAAAAATAAATAAATAAATAAATAAATAAAGCAAAAAAAGAAAAAAAATCTCTTGATCTCTCAAGTCCGCTGAAAGAAACATTTATCATACTCTTTAGGAAAGACTCAATAAGGATTTTAATGATGCCCTCTACATCTGGTAGAAAGAGATATGGAGAAAGACACTGGTAGTTAAGATTCCCTCAGGAATTTCTTTCTTGGAGGCAAGGACACAAGATGTTTCTAAATCTTTAAAACGGGAAACCAGGAATTCACTTTAGTTGCAGCAAAAGCCTCAAGATATAACCAGAGATGCATGTCCAGAGATACATATATATAGAGAGAGAAAGAGACTAACAGGACTAAAAGAAATAGTACTACCTGAATTTTTACATATAATTTCTATATGCCAAAAGTTGTAAATGCCACTGTGTTTGTTGGCTAGGGACAGCAGAAGAAGGAACAGCTGGGAGCTTGCACAGTCTGCAGAAAGCAAACCACAAAGACTCACTGCTAAATACTGGGGTCCAAGAGTATTTAGACCAGCAAGGTTTCCCCACACAGATGCTGCGCTGATTTGCTGCATCTGCTGCTGGAGCTGCTGGGCCATTCTCTTCTGTTCTTTGTCCTTCTGTGTATCAGCAAATTTTACCACCATGGGTGATGAGCAACCCTGTGAAAAGACCATAACGAAAGGGTCAAATTCCTCCATCTGAAAAGAAGAAAAAAAATCTTCCTTTTGGATGACATGCAGGTTACATTCTAATTTCATTCACTGCCAAATGATTCTCCTCATGATAGACACAAGAGAGAAGAGACTGTAATCCCAACACTTTGGGAGGCTGAGGCGGGTGGATCACTTGAGCCCAGGAATTTTAGACCAGCCTGGGCAACATGGCAAAACGGTCGCTATTAAAAAAAAATACAAAAATTAACTGGGCGTGCTGGTGTGCACCTGTAGTCCCAGCTACTTGAGTGGCAGAGGTAGGGGGGATCACTTGAGCCTGGGTGGTTGGGGCTGCAGTGAGCCATGATATTCCCACTGCACTCCAGCCCAGGTGACAAAGTAAGACCCCATCTCAAAAAAAGGGGTAGGGAGAGCATTTCCAATACGTTAATTTTAAAGAAATCAGTGGTTTTTAACTTTAAGATGTTGGCTGTTTAACCTTCTGGGCAATCAGATGCTGCACATGCTGCTGGACTTTAATGGCCAACTGTCCCAGCATTCCCAAGCTGAGGAATTTTCCCCATCACCTATCTGCTCCCTACCTCCATGGTCTGTGCTTGGTGCATTGCCTTGATAGCCGTCTGTGCCATGGCTCTTGTTGTAAAAGTCACAAATGCACAACCTGGTAAGAGAAGAGTCAGTAACTCATGCATTCATTTATTTCTCTGACAAACATTAACTGAGCACCTACTATGTGCTGACTATCATGCTAGCAATACAGACACAGTCCCTGTTTTCAGGGAATCATGTGCTGGTATGTTGCAACAGGGTGATATGTGCTATAATGAAAAAACAGAACCACTGACAGAAAAAAAAAATGCTTGACAGGAGAAAGGAGGACTCATATCCTCTAGTTCCTCTTGAAAATAAAAGAAAATGGAAGAAGAAAGTATTTCCATTTTGGCATCAAGGATCTTGCAAAGCACCAAAAGAGAAAATTTTAATACATGACAATGAAATATAGAATGTAGACTCCTTAGAGGGGCTGGGAGACAAAAAGAATGAACTGATAGGAGGAGTCAAGACAGGACATAGATATACAGCAGGAAGCAGCAGGCCCAACCTCTTTATCTTGACTGGGCCATATTGGCTAGGGAATCACTGTTGCTAGTTTCCACCGGTCAAATTAAAAAGATTCCAAGCCCGGTGCAGTGGCTCACACCTACAATCCTGGCACTTTGGGAGGCCAAGATGACAGGATCGTTTGAGTCCAGGAGTTCAAGACCAGCCTGGGCAACACAGGGAGACCTTTTCTCTATAAAAAATTTAAAAATTAGCTGGGTGTCATGATGCATGCCTGTGGTCCCAGCTACTCAGGAGGCTGATCCTGGGAGGTTCAGGCTGCAGTGAGTTGTGAAGGCACCACTGCACTCCAGCCTGGGTGAGAGAGAGCAAGACCTTGTCTCCAAAAAAAAAAAAACCCCAAACCAAACCAAAACAAAAAACCAAAAGATTATTTAAAAGCTAAAACTACCTACCTCGGCTCAGGCCATCAGGTCCCCGCAATATCCGGCATTCTTCAATCTGTCCAAACGAAGAGAACATGACTCGGATGTCATTTTCAGTGCACTTCTTGGAAATCATACCAATAAACAGCTTCCTGTCTTCCACTGCTAAGAGAGTAAAACAGAAAAGACTTGAATATTACTACTTAAAGAGGCAATGTGGCACAGATTTGGGAGCCAGACCGCCTGGGTTTGAATCCTGGCTCTGTACCATATTTTACAGATTCAAAGACACACATTTGTTTTTTGTATTTTTCACATCTCTTTTTTTCTTGTTTTTGAGATGGAGTTTCGCTCTTGTTGCCCAGGCTGGAGTGTAATGGCGCGATCTCGGCTCACCGCAAGCTCCGCCTCCCGGATTCAAGTGATTCTCCTGCCTCAGCCTCCTGAGTAGCTGGGATTACAGGCATGCGCCAAAATGCCTGGCTAATTTTGTATTTTTAGTAGAGATGGGGTTTCTCCATGTTGGTCAGGCTGTTCTTGAACTCTCGACCTCAGGTGATCCACCCGCCTCGGCCTCCCAAAGTGCTGGGATTACAGGTGTGACCCACCACGCCCGGCTTCACGTCTCTTTTTATAACCAATGTTATCTTAAAATTATAATTAGAAGCATTTAGATGAAATATGGTAGCTTTGTAATCTTGTGAAAGTTACTCAACCATTCTGTGCCTGTTTCCTCATCTAACTAATAGGAATAATCAGGTTTACTTCAAAGGGTAGCAGTTGCTATTAAATGTGAAGTACTTGGCATCTTCCCTAGTCCTTTGTATTGTTTCCTCTTTTTGAGACAAGAGTCTCGCTGTCACCCAGGCTGAAGTGCGGTGGCATGATCATGGCTCACTACAGCCTTGACCTGCCGGGTTTAAGCAATCTTCCCACCTCAGCTTCCCGAATAGCTGGGACCACAGGTATGTACCACCACACCCAGCTAATTTTTTGCAGAGAGGTTTCACTCTTATTGCCAAGGCTGGTCTCAAACTCCTGGGCTTACGCAATCCTCCGGCCTCAGCCTCTTAAAGTGCTGTGATTACAGGTGTGCGCCACTGTGCCCAGCCAGCATTGTTTGCTCTTACTGGCAATACTACTAAAGAAAGAAGAGGTTTTCACACTTGATATGACAAGTGGAAGAGAATACACCTTTCAGTGAATGTAACTGTCTACTTTTCTGAATTTTTTTTTTTTTTGAGACAGAGTCTTGCTCTGTCACCCAGGCTGGAGTGCAGTGGCACGATCTCAGCATACTGCAACCACCGTCTCCTGGGTCCAAGCGATTCTCCTGTCTCAGCCTCCTGAGTAGCTGGGATTACAGGCATGCACCACCACACTCAGCTAATTTTTGTATTTTTAGTAGAGACAGGGTTTCACCATGTTGGCCGGGTGATCCGCCCGCCGTGCGCTCCCAAAGTGCTGGGATTACAAGCATGAGCCACCTCACCTGGTCCTGACTATCTTCTTGAGAATTAAGGCCAGGCGTGGTGGCTCACGCCTGTAATCCCAGCACTTTGGGAGGCCGAGGCGGGCGGATCACAAGGTCAGGAGATCGAGACCATCCTGGCTAACACAGTGAAACCCCGTCTCTACTAAAAATACAAAAAATTAGCCGGGCGTGGTGGCAGGCACCTGTAGTCCCAGCTACTCGGGAGGCTGAGGCAGGAGAATGCAGTGAACCCGGGAGGCGGAGGTTGCAATGAGCTAAGATCATGCCAGTGTACTCCCGCCCAGGCAACAGAGTGAGACTCCATCTCAAAAAAAAAAAAAAATTCGAGAATTAAGTTCTCCTTCCTAATTTGTTCATTTTGCCCCCTCATTCCTGTCCAAAAGAAATTATACTGACCAAGTATATTCCAGTTCATTCTACAATGTTCTTATAATATTTCTCTGTCAGCTCTGTTCTTCATCATACTTTTAAAGAAAAAACTGAGACAACTTAGACAACGGATTACTTAAAGCACAATTCAATTCAGATAACCTAAGAACAGCAAACAAACTAGGCAGAAATCTTTTTTTTTTTTGAGACAGAGTCTCACTCTGTTGCCTGGGCGGGAGTACACTGGCATGATCTTAGCTCATTGCAACCTCCGCCTCCCGGGTTCAAGAGATTCTCATGCCTCAGCCTCCTGAGTAGCTGGGATTACAGGCATGCACAACCATACCCAGCTAATGTTTGTATTTTTAGTAGAGACGGGGTTTCACCATGTTGGCCAGACTGGCTCGAACTCCGGCCTCAAGCAATCCATCTGTCTTGGCCTCCCAAAGTGCTGGGATTACAGGTGTGAGCCACCGTGCCTGGCCTAGGCAGAAATCTTAAGGGGAAGATTGTATACATTTGCTTACCATTGTTCTTCTCACTGTCAGCAGGTTTCATCTGTATAGGGTGATGCATCTGAAAAGGAAAAATATGATTATTATCACTGTATATATTGATGGTATTCAAAAATACATATGGACTCTAAAATACCAGAACTAGAGCTTTAAAGAGTTCTCTCTGAACTCATGTCTGCTTCATGATCTTTCCCCAGAAAACAGAATGTGAGTCAAGAAGTCAAAATACACAAGACTCTTGACTGAGAGAGAACTAATGTCAGGTAATCTCTGAACTGCTCCCTTTATGTCTTCCTTTACATCAATTCCTGCAGCAGTTACCTTTTCCCCAAAATGGTTTTCAGTGTGTGTCTGATATGTGTAAGTATATCCCACATATCAAAGTTACCACATTTCCATTTACTAGTGGGAGCTTTCTTACCCCTGGGAGGACTTTCATGTTGTGAAGAGCATTCTGAGCTTCTAATGCAGCTTTACGGGTGTAAAATGTAACAAAACAGCACCCTGCAATAAATAAGATTTCATAAAATCAAACTTTGGAAAGCAGAGAATTCCTAGAGCAATCCTTCCTCCACTGACAGATCAGATCTTAAAAGAGGGCTGGGTTTATTAAAATTAGTGAGAGGGGGAGGGTAGTGGAAAAGAACGAATAGAATATCTAGCAGAGGAATAAGAGATTATTTTCTATACACTTTATTGTTTTAGTCTCCTCCTAGTTAGTTACACTATAAGTCTTATTTAGCTGCTCATGTAACTTCTCTGGAAAATACGACTTCTCATAAAGAAAGGTCATGTGCCATTTGACTCAACCTACCCTACTTGGAACACCAGGTGGTATATGAGACAAGAAGACAGATGGGGCTCTATACTTTTGCAGCCTGTAGTCTACCAGGAACTCTTTCTTTCCCTGCTCTCTCAGAATAAACCACTCCCTACTTCGTAGCCAGATTCTACCATATGCCTCAAACATAATTATCACTTATTAAATTATAAAATGACTTAAGAGCAAGCACCTCTTAACATCTTTTTTTGGACTCTTGGTTCTCATCAAATATAATTAAGCTTCTAAAAGCACATGGTGCTGCCTCAGATCTGTAGATTTTGTGCTTTGTATCTTTATTTTGGGTAGTAGGAGAGGAAGTATATCTTGTAAATCTTGGGCTTAAATGTTCTGACACTCCCATATTCTCATGAGATACAATATAGATTTTTTTTTAAATCATGCTGCAGCAGTTAGAACTACAAATTACTGAAGGTTATATTGCCAGTCATGTTCAGAAACTATTATACTTTATATTTTTAGTTAACCATGCCAAAAAGAGAAAGTAATTCCTCTGCTTCTAGATCCTCTGCTATTAAGCTAGTTTCAATATGATAATCATGCTTGCTTACATTTGCACTGTTGGACAGCTTTCACAGAAAATTATTTGAAAACTGGTAAAATGGAAAATAAGAACATGTCTGTGTGTATATACGGGGCAAAGTTAATACCTATCTACCATCAGTCTTGTGAAACTTCCACTCTGCTAGGCAATTCTGGAAGCAGCTCCGCCTTTCCTCTCCTGTTCACTTTGTGGCAACAGCAAACAAGCTGCCTAAACAAATCCTTTCTATTTGATAAACTATCCCGCAAGGCCTCTGTAATACTAACAAGAAACCAATGGGTATGTGGACAGTCTTTCTCCTTCAGCTTATGCTAGCCCAAACACTAAAGAAAACTTTATGTGGTTTAACTTCAATTTTATCTTTGTTATCTGTTCCCAAGGTCAAATAAGACACTCACGTGAGTCTGTCTCTTAAATTTAGAACCCTCACAAAGGACTGCCCAAGACCCAATTTACAAATTATCCTCATGCTAACACCTTAACTTTTTAAAGCCATTAAATATGTTTGGATTACAAGATATTACTACTATAAAAGGACAGATTTTTTCCAATAGACAGACAGACAGGAGTATTCTGGCAATGACAGAGAGAATGCACATGAAAGAAATTACATATAAAAATCCAATTTTTTGTATCCTGTTAAAAACCCAAAGCCCTCACCTGCTCTGAGAGTCAGTGGAAAAAATAAGATAAACCAAAACCCAAAGCCCTAACCTTTGCTCTGAGGCGGGTTTTGGCTCCTATCCCTTAGGACGTTGATTTCATACACAGCACCATACTGTTCGAAGAGTTCCCGCAAGTCCTTTTCAGACCAGGTCCTTGGAACCTGGCCCACAAACATCTTGATAGCATCAAGATCTGGTTGGTCTGGGTGGTCCAGGGTGCCGTTCATTTTCTTTGAGCTGTGTGAGATAAAATGAAACTTCTATTATGTAATAATGTTGCTTTCCAGAGGAAATTTTCTTTTCTTTAATGATCTTAACTAGTTCTGAGAACGTAAGGGAAAAAAAATCTACTTCTTTCACTACTTCCATTCAGTTTACCAGAGTTCCCTGGTTCTCCCTCACCATGGCCACCCATTCCATCAGATGCCAAACTAAAGTCACCATTCTGATTGGGACATCCCAGCTGTTACCAGGGAACTGACAGTGTACATTTCTTATCTAGCATGAGAATTACCATGCTAGAGGAGGAACTTAAAGGGTAAAACTCCCAAAACAAGATCAAGTTTTAATAACTTTTAAGCATAGTTAACAAAACAAACACTTAAAAAAAGGCCCACAAAATAACAAAGGACTATTGATTACAAATAAGATTCAGAACACTTCAATGTATACAATGACAGGTGAAGTTTCCTTTCAGTAGAAGTTAGAAAAGAAGCACTTGATTTTCAAGGATTAAACTAAGGACTAGAATGCTGGCCTTTGAATGTAGCTGACTCATGTATAATCATAATGCTCGAGTTAGGTCTCCAGACCAAAACAGAGCTCCACCTCTTATATTTCCAGATGATTGTGCGATGAACATAAACAATGTTACCATCATTTTAGATTTTCTGTTTCTGAGTTATCCAATTTACTGCTATTACTCTAAGACCAGTTAAGATTCCCTTACTGAGGGCAACCATTTTAACGATCCCAAGTTTCTCTAGTCCTATCACATTGTACTTGTAATTCTCCTATTTCAGTTTTATTACCTTTAGAACCTGAAGGATAATCAGCTATTTTAATACCTTCATTCCTATCTTGCCACTGTAAACAACCTAGGTGAATTCTTACACTATAGATGTTTCCACTCAGAACATACCATCTTGTTTTTTTTTTTTTTTTTTTTGAGACGGAATTTCACTCTTGTTGCCCAGGCTGGAGTGTAATGGCCTGATCTCAGCTCATGGCAATCTCCACTTCCCAGGTTCAAGAGATTCTCCTGCCTCAGCCTCCCAAGTGGCTGGGATTACAGGTGTCTGCTACCATGCCCAGCTAATTTTTGTATTTTTAGTAGAGACGGGCTTTCACCATGTTGGCCAGGCTAGTCTCGAACTGACCTCAGGTGATCCACCCGCCTCGGCCTCCTAAAGTGCTGGGATTACAGGTGTGAGCCACCACGCCTGGCCTCATACCATCTACTTCAAAGTCCTTCGTCCTATTTGTTTCTAAATTTAACTCTGAACATTTATCTAAACCATTAATAACTTAAATTCCCAATATCTAGCACTATTAGCTTTTCTGTTAGTATCTGCTTAATCTAAAAATCATATACAAAAATTGCCACGTTCTAATATCCAATCCCAAACAACATGCTAGTTTTTTTTTTTTTTTTTTGAGGCTGACTTTCACTCTTATTGCCCAGGCTGGAGTGCAATGGCATGATCTCAGCTCTCTGCAACCTCCTCCTCCCAGGTTCAAGCAATTCTCCTGCCTCAGCCTCCCAAGTAGCTAGGATTGAAGGCATGCACCACCATGCGTGGTTAATTTTGTATTTTTAGTAGAGATGGGGTTTCACCATATTGGTCAGGCTGGTCTCAAACTCCTGACCTCAGGTGATCTGCCCACCTCGGTCTCCCAAAGTGCTGGATTACAGGCGTGAAGCACTGCACCCAGCCAATGTGCTAGTTCTCTTTAAACAACAACAAAAAAATCATTTTTCCACCATTGCTATCTTCTGAATAGTGTCTGAAGATCCTTAAGAATGCTGAATCTATGAAAGTAGCTCACCTTCTTTTAATTACTATATATTTTCTTTCTTTTTTTTTTTTTTGAAATGGAGTCTCGCTCTGTCGCCCGGGCTGGAGTGCAATGGTGCCATCTCGGCTCACTGCAACCTCTGCCTCCTAGGTTCAAGTGATTTTCCTGCCTTAGCCTCCCAAGTAGCTGGGATTACAGGCGCGTGTCACCATGCCCAGCTAATTTTTGTATTTTTAGTAGAGATGGGGCTTTGCCATGTTGGCCAGGCTGGTCACAAACTCCTGACCTCAGGTGATCTGCCTGCCTCAGCCTTCCAAAAGTGCTGGGATTACAGGGATGAGCCACCGTGCCCAGCCTATTTCTTTATTTTTTATTTGAGACAGATTCTCTCTGTTGCCCAGGCTGGAGTGCAGTGGCGTAATCTCAGCTCACTGCAACCTCCACCTCCCAGGTTCAAGTGATTCTCATGCCTCAGCCTCCTGAGTAGCTGGGATTACAGGTATGCGCCACCATGCCTGGCTAATTTTTGTATTTTTAGTAGAGCTGGGGTTTAGCCATGTTGGCCAGGCTGGTCTTGAACTGAGCTCAAGTGATCCACCTGCCTTGGCCTCCCAAGTGCTGGGATTACAGGCCTGAGCCACCGCACCCAGCCTTGAATCTTTTATAATTCAACACTTACAGGGGTTATTCTCACATCACCTTTGATGACTCTAGCACTATCTAAATTCAAAAGCTGTAAGACAAATGGAATATAGACCAATTCCTAACCCTATATCTGTGAAGGCTCCCCATATTCTTCCAGGTTAACTAATCAGCTACAATCCTAGGACTCCAACAGTACTAAATTTCCACCTTCGTTGTGGAAATTTTAGCATTAAAATTATGCTTAACACCTTTGAACATAATCGGGCTGTATCCACCTCTTCCCAATTAAACTGACAGCTCCTTGCAGGCAGAAACCATTTTATTTCCTGTTCATTCTTGTAAACACACTGGGTATAGTATCCGGTTCAAAGTAAGCACTCAAATGTGTGAAAGGAGAAATTCCTTAAGTTTCAACAGTCCCCATTTAACCAATTAGCTCTGATAAAATGAGTGCTATGCACAAAAACAGCACCCAAATTTAAGAGCAGCTATTATCTCCTATGATTATTTAATTGCCACAGGATTAATACGCCTTTTTCTTTTAAAGACATGGTCTCGCTCTGTTGCCCAGGCTGGAGTGCAGTGGCATGACCACAGCTAACTGCAGCCTCGACCTCCCAGGCTCAAGCGATTCTCCTACCTCAGCAATCCCAGTAGATGGAACTACGGGTGTGCGCCACCACATCTGGCTAGTTTTTAACATTTTTTTGTAGAGAGAGGGTCTCACTATGTTGCAAGGGCTGGTCTGAAACTCCTGGGCTCAAACGATTCTCCCACCTCAGCCTCCCAAAGTGCTGGGATTATAGGCATGGAACTACTGCGCCTGGCCTATTTTCTTTTGAGTGTTTCAGATGGCATCATTTTACTGGTTTTCCTGTAATCTGTTAATTTAAAATGTGTGGCAGGTCATGGCAAAAACATAATGTGACTGCTTTTAAATGCTTAATCCTAATGTTCCAACAGAAATCAGCTACCATGATGAAAAAAAGCCCTATGGCCAGGCATGGTGGCTCATGCCTGTAATCCTAGCAACTGTGGGAGGCCGAGGCAGGCAGATCACTTGAGGTCAGGAGTTCGAGACCACCCTGGCCAACATGGTAAACTCCGTCTCTACCAAAAAATACAAAGCAATTAGCTGGGTGTGGTGGCGTGCACCTGTAATCCCAGCTACTCGGGAGGCTAAGGCACAAGAATCGCTTGAACCTGGGAGGTGGAGGTTGCAGTGAGCTGAGACGGGGCCACTGCACTCCAGCCTGGGTGGCAGAGTGAGATCTTGTCTCCAGAAAAAAAAGGCAGCCCTATCACTAGTGAAACACTGGCTCCCTACAACCTGTCCCGACAACTTTAATTACCAGTTGTAATAGCATTTTACTAGAATGTTGCTAATCTTTCATTCTATTTCTATTCTAGAGTGGGTTAACAAAGAACCCCAATGGTGCCCAGAATACATTTTGATAAGGAAGCTGACAGCTATTTCTGAAAAGCAGTTTTATCAATCTGTATTACGGAGGCAACTGCTCCCAGATTGCCCCTTCCCTCTGTTGTTTGTGTGCCAATTCTGAACTTTTGCATCCTGTTTAGTGCTAAAGCATAAACACAAGTCAATATATGTAGATTACAGTTTACCCAAAAGTTTAGCAGGGACTCAAGATTCTAGAGAAATGTCATCCTTTGCTCTTCTTTAGCTCTCCAAATCCTTCTCTATTTTTCCAGGTCTACCTACACCATGAACCTCCCCTTCCCTGTTTATATACCAATTCAATAGCCAGAAGACTCCCATAGAGTAGCACTGTTCAAACTGTGGCCCAAGAGGCTGGGGACAGTGACTCACCTGAGGTCAGGAGTTTGAGACCAGCCTGAACAACACGGTGAAACCCCGTCCCTACTTAAAAAAAAAAAAAAAAAAATTAGCTGGGTGTAGTGGCACACACCTGTAGTCCCAGCTACTCAGGAGGCTGAAGCAGGAGAATCACTTGAACCCGGGAGGCGGAGACTACAGTGAGCCGAGATCGTGCCATTGTACTCCAGCCTGGGCGACAGAGCAAGACTCCATCTCAAAAAGAAAAAAAAAAAAAAAAAAAAAAGGGCGTGCACACACACAAGGTGTGGCCTAAGGACCAGGGGCAATCTTCAAACTTAACTCTTTGGAAATTTTTACAGAAATTAGACTGAGCAATTTTGTATTTGTTCAGTCTAGTAATAATAAATGTAAAATACAAGCTCATACCTTATTTTTTCCCCTACATCATTCTCATTGCATTTTACAAGGGAGTGGGGGTGGGGAGAGATATGGTCCCTTAACACAGCTTGAGAAGCACTACCAAGGTATAGCAACAACCCGCATGTATACCCGTGTGTATGTAATAAGCAGTCACAAACTTTCTCTGATATTGTGTCTGAAGAGAAACAACACTCTCCCTCTTCCACATATACTTCCAATATGCATGTTGTCATTATGATTAAAAGTAACCATTGTATTAAAAAAGCCATCTGGGTACACATCAGCTACCACATCATCCATTTACTCTTTGTATCATTAAATACATTCTCAAATTTGTACCTTACTTCCCCATTCAATGGAGAGTTATGTATATTTATCATCTCCATTCAAGAACCAGTGAATTCAGCAGTTCCCTGGAGAAGTATCTATAGTGTCCCTGTCATTCCTAAGAGGCAAGTCTATGGAAATTCCTATTTCCTGGGGCAGTACTGCCAGCCCTGACCTGGGAACAGGATAGAAGAAAGGCAAATCAGGGCCTGCAAGAATGTGAAGAGGAGGAAGATCAGAAAGTGGCAAGTGTTTTAGGGGAAAGGGATGAAACCTACCCCCTCTCTTTTTATGTTTCTACTACTGGCAGCAGAAGCAGTAATAGTAATACCTGAGGAGGTAGTTACTCTCATTGTTGCTTCTGCTGCCATTATTAAGAATGAGCAACTATGAAAATTCAGGACAAGAGGTTACTTCGTCTACCTTGATTTCTGCTGAAACATACTATGAGAAAATACAATAGGGATACAATTGGGAAGAGACACACGAGGGAACAAAAAAGAGCTGTTATTTTCAAAGTATGTATTTGTTCAAAATTCTTGAACACTCTCTTCTCTTTCTCCTTTCTTTTCCCCTCTCAAAATTTCCCCACCCCAGGCCTATCTCAGGGGCAGCACAAATGTTCTATTCCAAATTTTTCCCATCCTCTGGCCCCAAGTGACTAAACCATGTGGTGGGTCTTAACCCAATGGCAAGCTGATCCATTGGCTGGCCAGAAACTTAAGACCCTTGACCTATGCTTAAAACAAAAACGGGCCTGGCCAATCAAGCTCCTTTATAGCTGCACTGAGCAATACGATGATAGCCACTAGCCACAAGTGGCTATTTAAACTTAATTTAAAAAACTAAGTTCTTCAGTTGCACTTGCCACATGTGGCTAGTGGCTACTGTATGAGACAGAGACAGAACATTTTATAGTTGTTGTTGTTTTTGTAAAGACAGGGGTCTTGCTGTGAAACCCAGGCTGGTCTCGAACTCCTGGCCTCAAGGGATCCTTCCATCTCAGCCTGCCAAATGCTGGGATTATAGGCACGAGCCACTGCCCCCAGCTGCGATACAGAATATTTTCATCATCACAGAATGTTTTATTTGACAGCACTACTTTACAGAATCTGGAACTGGTTAACAGAAACAGGCAGTTAGTAGTGAAGTCAGAAGTGGAAAAGTTGCAACTAGAGATAGCATGGGTTAAATGGAGAAGCTCAAAGTGCTGTGGTCAAAAGACAATGGGTCATGCTACAACAAAGACCTTGAAAACATTATGCTAAGTAAAAGAAACCAGTCACAAAAGGCCACATAGTATATGTTACCATTTATATGAAATGCCCAGAACAGGCAAATCTACAGACAGAAAGTAGGTTGGTGGTTGCTTAGGAATGGGGATGGGGGAAGGGAGACATGGAGAAGAAGAGGGGAATGGTTGCTAATGGGTACAGGGTTTCTTTTAAGGGTGATGAAATGTTCTGCAATTAAATAGTGGAAATGGTTACACAACTCTGGAATATACTAAAAATCACTGAATTGCTCACTTTAAAGGGTAAACTTTATAGTATGTGAATTATGTCTCAATGTGAAGGGGAGGGAGAAGGGATCCGAAGAAAAGTCATGTTGCAACCAAAGTTATAAGGTAGTTAAGAGTAGAAAGGAGGTACATGTAGAGTGAGCAGTTATATATCCTGGAGTCAGAAAGATACACTTTCTAGGTCTTCTAGCTGCAGAGCTCCTGATTAGATTACAGTTCAGTCCACCTGTGTCCTTATAAGAAAGCCCTTTCATATATGCTAGCTTGAGTGGACATCTGTTCCTTGCAGCCAAACAAGACCTTCAAACGGGACCTGTTTAAAAATAATTCCTGAAACCTTTCATTATTTTTTCACTCCCCCTTTCTCATTACCTGTTGACTTCCCTTTAATTATACAAAAAGAAAAAATTCAGATACTTACCAATCCCTCCACCTCCCCAGCAGGCAAAAATACTTGTTGCATTCCAAACTTCTGCTACCACCCACCCTTATACAAGGTCCCTCTGGCTCACATACAGTGCTGTGGAAAAACTGGAACAGAAGTGCGTGAGAATAAAAAGGGCCCAGAAACACTGGCCTGAGTTACTTACCAGCTGCTCCCTAGTGAGAACAAGACAGAATAATACATTTATGCTGTGAGAAAGTTAATTTTCATTTGGATAAAGGTCAATCTTCCTATCATGTGGGGTGTTAGGTACTAGAAAAAGCTATCTCTAAGGACAATAAAGACAATAATAATTTAAAGTCACCATCCAACAACAGAATAGCTAACAATATGCTTTTAAAGGTTTTCAGCCTTCTTCCCTGAGGTATGGAGATAAGATCTGGAGATCTTATCTCTGCAATCATCTTTAATATCATTCATTCAACTGTAATTCCCAAGCTTTTGCTATGGTGCCAGATACTACACACTATAGGGCTCTGTAAGACTGAGCAATATGTGCCCTTGAGGCAATGTCACTGAAAAAGTAGAAGGGCACAACTATAATCCTCTACAAATCCTATAAAGGAATGTTTAAAAGTTCTATGAAAGAAGTGGCTAATATGATTTTACTTTATTTGGAGGAGGGGGAGGTGTGTGTGCAGAGATTTCAGCTGCATAGAGTAGGCAACTAGAAAAAGTGCTACGTGGCATGGAGGAAAGAGGCCTAAGGGTGATGAAGAAATGGTAAGGACTGAGGAGAGATGGGAAAAGTGGGATAACATCAGAAGGGAGAAAAAGGACTTGAGAAAGTTGTGGGCAGAGTACAGAAACAGAGAAGAGATCATACTAGAAAGCTGACTAAGAATAAAGAGGTAGGTCAGAGAGACCCAGTGAAGGGCTTTCCATGTTATAGACAGGTTTGGAGTTTATTCCAAGATTTTAGATTAAGTGAATGATCAGATCTGTCCTTTTAAAAGATACCTAAAAATAATCTGGAGGATGAAATAAGGCAGGGAACATGGAGATCAGAAGGCTCTTGCATAAACTAGTACCTAAGATTAGCACCCAGTCTCAGCCAATACTGAGGAATTTTGGGCCAGGATACACTAGGATCTGGAGTTCACTTGAACTCCAAGGAGGAGAGGAAGAGAAAGAAACTAACAACTCTTGGGTTCTAGTGAAGACAATATGGGAATTACTTTTTGTGGGGAAGTCTCTAGATGAAAAGTAATCAATGAGCAGTATTTAGAATAAAGTCTTAGACCTCAGAAGACATTTGGGGGAACAGAGATCTGAGAAGCAGAGAAGCACATCAGTGTCCCCTTAAGCAATGGGAGAATGAAAAGAAAAAAGTCTGGGACACAACTCATGAAAATATCCATATCTTAGGATGCAGGCAAAGTAGCACCAGTGGAAGCTTAAGAGTGATCAATGAAGAATCAAGAACATTGGCTAACCGTTCACTGACACTAGAGGCAGCCTGGTCTAGTGGGCAAAAATAAAAAGACCTTTACCTTTAAACTTGTACTTCAGGCCCAACACTGATTACTATTTGTCCTCAATCTCTCTCTCAACTGGGTTTCTCATGTTTAAAATCGGGGCAATGGCCTACGCCCAGGCACCCTTGCAAAGTTTTGGTGAAGATGGGTGACTAAAACAGATGCAAACGTACTTGGAAAAAATGTTGACAATCCATTCCCCGACTGACTCTGAGAATGACCTGTGTTAAGTCCACTAGCTCTCGAACTTTAGTGTGCACAAAAAAACATGCTGGACACTTGTTTCTAGAGTCTTGGGGGTCCTATTCTAGAATAAAAACATCTGAATTTTTAAGTTCCAGGTGACTTTCATGCAGTGGTCCATGGTCCAGATTTAATGGGATATTGAATGGGTCCAATCTCTTAAAAGATTAGAAAGCAGGCTGAGAAGAATGCTGTGTCAATGTTGGGTTGAACACCAGGCAGTGGCAAAGCACAGGAAGTATTACAATGAAAGACAATTTGAGCAACAGCCTTGTTTCTAAGGATCATAAATCCTGGGACATGGAAATATCCTTATTATGTATTAAATCTTTATCATGATATTCACTTTAATTTCACCTGTTACAGCTAAAATAAAATTTTAGTAGTAAAGAACTCTCATAAAAAGACATTTAAATTACCGTAATTTTGGAGACTACAGAGGAGGCATAAGATCCACTTCAAAAGAGTAAGACAGGCCAGGTGCCGAGGCAGCAGGATAGCTTGAGCCCAGGAGTTCAAGACCAGCCTGGGCAACACAGGGAGACCTCATATCTACAAAAAGTTTAAAAATTAGCCAGGTGGTGGTGCATGCCTGTGGTCCCAGCTACTTGGGAAGCGGAGGCGAGAGGACTGCTTGAGCCCAGGAGGTTGAGGCTACAGTGAACTGTGACTGTGCCACTGCACTCCAGCCTGGGCAACAAAGCAAGACCCTGTTTCAAAAACAGAGAGAGAAAGAGCTAACTTTGAGCCCTGCCCCCCAACTATTCCACAAAGAACTGTTTGGTATCTACTATTATCCACACCTGTTACATCTAATCCCAGGGTAGACTGATTTGCACATGGAGGCCTAACCTCAAAGACTTGCATTAACACTTGTTATCTAGAGAATATTCTACCATTTAATATTCTTGGCTTTGAATAACCTAAAGCTCATTTGCTGGAGGTTCCAAAATACTCTGAAGCCTGGTTACAGTGACTGAAATCAGGGGTTGGAAATGTGTCCTTCTCTACAAAGTCCAGAATTCAGGTTCCTAGCAGCTACAACTCAGGGTTAGGTTAGCATTTTGGCTGTGTACAACAGCAGTTCTTGGACAGTACTGCAAGCTAACAAGGTTTCTCACTCTCACAATTTATTTGGGCAAATTGCCAATCAAGATTGATCCAGTTTTGCTTTTTTTGGAGGGTAAAGGACAATTTGATGTTCCTAAAATCACGTGCTGAGCTGTATTTTCAATTAGACTCGGCGGGGGTGGGGGGAATCAAGGTCCAGGATTGCACTTTGTATGTTAATACAGAATGTTGTAGATGATACTAAACACACTGACTGTAGCTACCAGTCTTCTCTGTGATAGGAGACTAAGAATCCAGTAATTTAAAATAATAAAATACTTCCTTCCCAAAAGATTATTTGAAATTGCATGTCCAACCCAAAGCGACAATGCTACAGTTTAAAAAAAAAATACCTTGTAATCTATCATATAGGAAAACACTACAGCTTAAAGGAATTGGAGCTAGCACACTTGAGCTGATGCTGCTGGTCATATATCAAGTGCACCTTTATGTAAATAACTTAAAGCCTTGAGGAAATAAGCAGTAATGAGACAGACTACAATTGAAAATAATAGCATGAGAGAATTCAGGTTGTTTTGGCTTCTTTCCCCATTTTTCTCTTCCCCTTCTTAAAAAAAGGAACCAATTTCATCAAATAAAGAAAACAGCCCAGTTCCTCTGCTTATGATAAAAATTAGACAACAAAAATACTTACACGGGACTGGAATTCAAAGAGCAATGATCCACCATCATTTCTGGAAGGAAATCCAACTTAAACGCAGCCATCACCTCACTCTCCCCTTCAGAAGCCAATGATATTAACTTGCTGCACTTGTCTGATCCACAAATACACACAGCTTTAGCTTCCTGGGCCCCACAAAAAACACAAAGTGGAAACAGGAGCTCAGGGAAACCAGCAATAAGTGCCACAGAAAGAGGCAGGACTGGGGAAGGGGTAGGGAAAGGGAGTATTGGATTAAAATGGGGATGTGACCATGTGAAGGGAGGCTCAGCCCAGCACACAATGAAAGTGCTGATGCGCCAGGCTTGTTTTGTGCAATTTTCCCTGGCGAAGCAGTACTAAGTGCACTGTCAGATAAATAGTGTCAGATCCATGAAGATAGCAGTGGCTAACAGAGCAGAAGAAACACAAACTTGTTTCACATCCTCCAAACTCCTCCCTGCAAACCAGTTTTTAAGGTCCCCCAAAGCCTGAAACTACCTGAAGCAAGAAAAGGCTCACCGAAGAAATGGGTTGTTAGCCTTGCTTTTAAACTTACGTTTCCATGTGCCAAAGACAGCAATGAGCACAGTGCTTAGGTCCAAACTAACCTCAGAACAGTCACATAAAGAGGAATGATAAGACCATCAGAAGCAGGCCAGAGGCAAACTGGTTGAATAAACTGGCCACCAGAAACTTACCACTCACATACAACTGCCTACAGTTGATCAGCCTTGCTTTTTTTTTTTTCTTGATATTTTCAAAAGAGCATCAATTTCTCAACTGACCTTGCTTTCTTGATGTGCTATCTAATGGTTAGAGCAAGGTGTGCTATCTAATGGTTCCTCATCTGGGTGAAAGACTTCAAAAATCCTTTGTTCAGTAACACTCATTAGATGGCACAGGGAAATTTTCTTTACTAACTCTGAAGCTTCATCTGCCAGAAAATAAAAATGGAATAGTAATATTCTGCTTCTTACTAGCATACTAGGAAATAATGTATTTTCAGTTCTCTGTTGTCCTTTCTAAAGAAACAAAGAACAAAAGCCACTTTAGTGATAATAATGAAAAAGAACTAGGGCCTACCAGGGACAACACTCAAACATGTAAGGGAAAAACCAAGAAATGAAGTCTCTTCATTCTCTTTTTCCTCCTTTAAACTGTTGATAAAACCAAGACTAGTGAGTGCACACATAAAAATTCTATTATGGGTGAGCAGTAGAGATGGATATACTTAGCAGTCAAGGCAGATGTGTGCTCCCGTTCTCAATTTAGCTCCACATCCCCCCAAACAACAAATGGCGGCATTTCAATATTTAGGCAGTGACTCTAAAATGTTATCTCTGAAGGCTCCCAAATTTCACAGGCTTTCTTTCCATTTTTATCATTAGAGTTGCCTTACCTCAAAGATTTCACTTCACCCAAGCTCAGTTCACAACACAGGGAACTTTGAAAAAAAGAAGTTATGTTCAGCCTGCAAAGAAGTAAAACGAATGAACTACTAAACACACAGAGTTAACGTTAAAAAAAAAAAAGAAAGGCAACACACAATGGCATAGGCCTAGAAGTTCTAATCTGTGTAACAATGGCTAACATCTGTCTGCACCTGACCCAGGAAGGTGAAAACTGTCTCTTCTGTCCATGTCCAGACGTCATCATCCAAAATCTAGAACTGTACTGTAACAGCAGCTTACTGCTTTTTCTATTTTTGCCAGAGACTCGCTCATCTGATTTACTACTATAGAGGCAGAAGTGGCAGGAGCTCTCTTCCACCCTATTAAAGCGGCAAAAACAAACTGCAAGTGAGAGGAGACTGTGCAACTGACACACAGTACACAGTTTACCAAGCCCATGCCTGTCAGGCAGAAGATGGTAACCCTAGCTGGGGCTGGTTAGATTACTGGCTATGTTTGTCCTAGTTTCTCCTACGTACATTGGAACTGATGGCATGCCTCTTCCTATAGAAAGCTGCCTAGACCAAAGAATAACTGAGTCGACAACCAAATTAGATCTTTTAGTGCAAGAATTCCTCTAAAAAGACATTCCAGGCTTTAAAAAGGCTGAGCAACAACAGCTCATGGTGGCTCACGCCTGTAATCAATCCCAACACTTTTGGGAGGCCAAGGCGGGCGGATCACCTGAGGTCAGAAGTTGAAGGCCAGCCTGGCTAAGATAGTGAAACCCCATCTCTACTAAAAAATATCAAAAAAAAAAATTAGCTGGGCGAGGTGGCACACGCCTGTAACCCCAGCTACTCGGGAGGCTAAGGCAGGAGAATAGCTTGAACCCAGGAGGCAGAGGCTGTGGTGAGCTGAGATCACGCCACTGCACTCCAGCCTGGGCGACAGTAAGACTCCGTCTCCCCCACCAAAAAAAAATCCTTTAAAAAGGATTCAATAAATTTCAAGGAACTTACCTAAATTTCAAGGTTATTGTGTTTTTAATATTTCCTAAAAACATATGAAATCTAATTGTATCTCTAGTTCAAATCAGAATCACATCTATAACAAAAGACTACTTAAATGGAGACATTACTGAGTTGCCAGGCACTGTCCAATGTATGAAAAGATGTGCTCTCCTTAAAATAGTTTCCACCAAGCCAAGGGCTGGGAAATATGATTTAGAGTAATGTCTTAAAATCATTTTTTCCCAGTCATAGAACTTTTGTTCAAAAGAAGTCTCCAGAGGCCCAATTTATAAAGCAGTTGAAAATAGAAAGCAGGGCCCATAAATTCTCTGTGCTTATACTGCTATTAAAGTCCATTTTATGATTTATAAAGCAACACCGCTTTAAAAACCTACAAGATGGAAATGTTATTACATGAAAGAGGGCACTTCTTCTCAGGCAGGTCACCAGAGTTATCTCAGTATAATTAAATTCAACATACTTTGGGAAAAGAGAGCACAGAAATTAATCACAAGTCAATTTTAGAAAGAGGTTATGAAGTTAAGTGATAAAAGCAATTATGGGAATACAAAAATGCAAATATTAAGGGAAATTTAAAAGTAGAATTAAAAGAAAGTTATTCACAAAAAACTGCCCGTGTGTGCGTGTGTGTGTATGTGTGTGTGTGTGTTTAATGTCTTAATTAGTCCGGACACGGTGGCTCAAGCCTGTAATCCCAGCACTTTGGGAGGCCGATGCAGGTGGATCATGAGGTCAGGAGATCGAGACCATCCTGGCTAACACGGTGAAACCCTGTCTCTACTAAAAATACAAAAAATTAGCTGGGCGTGGTGGCACATGCCTGTAATCCCAGCTACTCGGGAGGCTGAGGCAGGAGAATCACTTGAACCCGGGAGGCGGAGGTTGCAGTGAGCTGAGATTGCGCCACTGCACTCCAGCCTGGACGACAGAGTGAGACTCTGTCTCAAAAAAAAATCAGATAGACATTCCAGGCTTTTCCCACAAAGGAAGCATTAGAAATACAGAGGTGACAGGAGGGGTTATAACCAAGGGTCTGCTGCAAAAGAAGGCCTTAACTTTCCCTCAGCCTCTTTTCATCACCTGTTCCTTTCACTCTGAATGTACTTTCATGGTTTCCTCTTCTCTCCCTGGTTGTCCGTCTGTCTCAGTATTCTCTGCCTTGAATATTCTCTACTTTTTAAAAGAGCAACAATTCAAAGCCTGATTAAGTGAAGGTAGGAGTAGTCAGCCTGCTGTAACATTAAGAACCCAAATCATTAAAAGTGATCAATATAGGTAAGAAAAACACTCAAAAGAACAGCATTCATTGCATTTAGGATATAGGAATAGTATAAACTTAACAGGAAGATGTAAAACTGGATTAGAAAAGAGAAAGGCTAGCAATCACAGTATGTTTTGCCAAAAGGATGAAAAAGCAAACAAAAGCACAGTTAAGCAAAAAAGCCTAGTTGGCATATGCAAATGTCTACCTTGATAGATATAACCAGGGAGTTCTACAACAGGTGAACAGATTTTACACTTCCACCCCAATAAATCTAAGTATGTTTGAAAGGGCAATAAAGTAAAGTCTAGTTATATAAGCACAGAGGAGATTAGAAGCTACTACTGAAAAGGGAATCAATGTCATTAAAAATCACCATCAATCTATATGAGGGAATTCAAATTGCAAAAATCTAGGGAATGGTTATAACCTCAGATTGCTGCTAAGTGGACTGGGTATTTTACCCCCAAGTTTCATAAGAGAGAAAAAAAGTAAGCAATTGATACTTGAAAATAACCAACTACAGTAACTTAAATTTTTGCACAGTACCTTTTTGGACCTAAATTTCATTTCTAAAATCGAGTATTTCTAATATAACTACTGGGTCTCCTGAGCTCCCAGCCAAGTACCTTGCTTGCATAGGTAAAATATGGTGACACAAACTGGTAATTATCTCTGTGGCATTTCACTTTGTGGAAGATTTCTGTTATTGTTACAAAATGTGACGGTTAAGAATAATTTACGGGGCAAGAACACAGGCTTCACGCCTATATTCCCAACACTTTGGGAGGCCAAGGTGGGCAGACTGTTCAAGCCCAGGAGTTTGAGACTAGTCTGACCAACAAAGAGAGACCTATCTCTACAAAAAAATACAAAACATTAGCTGAGTGTGGTGATGCATACTGTAGTCTCAGCTACTCAGGAGGCTGAGGCAGGAGGAGTGACTGGGCCCAGGAGGTCAAGGCTGCAGTGAACCAAGATTGAGCCACTGCACTCTAGCCTGGGCAACAGAATAAGACCCTGTCTCAAAACAAACAAACAAAAAACAAAACAACAAAATAAGTTTTCCATAAGAATCTAGACAATGTAAAAATTTCTGAATGGTGGGGGAGGGGGGTTAAAGAAGAAATAGAAATATTGTAAAAAGAATTTTTCTGGCTGGGCACAGTGGGAAACGCCTGTAATCCCAGCACTTTGGGAGGCCAAGGCAGGAGCATCATTTGAGCTCAGGCAAGACTAGCCTGGGCAACATGGCGCCATCTCTACAAAAAAATACAAAAAATAGTGAGGCATGATGGTGCCCACCTGTAGTCCCAGCTACTTGTGAGGCTGAAGTGGGAGGATCACCTGACCCCAGGAAGGTCAACGCTGCAGTGATACTTGATCGCACCACTACACTCCAGCATGGGCAACAGCGTGAGACCCTGCCTTACAAAACAAAATAAATAAAACATAAAAAACCTCCATTTCAGGCTGGGCGCGGTGGCTCACCGCCTCTAATCCCAGCACTTTGGAAGGCCGAGGTGAGCAGATCACCTAAGGTCAGGAGTTCTAGACCAGTTTGATCAACATGGTGAAACCCCATCTCTACTAAAAATACAAAAATTAGCCGGATGTGGTGGCAGGTGCCTGTAGTCCCAGCTACTTGGGAGGCTGAGACAGGAGAATCGCTTGAACCCAGGAGGCGGAGGTTGCAGTAAGCCGACACCATGCCATTGCACTCCAGCCTGGGCGATAGAGTGAGACTCTGTCACCAAAAAAAAAAAAAAAAAAATTTCCATTTCAAATCTAAAATCACTGTACCAAAAAAGCACTACATTTAATAATTTGTTGTGTACAAGTTGCCTTGCCTGTAAAATTACCACATACAGTATACTGAAAGGATATGACAAAAACATCACCATTTTGAAAACGAAAAAGTTTTCCATTTCCTCCCCTATCCTTAATCACAGAAAGACTCTGTACTCAGCTCTGTACTACTGCTGTGTACTCAGCAATAGTATAGCCTCAGAGCCTTCCTTGGAGTATCTGTCAGTAACACTGACCCAACAGTCCTGTCAAATTGTGACCACCCTTCCAATCAAGTCATACTTTCAGATCCCACACTAGTTCTGGAACTTAAGTGCATTTCTTAGTTGGTAACAATATACTGTAAGTTTACACTTTATTTAAGCTCCAGTGCTGATTTAAAAATCAGTATGTTAGGCCAGGCACGGTGGCTCATGCCTGGAATCCCAACACTTTAGGAGCCCAAGATGGGCAGATCACGAGGTCAGATCGAGACCACCCTGGTTAACACGGTGAAATCCCCTCTCTACTAAAAAAAATACAAAAAATACAAAAAAATTAGCCGGCCATGGTGGCAGGCAGCTGTAGTCCCAGCTACTCAGGAGACTGAGGCAGGAGAATGGCGTGAACCTGGGAGGCAGAGCTTGCAGTGAGCCGAGATCGTGCCACTGTACTCCAGCCTGGCTGACAGAGTGAGACTCTGTCTCCAAAAAAAAAAAAAAATCAGTATGTTAGCCGGGCACAGTGGCTCCTATCTGTAATCCCAGTACTTTGGGAGGCCGAGGCTGGCAGATCACCTGAGGTCAGGAGTTCGAGACCTGTCTCTACTAAAAATACAAAAATACAAAAATTAGCCAGGCACAGTAGCAGGCACCTGTAATCCCAGCTACTCAGGAGGCTGAGGCACGAGAATTGCCTGAACCCAGGAGGCAGAGGCTGCAGTGAGCTGAGATCGTGCCACTGCACTCCAGCCTGGGTGACAAGAGTGAAACTCTGTCTCCAAAAAAAAAAAAAAAAAGTATGTTGAACAAATTCTGGTTCAAGGAAGGTATTAGTACGTGCATGGAATCTACTAAGTTCCGTCCTCATCTCTGTTCCAGTGGTGTCCAATCTTTAGGCTTCCTTGTGCCACACTGGAAGAGGAATTGTCTTAGGCCACAAATAAAATATACTAATGATAGCCGATGAGTTAAAAAAAAAAAATTTGCAGGCTGGGCGCGGTGGCTCACACCTGTAATCCCAGCACTTTGGGAGGCCGAGGTGGGAGGATCACAAGGTCAAGAGATAGAGACCATCCTGGCTAACACGATGAAACCCCGTCTCTACTAAAAATACAAAACATTAGCCAGGCGTGGTGGCACAGGCCTGTTAATCCCAGCTACTCGGGAGGCTGAGCCAGGAGAATTGCTTGAACCCGGGAGGCGGAGGGGTTGCAGTGAGCCAAGATCGCGCCACTGCTCTCCAGCCTGGGTGACAGAGCGAGACTCCGGCTCAAAAAAAAGAAAAAAAAAATCTCATGTTTTAAGAAAGTTGATAAATTTGTGTTAGGCTATATCCAAAGCTGTCCTGGGCTACATGCAGCCCACAGGCTGCGGGTTGGACAAGTCTGGTGTAGAGTATTCCTCCCGGCTCCCTCCAACATACACACGCTCACCGCAACAGCTGTAAGAACTAGGAAGCAGCTAGTTTTAGTGGGAGATAAGCCTGCCTTGGAAAATAGCTAAGGAGAAAGAGTTGGAAAAGAGGGCAAGAAAATATTTCTAGCTTCCCAGGGACACACATTTTGCAAATGTTATCCCATAATGTACAAAAGAAGCCATCACCTTTCTGAAAGCAACTTTTTCATATCTGCATAGCAGGCCTCATGCAAGAAGGTTAAAAAGATAGCCACGGAGCACACCCATTCAGTAGTTAGCCCATACCTGTAGCTTTACACTTCCCTCTCTGGACTATGTCTTCACTCTAAAAAACCAAGGAAAGAAAAATAAGTGGGCCATGCCTAGACGTCTCTCATGACTCCAGATATATCACCTCTTTCCAAAGAAAAGCCCCTCTGTCACCATGGCAGAAGATAAAAATACAGAAGTACTCCTCCTGCGCCCTTTTTACTCAATGCCTTAAAGATAAGTTGCATTTAATATCTCAAGGCTAATTTTAAAACACCATCAACTTAAACGATGGGGGAAGTAAAATACTAAAAGGTTTAAAAGAGTCTTGCCCTAAAATGTCGTAACAAATAGCAAAACAATGACTAAAATTTATGAGGTTGAATTTCAGTACATCTAGGTCACCAAAACAATCATTTTTAACATCTGCTTTTGGATTGGAGACTAAGAAAAGCTAATGGCTGTATAATTCTTTTAGCAATTAAGGATCGTGTTATTCATGTGGAGAGACCACACTATTTCCCCAAAGCAACCTTCCTGAATACATAGGTGCCGGGCATGAAACTCTACAAAAGCAACCACGTTCCTGCCACTGTAAATGCATCTTGGTGGCCCTAGGGTGGCGGTGAACCACTGAAACAAAAAAAAAAATCAGAAGATGGGGAAGTTAATTGATGGTAAAAGCAAACAGAGGAACCACAAAACCAATTTGTTTTATTTTTAAGCATATCGAACAATCTTGCAAGTAAAGACTGATTCTATAAAACTGCCCAAATTCCTACAAACTTCCAAATACAACTCCTGCCAGCTGTATTTCTGTCTGGCTTTCACTACAGACAATAAACTATTCAAATTCACCAAGGACAATGTCTAAACTGGAAAGTACAAGAATTCTGAAAGACAAAGCCAGACCCAGAACTAACTAGTAAGACACTGCCTATCCTCCCTGAAGACAGAGAGATTTCTTAACTGGCATAAAATAGGTGCTCAAGTATTAACTTTTCATGCAGATTTAATTAGTTTCCAATTTTGCTAATAAAGTAGTGATAGTTCCAGTAATTTTAAGGGCAAAGTTTAAACTAATTAAAAAAAAAAACAGAACTTCCTAAAAGCATTTACTTGCACCTGCCTCTACCATCAAAAGTTACCAAGAAGAAAGGAACTTCCATTTACTAAGTTCACAAACTTCATTCAATCCTTTATCATTATGACCATTTAAGGTGAGGACTACCCTAAGGATTCAGATGCTAAGGAAGATAACCTGCCCGTGGCTTCTTGGTAGGTCTGTCTCTCTAGAGAAATGTGACCATAATTTAGGAGATATCAACTTTTACTGAGATAGTGTGTCCTGAGAAGGCTCTGTAATGATTATCACAGATGGTAGACAGCAAGTTAAATTTCTACCTGTTAAGAGTTCTTCTGGAAGATGTAAAAGTCAAAGAAAAGGCCAGGGAACCACATTTCCCTCCAAATTTTATGTGGAACACAGTTTGAAAAACAGTGTTATTATGTGATTGGTTTTTCATAGGCATCACTTCCACCCTCTGAGACGAGACTCAGACTGCAAGCTAGTCAGGGAATCTCCAAGATAAAGAGAGCAAAAGGGAGATCTGGAGTTGTTAAGAAAGACCAATACACAAAAGGGTAAGGGACAGGTATCTTAAGTCCTGGAGAACATAGCAGCCCTCAGGGGGCTAGGAACATTTTAACTGCCAGGCCAAGAGAAAGAAAAAAAAATGAATTTCTTTAAAAAAAAAAAAAAAAACCCAAAAGAACAAAAAAACAAAAAACCTCCACATAAACAGGGTATCATCCTACTCCTAAGCCACCAAGACTTTTTAAAGGAAACCTCAAACACACACACACACACACACACATAAATAAACAACACTGTAATCTTCCACACAGGATTCTGTCACCTGGAGAAGGGCAAATGAATAGTCCAATACACAAAAAAGGCTGTTTTGAGACGGAGTTTCGCTCTTGTTGCCCAGGGTGGAGTGCAATGACGCGATCTCGGCTTACTGCAACCTCCGCCTCCCAGGTTTAAGCAATCCTTTGCCTCAGCCTCCTGAGTAGCTGGGATTACAGGCATGCGCCACCATGCCCAGCTAATTTTGTGTTTTTAGTAGAGATGGGGTTTCACCATGTTGGTCAGGCTAGTCTCGAACTCCTGACCTCAGGGGATCCGCCCACCTCCGCCTCCCAATGTGCTGGGATTATAGGGGGTGAGCCACCGTGCCCGGCCTCAAAAAAGTTATATTTTTTTAAAGCTTTGTCTTCCCAGTTTTGCTTTTCCTATGTTATTTTATTGCCTATTCTGTGAGAAAACTGAAACGCTTTGGTGAGAGAGAAGAGCTGAATGGAAACTAAAAGCTTTGACTGTTTTACATCTTTCCTTTCATTTCTGTGGGGAACCAAAGGGCACATGCTCTGTGAGAAAGCCTGAACTGTTTGTACTGTATTTCCTTGGAACTCCACGGATGTCTGTTTCTATTAACATTATCTCTACCTTTCTCTATCACAATGCAAGAACCAGGAAGTACACAGGTGGTTCTAAAGAGGAGTAAAAAAGCTAAGAGGGGGGCTGGGTGTGACGGTATACACCTGTAGTCCTAGCAACTTGGAAGGATAAGGCAGGAGCACTGTTTGAGCCCGGAAGTTTGAGGCTGTAGTGAGCTATGCTGGCACCACTGCACTCCAGCTTAGGCCACACAGTGAGACCTTGTCTCCCCACCCCACTCCAAAATAAGGCTAAAGGGAAAAAGGAGCAAAAAAAATGTAGGGAACAGCCAGGAGTGGTTCATGCCTGTAATCCCAGCACTTTGGGAGGCCGAGGCAGGTGGATCACTTAAGGCCAGGAGTTCCAGACCAGCCTGGCCAATGTGAGGAAACACCGTCTCTACTAAAAATACAAACATTAGGCCAGATGCAGTGGCTCACGCCTGTAATCCTAGCACTTTGGGAGGCTGAGGTGGGCGGGTCACTTGAGGTCAGGAATTCAAGACCAGTCTGGCCAACACGGTGAAACCCTATCTCTACTAAAAACACAAAAATTAGCTGGGTGTGGTGTCTCAAAAAAAAAAAAAAAATGGCCGGACATGGTGGCGTGCACCTGTAATCCCAGCTACTTGCGAGGCTAAGGCATAAGAATCACTTGAACTCGGGAAGCGGAGGTTGCAGTGAGCCGAGATCCCGCCACTGCATTCCAGCCTGGGCAACAGGGTGAGATACTGTCTCAAAAAAGAAAAAAAAAAGTAAGGAAGTAGGGAGAGTGGTGAGAGCAAGATGAAGGGCAAGCTAGCTGAGAGTTCCAATATTATCTACCTGCGATAAATGTTTAAAGACATTTAAAATACAACCTCATAAGAAGTTTTTTAACTTCACTGACAGAAAAGGCTCTCAGATCCTCTAAAAGCCTTTCTTAGAATAGGCAAGGTAATAAGCTCTTTATTCTTAGTGTTTTCTACTGGCCTATACAGCTTGTATGCTGAGTAAATGACAAAATATTGTCTTTCCCAGGATGACTGGCACTGACTCAGTCACCATCAGCAGCTCTTACATAGCACGTGCTAGATCACAAAGTCCAGAGACAAGGGCCTGTGGCACGATGATGTTCAATAACATACATCAGTCCTAAACCCATGAACTTGGCCTCATTAGTAAGACTCACTGTTTTTTGTTTTTGAGGGTCTCGCTCTGTTGCCCAGGCTGGAATGCAGCGGTGTCATCTCGGCTCACTGCAACCTCCGCCTCCTGGGCTCAAGCAATCCTCCCACCACGGCTTCCCAAGTAGCTTGAACTACAGGTGTGCACCACCACGCCCGGCTAATTTTTGTATTTTTTGTAGAGAAGGGGTTTTGCCATGTTGCCCAGGCTGGTCTTGAACTCCTGGGCTCAAGCGATCCACCCCCTCTTGGCCTCACAAAGTGCTGGGATTACAGGTGCAAGCCCCCGCATCTGGCCAACTCACTCTTAACTAACAACTGTTAGTAAGCAACCTTAAAATTCCTTGAAAAACTTCCTTGATATAAGACAGGGAGCTAATAAAGAATTTAGCCAGGAAGAAAAAGAATTTAGCTGGGTACAGTGGCTCATACCTATAATCCCAACACTCTGGGAAGCTCAAGTGAGAGGACTGCATGAGCCCACAAGTTTGAGACCAGCCTGGGCAACATCATGAAACCCTGTTGCTACCCAAAAAGAAAAAAAAAAATTAGATGGGTGTGGTGACATGTGTCTGTAGTCCCAGCTACTTGGAAGGCTGAGGTGGGAGGATTGCTTGAGCCCAGAGGTCGAGGCTGCAGTGAGCTGTGATGGCACCACTGCACTCCAGCCTAGGCAACAGAGCAAGATCGTCTCAAAAACCAAAACAAAAAAATAATCTAACTACTATCCAGATTAGAGGTTTTTAAACGATCTTAAAAGCAGAACTGTTTTTCTCCTAAACATGAAAGTCAGGCTGTTCAGGTCAAAGATAGAGGAGGGAGAGGCAGGCCCCAACTGTCAGTCTCTCTTGGCCCTCAGGATAACCTCTTGGGAAATATGAGAACTAGATGAAATAATTCAAACAATAGATAATTCATCAATATTATATCTGGCTTTGACATAAATGGTTTTTTGAACAATAAATTTTTCTATCTTTAGAATCAATGTATTTAACATACCATCAGTGCTAATAAATGTGCATCTTCAAATTGATGGAATATGGCATTTAAAGTTTGTAAACCCTTATCACCTAAAAGTAAAGAGAAATGTCTAGACATTTGTAAAGTGGCAATAAGTACGAGCTAACATTTTTTGAGCATTTACCATACACTATGACCTGTTTTGGGTGCTTTACATTTAATCCTCATACGTACGCTATCTCCATTTTGCAGATGAGAAAAGATACAGAGATGAAATGACTCCCTCAAGATCACAGAGATCCGGGCTAAGAAGGCTGCTTCAGGTTAAAAATTGTCTCCAAGGAAGCTCATGCACATAACCCACAGAAAGTCTGTTTAAATGCTAAGGGCCATAAAGTTGAGTCTGACTTTTTTTTTGAGACAGAGTCTCTCTCTCTTTTCCAGGCTGAAGTGAAGTGGCATGATCTCGACTCACTGCAACCTCTGCCTCCCGGGTTCAAGTGCTTCTTGTGCCTCAGCCTCCCAAGCAGCTAGGACTACAGGCACAAGCCATCATGCCCAGCTAATGTTTTGTATTTTCAGCAGAAACAGGGTTTCCCCATGTTGCCAAAGCTGGTCTTGAACTCCTGAGTTTAGGCAATCCACCCTCCTTGGCCTCCCAGAGTAAGCTAGGATTACAGGAGTGAGCCACTGTGCCCGGTTTTTTGTTTTGTTTTGTTTTGAGATGGAGTCCCGCTCTGTTTCCCAGGCTGGAGTGCGGTGGCATGATCTCTGCTTACTGCAACCTCCGCCTCCCAGGTTCAAACGATTCTCCTGCCTCAACCTCCTGAGTAGCTGGGACTACAGGCACTGGCCACCAAGCCTGGCTAATTTTTTTGTATTTTTAGTAGAGACAGGTTTTCACTGTATTAGCCAGGATAGTCCTGATCTCCTGACCTCATGATCCACCTGCCTTGGCCTCCCAAAGTGCTGGAATTACAGGCATGAGCCACCGTGCCCAGAATTTTTTTTTTTTTTTTTTTTTTAGAGATGAGGGATCACTCTGCCCAGCTAATTTTTTTTGTATTTTTAGTAGAGACAGAGTCTGGCCATGTTAGCCAGGGTGGTCTCGAACTCCTGACCTCAAATGATCTGCCTGCCTCAGCCTCCCGAAATGTTGGGATTACAGATGTGAGCCTCCGCACCCTGCCCAAACTTTTAACTGGAAAAGAGAAAAAAGACAAATAATAGAAATAACTTGGGAAAAGTATATTCTCTTTAAAGTATTACTTTTTGGTCAGCTTGCAATGCCCTTTACTTCTTTCTTCCTGTTACATGCCTAGCTCAATAAGTAAGTTAGGCCCCCTGCTTTGGAAAACTCCATGTTCACCTACTCTCATGCTCCAGAGAGCCAAGTAAACAGATAAAAGGATCAAGCGGGAAGCAGACCTCTCAGGAGCTGGAGGCCTGTAAGCCCAACAATGCTTTAGGCTAAACAGACTAAACTTTATGCTAAACCGTGTGAAAATGGACAAGTGAGATTTCCTGAAAACAAAATCCACAGCTTTCATCAGATTCTATAAGGGGTTCACAACCATTCTTAGAATGGTCCCCTCTTGGACTTCCAATCCCTAGAGGATGGGACTAGATTAATCTAGACTAACACTAGGTCATCTAAAACTATAATTGTATTTTCTCTAAACAAGTTTTTAAACAGCTATCTAGTTTAGTCCACATCACATACAATTCACCTCATTTAAAATGTTGTTAGTGATTTTAATCTCATTTCAAAATGTTGTTAGTGAACTATGTTTCAACTTTCTCATTTATATTCATATCCACAGAACACCTGAATAAAAGTAACACATATCAGACCTTCAATTGTTGAACTTAATTCCCCAGTTTATCTGGTGTAATTTGTAAAGTTTCTATGAACTTTCCTGAATTGAGACATACTTGCACTTCCTAGTTTTTTGGGGGTTTTCCCCCCTGAAATTGCAGGTACTGTAAAAGCAACATGTGGGCAGCACCCCCTCTTTTTTTTTTTTTGAGACAGAGTCTCGCTCTGTCACCCAGGCTGGAGTGCAGTGGCGTGATCTCAGCTCACTGCAAGCTCCGCCTCTCGGGTGCATGCCATTCTCCTGCCTCAGCCTTCCGAGTAGCTGGGACTACAGGCACCCGCCACCACGCCTAATTTTTTGTATTTTTAGTAGAGATGGGGTTTCACCATGTTAGCCAGGATGGTCTCGATCTCCTGACCTCGTGATCCGCCCACCTCGGCCTCCCAAAGTGCTAGGATTACAGGCGTGAGCCACTGCGCCCGGCCACCCTCTTTTTTTTTTTTTAAACAAAATATTTCATAAGTATTCCTTCCTGTTTTAATTTTTCCATTTCCCCAACTTTAATTAATTATACTTACAACCATATTTTGGTTTATCTTCTACCAGGATTTCTTCCATGCATACAATAAAATGTACAAACACTCAAATACACAAAATTTTCCTTTTTTTTTTCCCCCCAGATGGAGTCTTGTTCTGTTGTCCAGGCTGGAGTGCAGTGGCATGATCTCAGCTCACTGCAGCCTCTGCCTCCCGGGTTCAAGCAATTCTCCTGCCTCAGCCTCCCAAGTAGCTGGGACTACAGGCGTGCACCACCACACCCAGCTAATTTTTGTATTTTTTAGTACAGACAGGGTTTCGACATGTTGGCCAGGCTGGAACTCCTGACCTCAAGTGATGGGCTCACCTTGGCCTCCCAAAGTACTGGGATTACAGGCATGAGCCACCATGTCTGGCCTCAAATACACAGAATTTTCAAATTCAATATTATACTAAGTATAATACTGCACAACCTACTTTTTTGCACCTAACAATGATAAACATTTTCTCGTAAGCAGCCATTATTAAAGGATCAGAGCCACAAATGGCCTAAAGCTTGACTCTGCCAATAGCATCCTTGCATATTCACAACCAATAAATAGAACTACCTCCCTAATCTAGCTCACCTCCCATTTAGTTATATGATCTTTCCATGAGTATATAAGCACCTAAACCAGAGGTCGTCTCACCTGAGAGACACCCTATTTTAGAGGCACTCAGATGAGGCAAACAGAGCATGCAAAAAACATTTTTAAAAATCTCTTTTTGGCCAGGCATGATGGCTCATGCCTGTAATCCCAGCACTTTGGGAGGCCAAGGCAGGAACATCTCTAGCACCCAGGAGTTTGAGACCAGCCTCGGCAACATAGCAAGACCCTATCTCTACAAAAAAAAAAAAAAAAAAAATCAGACAGGCATGGCAGTGCACGCCTGTAGCCCTAATTTGGATGCTGAGGTAGGAAGATTGCTTGAGTCCAGAAATTTGAGGCTGCAGTGAGCCATGATCGTGCCACTGCACTCCAGTCTGGCTGACAGAGCAAGACCTTGTTTCAAAAAATAAAATAATTTAAAAAATCTCTTTTCCTATTTCCTCCCCAAATGCCCACACACTGGGTGTAACTCTCAAATCCCCCGTATTTCCTCTCTGCTCCCCAAACAGCTTCCTACTGTGGTGAGAGCTGGGAGGTGGGAGGAGGAATCTAATTCTTTCTATAGTTCCTGTTTCTTTACCATGGCAGTACTGTCAACAATGGACAACAAATTGCTGGATGCAGCAGTAGCAATTTACATATGGTAGCTAAGCTAATGCACAGCTTTCTCTGGGCAGAATTACTAACGCTTCTACCTATCATTGCAGTTTGAACCCAATGTTCCAGGCACACCAGTGTTAAGTATTTGCCTGGTGGCTTCTACCTTCAAAGGCACAGGGAATGATACACAGAAGTAATACACAGAAGTGAGGGAGGTGGAGGGAGTGGGAGCTCTGAACCCACCGAGGGAGGGTGCTCGCTCCAAGGACTGTGACACCAGACAAAGTACCTAATTCAAACCCAAAGGCTCAGTCATTCAACCTTTCCATAATATTCATGATCACTTGCTCAAATCTGGCATGTTCTAAGACCACAGTTCCTTCTTAGTTTCACTGCCCTGCCATGAGGCCAAATCTGTCTTATCTAGTGAGTCACTACTGCTCCTCTTTCCAACTGCATTTTGATTTCAGCCCACTTGTGCAGCTCATCAGGGCTGCACCATATGTTAGTACCATGTAGGCAGAATGTGACTAATTTTTTTCTCAAGCCCTGTCAGAGCGACTTTTAAAATCACCTTATAATCTTGATGTCTCTTGCGGAGTCATTATAACACATAACCTTTGGAAAGGACTATAATTATTTTTCTGAGTGCTCAAAGGAGATTCTTCAGCATTTTCATTCCCATTTTTCAGATGAAGGAACTAAAGGGAAGATAAGGGATTAAGAGACCTGGGTTCCACAACCAACCACTGGGACTTGGACTTTCTTGAGTCACAGTGCTGTATTTGGTAAAATAAGGCAGCTTGTAAAATGCCTTTTATTGGGAAACTCAAAATATTACTTTGCCTCTCTTTATTATTTACTTATTTATTTTTTTTTAGATAGAGTCTTGCTCTGTCACCCAGGCTAGAGGGTAGTGGTGCAATCTTGGCTCCCTGCAACCTCTGCCTCCCGGGTTCAACATGGTGAAACCCTATCTCTACTAAAAATACAAAAATTAGCTGGGCATGGTGGCAGGCGCCTGTAATCCCAGCTACTTGGGAGGCTACGGCAGGAAGAATTGCTTGAACCCAGGAGGTGAACTGAAATCATGTCACTGCACTCCAGCCTGGGTGACAGAGCAAGACTCTGTCTCAAAATAAAAAATAAAAATAAAAAGAGAGAGAGAAAAGGACTGAATGGCCCATGGACCACAAATGTTTTTTGAATTGGTCAAGATCATAATAAGTGAGTGAAAGTAATGCTCTAATACACTGAAAGTAAAATAGAGATGACTTGCAGATTTAGCTAGTATCACCAAATTCCCCCGAATTTAGTTTAAAAGGAAGGCGAGCAGCTGCTTCCACCTCCTCTAGGCAACCTGCCTCTTCTCCAACAATAATAGCAATAATGGTTGCTACAGCTGATAATTAAGCTCATCTCAAGAGGGTTTCTTAAATCTTCCGGGTATTGCAGATCCTATGTTTATTCTAGCAACTCTTTAGGGTAATTGCTTGACTGACATTGCAATTATTAGGCCTCCCCATCTCCATTAATAATATTCTCTTTTTTTTTTTTTGTTTGAGACAGAGTCTCGCTCTGTCGCCTAGGCTGGAGTGCAGTGGCATGATCTTGGCTCACTGCAATCTCTGCCTCCCAGTTGTAAGCAATTTTCCTGCCTCAGCCTCCCCAGTAGCTGGGACTACAGGCCCAAGCCACCAAGCCTGGCTAATTTTTATATTTTTTTAGTAGAGACAAGGTTTCATCATGTTGGCCAGGCTGGTTTTGAACTCCTGACCTCAGGTGATCCACTTGCCTCAGTGTCCCCAAGTGCTGGGATTACAGACATGAGCCACCACGCCCAGCTCACTAGTATTTTTCAATGGATAATATCACTTGCAAAATATAAAAAGGGATAGTATCTCATCAATATTGAAAACTGAGCTGAGCACAGTGGCTCACACTTATAATCTCAGCACTTTGGGAGGACTGCTTGAGCCCACAAGTTCCAGACCAGCCCAGGCAATATAGTGAGACTTATCTCTACAAAAAAATTCAAAAATTAGCTGGGTGTGGTGGCACGTGCCTGTAGTCCCAGTTACTTGGGAAGCTGAGGCGGGAGAATCACTTGAGCCCAGGAGGTCGGGCTGCAGTGAACTGTGATCATGCCACTGCACTCCAGCCTGGACAACTGAGAGAGAGCCTGTCTAAAAAAACAAACAGAGAAAAAAAAAAAAAAAAAAAGACATGCCCTTTGAATTCAGCAATCCCAGTTCTAGAAATATAGTTTACAAATAATCTTGTATCTGATGTATACAAAGTATGCAAAGGGGCATTCATAAGAACATTGTTTACATCAGCAAAACCTGAAAACATATGCCCATTAATTGAAGGCTATTAAATACAGTATAACCATACAACAGAACACTATGTAGCTATTAAAGAAAATAAGGCAGCTAACTGATCAAGACGTATTCATATAATAAGAAAGGAATTACACATGGCTTGTATATGAACAGAGTATCTCTGGATGGATAAAGAAATAACTGCTAACAGTAGTTGTAGAGGTGGAACAGTGGTTGAATTGTTTACATGTGAACACGTTACCTATTCTACAGAAATTTTTTTTTTTTTGAGACGAAGTTATGCTCTTGTTGCCCAGGCTAGAGTACAATGGCGCAATATTGGCTCACTGCAACCTCCGCCTCCCGGGTTCAAGCAATTCTACTGCCTCAGCCTCCCGAGCAGCTGGGATTACAGGCACCTGCCACCAAACCCAGCTACTTTTTTGTATTTTTAGTAGAGATGGGGTTTCACCATGTTGGCCAAGCTGGTCTCGAACTCCTGACCTTAGGTGATCGACCTGAAGTGCTAGGATTACAGGCACGAGCCACTGTGCCCGGCCTACTGAAAATTTTTTTAAAGAAAACTTGAGCTTTTGGAGCATGGCAACCTAGCCTGCAGACACCGTATCCCCTTGTCCACTTCCCCCTGCAACCCATAAGTCCATTCCTACCACTTAAAAAAAGGAAAACTCGTGGAACTATAAAGCACAAAGTAAAGAAAAACCTCAACTCATACTCTTTTCCAAAACAGCATTTTGGTTTTGTATTTTTTTCCTGCTTTGCCTGAAACTTCTGTGTGGAAACTGCCATTGTCCAGGTGATCCAGCAGTATATCATAATTACATCACACCATTTTAAATGACCCCAGCAACTCAAATAACGTTCATGCAGCTGGGACCTCATCATGTATGGCCTATTTACAAAGTCTGAAGCTATTTCAATCACTCAGCTGTATAGCTATACATTTTCTTCAATCAACCTTTCCTGCCAAGGCAAAGTGCAACATTAGCTGGATTCCAGTAAAGAAGGCAAGGGACAGGGTGAGATAATATGTCAAAACAAGTTCTATAAATACAGCTTTTGGCTTGTATCTCAAAAAGGAATCAAAAGAGCTTCAAGTTTAAACAGAAAAACCCTACAGTCCCTGCAGTATCTTACTTGAAGGCTCTAGAGAACAGAAGACACCAGGGAACTGGAATCTTATTTCTCACACTGTAATATCTTGTCTCTCTCTCCCTTATCTCAGGGGCAGGTTTAGATGCAATTGCAAGCTTTATCATTCCAACTCTGCATCTCCCCTGCCTCTTTTCTTATCTTACCACCTCTACCCTACCAAACACATCAATTTCCTTCCTCTCTGTGAGGCTGCTCCACCTCTTAGGCAGACAGGCCCAATACACACAACATACAACAGTCTTTCCTTAGCACTAGCCACCTAACTTCTATCATCTCCAAAATCCTTGACCAAGCAGCCAAGAACCCTGCCTTTACCATCTGCCCCAACCTCACCATCAAACACACGGGCACTCATGCGGGATGCTTCCATATGGTCTTGTTTCAGGAGCTTTGCCCTGTTCTGTTGAAAAGCAGGAAACTTTATTTTCTTTCTGTTCTTAAATTCTTAATTCTATAAAACTAGAGAAACCAGAAACTACTTCTGTAGAGACACTTCCTGAGACAGTTAGGTTATAGGCCAGAAAATGCAAATTTTGTACCTCTGCTTCAGCCAATCAGGGAACATGTTCAGCAAAGCTTGATTCACCCTAAAGGACGCACAGCCCTAAGACAAATTCTATTCTATTCTATTATCACTTTTTAAAAAAAGTTACTTTGGCTGGCCTGTAATCCCAGCATTTTGGGAGGCCGAGGCAGGTGGATCACTTGAGGTCAGAGTTCGAGACCAGCCTGGCCAACGGGGTGAAACCCCATCTCTACTACAAATACAAACAAATTAGCCCGGCGTGGAGGCGGGAACCTGTAATCCCAGTTACTTGGGAGGCTGGGGCAGAAGAATCACTTGAACAGGGAGGCACAGGTTGCAGTGAGCTGAGATCACACCACTGCACTCCAGCCTGTGTGACAGAGCGAGACTCCATCTCTAAATAAATAAATAAATAAATAAATAAATAAATAAATAAATAAATAAGGTACTTCAATTATCATGCTTTCATCACTCTGCAATTGTGCTCCTAAAGGTGCTTCTCGCCGGGCGTGGTGGCTCACGCCTATAATCCCAGCACTTGCACTTTGGGAGGCCAAGGCGGGTGGATCACAAGGTCAGGAGATCGAGACCATCCTGGCTAACACGGTGAAACCCCTACTGAAAATAAAAATTAGCTGGGCGTGGTCGTGGGCGCCTGTAGTCCCCGCTACTCGGGAGGCTGAGGCAGGAGAATGGCATGAACCCAGGAGGCGCAGCTTTTAGTGAGCTGAGATCGTGCCACTGCATTCCAGCCTGGGCGACGGAGCCAGACTCCGTCTCAAAAAAAAAAAAAAGGAGTGCTTCTCACATTTAAATACCCACTTAAATCATCTGTCACATCCTTCAAATCACTCCTAAAAAAACTCAACTGTTCCACAAAATTTAACTTGTCAGTGCTTTGATTTCATTTTTACAAAAACAAGCTCTTAAAAAAAAAAGCCAGGAGATCTATCAATCAAAAAAGCAACTACATTTTTAGAAAACATCTACTATATACCCAGAACTAAAGAGGATACCAAAAAAAAAGGCACAATCCCTGTCCTTAAGGAGTTAATGGTCTTGTTCAGAAAATACGACTTGCACTAGAAACAAGAAACATGGGAGAGCATCTATCTAAGGGAAAATGTTACCATAAATGTGAAAGACTTAAAAAATCTCAGGAGAGCTGATTCTTATTTCCCTGTCTAAATCAAATTTTTGTGCTATTTCATCACACTGTCCATGATACAATACATTTTTTGCTACCCTCCACTGAATTACATGGCCTACTAATAATTCCTTCATCATCATTTCTTTTGAACAGACTTCTCTGTGTTTTCCTGTCACTCTCACACAGATTATAAGTTTATGGATATGGCAAAACTTGCTGGTTCTACCTTCCCATGCTCCCCTTGTAAGGGCATCTCCGGAAGATGTGTGGTGCAGGAACGAGGTAAAGAAGCAGGCCAGGCACTGTGGCTCATGCCTGTAATCCCAGCACTTTGGGAAGCCGAGGTGGGCAGATCACTTGAGCTCAGGAGTTCAAGACCAGCCTGGGCAACATGGCAAAACCCTACCTCTACCCAAAAAATACAAAAAAATTAACTGGGCATGGCGGCATGTGCCTGTGGTCCCAGCCACTCAGGAGGCTGAGGTGGGAGGATCACTTGACCCTGGGAGCAGAGGTTGTGGTGAGCCAAGATTGTGCCACTGCCCTCCAGCCTGGGTCAGTGAGAACCAATCTCTTCCTGCGCTCCCCCCCGACCCAAAAAAGGCTAAAATTAATTCTGCTTTCAATATCTTCAGTAAATAGTCTGGTACTAGTGGAGATAAACTAGTAATTTTAGAGATGTTTCACAAACTTGTTACTTGGCTTGCTGTTCTTTACCACCAATAAATGAACTAGAGGGCCGGGCGTGGTGGCTCACGCCTGTAATCCCAGCACTCTGGGAGGCCAAGATGGGCGGATCACGAAGTTAGGAGATCGAGTCCATCCTGGCTAATACAGTGAAACCCCATCTCTACTAAAAATACAAAAAAATTAGCCGGGCATAGTGGCGGGCGCCTGTAGTCCCAGCTACTCCGGAGGCTGAGGCAGGAGAATGGCGTGAACCTGGGAGGCGGAGTTTGCAGTGAGCCGACGTCGTGCCACTGCACTCCAGCCTGGGCGACTGAGAGAGACTCCGTCTCCAAAAATAAAAAATAAAATAAAAAATAAATGAACTAGTACAGTTGATGGTGATCTGCAAAACCAAAATCATATAGTTATTTTCATAAGGAAATTCTAAAATGAAAATGGGTTAGACTGATTCATAATTTAATAATCTCAAATAACAAAGTGTGCTAATAAAATAGACAAATATTTACTACAAACCCACAATGTACCCTATACCTAGACTCTAGAGTCATACCACTGCTTTCTAATCCCAGTTTTGCTGCTTACTAGCCAGGTAACTGGGGAAATTGTTTAACTTCTTCATAAATACCTCTGTTTCTTCATGCACAAAATGGTTACACAAACAGTATCTACCTTACAGGATATTTGTTAGAATTAAATTTATACATGTAAAGCATTTAGAATAGTGCCTGACACATAGAAAGTGCTCAATAAACATTTGCTACTATTATTATTCTGGGCACCAAGCTTGGTGTTTATGGTGGAAAAGAATGAGTCCCAAAAAATTTCAGCCTGTTACATGATGATTCTATCTCTTCAAAATAAAGTACCTGATCTTAAGATGTACTGTACAACGCTCAATGGTTATGTTACTCAAAGACAACAGGTTCATCTGTTTACTGAGCTAGAAACATAGTGTGTAGTTTCACTTTTTAAAATGCAACAGCTATGCTGATTTTTTTTTTTTTTTGACACGGGTTTTGCTCTTGTTGCCCAGGCTGGAGTGCAATGGCATGATCTCAGCTCATCACAACCTCCATCTCCCGGATTCGAGAGATTCTCCGGCCTCAGCCTCCCGAGTAGCTGGGATTACTGGCATGTGCCACCAAGCCTGGCTGATTTTTTTGTATTTTTAGTAGACACGGGGTTTCTCCATGTTGGTCAGGCTGGTCTTGAACTCCCGACCTCAGGTGATCTGCCTGCCTCGGCCTCCCAAAGTGCTAGGATTACAGGTGTGAGCCACCTTGCCCAGCTGAAATTTTTTTTATCATTAACACTTGAAGTAGGCCGGGCATGGTGGCTCAAGCCTGTAACCCCAGCACTTTGGGAGGCCAAGGCAGGTGGATCACCCGAGATCAGGAGTTGGAGACCAGCCTGGCCAACATGGTGAAACCCCATCTCTACTAAAAATACAAAAATTAGCTGGGCATGGTGGTGGGCGTCTGAAGTCCCAGCTACTACTACGGAGGCTGAGTCAGGAGAACCCGGGAGGCAGAGGTTGCAGTGAGCTGAGATTGTGCCATTGCACTCCAGCCTTGGTGACAGAGCAAGATTCTGTCTAAAACAACAACAACAACAACAACAAAACGCCAGGCACAGTGGCTCAGGCCTGTAATCCCAGCACTTTGGGAGGCCAAGGTGGGTGGATCACCTGAGGTCAGGAGTTCGAGACCAGCCTGGCCAACGTGGTGAAACCCCATCTCTACTAAAATACAAAAATTAGCCAGGTGTGGTGGCATGCGCTTGTAGTCGCAGCTACTCAGAGGCTGAGGCAGGAGAATTGCTTGAACCTGGGAGGTGGAGGCTGCAGTGAGCTGAGTTCGTGCCACTGCACTCCAGCCTGGGCAACAGAGCGAGACTCCATCTCCAGAAAAAAAAAAAAAAAAGCAAACTTGAAGTAATAAAATAGGCTTCATTTATTTAAAAAAAAAATTGGGTACCTGAGATTATTCCAAAATATTTCCTAGCAGGAGGGGGAAGTGAATAGGTAAGAATTCTGGCAGCAATAGGCTGACAGATCTTGCACCTCCAACTGGGCCTGTTAGAGTCCAGTATATCTTCATTATGGATTACCAAACCACTTGTTCTGAGAACACTTATTTATGTATAAACATTTATTCATTCCTTCCATCAAACCAAAAAAAAAATTTCTTTCATGAAGCTTTCAAAATGGACACACTGGAAAAATATAAACTAATAAAATGAGACCAGGGAAGTTATAAATTTTAAAAAAGGCCAAGAACAAAAAGAAAGCTAGAATATAGGTGTGCTAATCAGAGTGTCACTTACTGAGGCTGAGCTGTAAAATCAAAGAGCTGCCACTGATTTTAATCTCCAATGACAGGCTCTACATAGGGTGCACAATGATTCATAGTATAAATGGGAAAACATTAGGACAGTAAAATGAGAAGGGCACTAAGAATAGCCAAGAAAGAGAAGATGAAGCAGATATAATGCCACACTCAAAAGAATTTGGAAAGTCAGTAAATATACAGGATCCAGGAGAGGCTAAGCACCAGGTCCTAGACCCTAAACAAATAAGCATCCAAAACCTACAATGCACAAGGTGCAGAAGAGATCCCTAAGTGATTCAGAGCCAGAATACATCAGTGTATAGTCACACAGAACTCTGCATCCATACCACACAGCCACAGAAGAAGCTGCCTCAATCAAGGTGTTTCTCCAGCATTTAATAACGTCCTTTCCTCTCCTCATTGACTACAGTTACAAATAGTATGGGCAGAGAACTGTCTCATCCCCACTCAGCTGACAAGTTCTATTCCCAACACTGCATGCTTATGACTCATGAGGGGATGGGGGAGGGGAGTGAAAGGAAACTGTAAAACAAAGCAACAAACTTGAATTTAGACTTACACTGACCAGGAGTAAGAATTCATCACTGTTTAATTAGAATATCTCATAACAAACCAAGAAAGTATCCTTTTAAAATACAGTAACAAACCCAGTATCTTCTGAAAATAACCTGAAATTTGTCTACATGTCATGTCTTCTGCTATTCCTTAAACAGACATGACACCAAAAGGCATTACAAGGCCTCTGTAAGGCCAAACTTTACAAAGCACTCAAACAGCGCAAACAGCATAGGTTGCTGTGGGGCCCAAAGCAACAGGGCATTCCCCACAGTTCCTTTCCTGGCAGACAGCGAAGTCAACACACTTAACCCCTACTGCACTCTTTCAAGATGTGCACTAAATCATTTCTTAAAGGGGTGGAGGTGCCTCATCTTTTTATACTCAAATTTTATGTCAAAAAATTTGAGTGCCAGGAAAGGAATTCAATACCACCCCAAGAGCTGATCTTTGTGACCTGTAACAAAACAAAGAGGAAAAAAAAAACACTACCACTTCAACAAGGTATGTTTCTAAGGGAACCCAAAGACCATTTCTGACATCACATTTCCCTGTTTGGTACCCTCTCGCCAAGACGGTATTTTGTTAAATACAAATCTTGTCTCCTCACCCCATCCCTAACAACCTGAAGCATTCTCTACAATTTACAATTGACAAACCTGAACACAGCAAAACAACAAAGACAAACGAGTCACCTCTTTCACTTGAAAACCTCAGTCCTCCACAGAGACGCACACAGACAGACAGATGGATGCACGTAAGAACACAAACTGTGTGCCCTGGCTGAGTCCTGAGCAGGTCTGAGCCGGTGCGGGTGCCAAAGGGTGGCCACACGGCCTAGCTAGTGGGCTGCTCCTGCTGTTGCTGTACAAATATAGCAAGCTAAAAAGTGGAACAGCAGCTTCAGCAGAACAGATTCTGCTCCGTGCTCAGAGAGGGAGGAGCAGGGAACTGAACAGCTTTACCCATACATGGTTGCTGAAAGGGGGCCATTAGTGAAAGCCCAATTATCTCACACACATGCATTCTGTTCACATGCTCCAGACAAAAAACAGAAACACACAGGCTGGTACTTGAAATAAGGTTTGAGATATTCTATTTCAGTCAAGGAACTTCCAAATAATTTCAGTCACTGACACCAAGAATCCCTCAGCCACGGGAAATGGAAAAGACATTTGAAAACCTTTACTAGGTCAGATTCTTCCCAGATCAGCAGTAGTGGTGAGGCTCAATTTATCATTTAAATCCTAAAATTTAACATGCAAAAAAAGGTTATTCTCCATTCGAGTGAACAATGTTAACTTTCACTAGTTCCTTGCTGCTTTCAGAATGAAGGTCTCATTCCAACTGTGTATGTTTTGAGCTCTTTTTTATTTTATGGTTGATACAAGTTAAAATAAACTCTAATATAATTTTTAAAATCTATGTCTGAGGATGATGGCTTATATAACCAGAAGCCAAATATTTGTGTTCCAAAAATTATTTTACTTAGAACAATTCATTTAGATTCACTTCAATGTGAAGTATGTGAAAAGCTTAATTGCTGACCAGAGTGAATTTTCCAACAATAAGAAATGCATGGCTGATTGGCTCAAATGATTCTATTCTTCAGCCCTTACTGAAGTACTTAGTGCATACCACCTATGTAATTTTATTCCCCCCTTATAGAGATGGGGTTTCACCATGCTGCCCAGGCGGGTCTCAAACTCCTAGGTACAAGTGATCCACTCACTTCGGCTTGCCAAAGGGCTGGGATTACTGGCATGAGCCACCAAGCCCAGCCTGGTTATGTATTTATTCGGTATCATAGGGGCTACAGCACAAATCAAAACCATAGTATCAGTGACCTCCAATCTAATTCCTAGATGAGATTAACATGAGATATTAATAATAAAGGCAGACAGTACATGACTACTGCACTAAAGCGTGGGGTACAAACTATAAATGCTATACACATTAAGAGAAGAGAGGCTGGCCTTGATAGCTCACATGTATAATCTCAGCACTTTGGTAGGCCAAGGTGGGTGGACCACTTGAGCCCAGGAGTTTGAGACCAGCCTGGGCAATGTGGCGAGAACCCGTCTCTATCCACAAACAAACAAAAAAACAAACAAAAAAAAAAAAGGAAGAAAGAAAAGAGAGAAGAGAGACTGAGAACAGACAGACCTAGACTTTCTTGCTTATCCCACCTACCAGAACTCTCATTAAGGGCACCTGCGCACCAGGAGTGGTAGCTCACGTCTGTAATCCCAGCACTTTGGGAGGCCAAGGTGGGCAGATCACCTCAGGTCCGGAGTTCGAGACCAGCCTGACCAACAGGGAGAAACCCCGTCTTTACTAAAAATACAAAATTAGCCAGGTGTGGTGGTGCATGCCAGGTGTGGGGGTGGCTGAGGCAGGAGAATCGCTTGAACCTGGGAAGCGGAGGTTGCCGTGAGCCAAGATTGTGCCATTGCACTCCAGCTTAGGTAACAAGAGCAAAACTCTGTCTCAAGGAAGAAAAAAAGAAGGCACCTGCGATATCTTAAATGTGAAGAATACAGAATTTGAACAAGATGATTTCTAAGATCCCTCCATTTCTGAAACTCTGAGTGTGGTTTCAACCTGAAATGTTTCATAGTATGAGATTAATACCACACTGCTTATGGAAGCAAAATTATAGTTTTTGCCTACTTTAGAGAAAACATATTCTAAACTAAGATAAAAATAAATTCAGACCATAACTCAGCATCCACTGTAACATTTCTCATGTAACACTTTCAGGAAAATGTTCTTCCATCTGAGACATTTCTGCCTAGCCTGTTGAATAAATTTTAAACCACTATTAAGAAAAAACAAAAACAAAAACCCTGTCACAGGGAAATAGAATGGTGGAACTAGAAATGTTTATGCTGATATAACTATGAGATCCTTGATTATAAAACACTGCTAAGTTAACCAGTCATCAAAAGGAGTTCCAGGCCGGGCAGTGGTGGCTCGTGCCTGCAATCCCACGATGGATCACCTGAGGTCAGGAGTTCAAGACCAGCCTGGCCAACAAGGTGAAACCCTGTCTCTATTAAAAATACAAAAATTAGCTGGGCGTGGGGGCGCGTGCCTGTAATCCCAGCTACTCAGGAGGCTGAGGCAGGAGAATCACTTGAACCCAGGAGGCAGAGGTTGCAGTCAGCCGAGATTGTGCCACTGCACTCCAGCCTGGGCGACAAGAGCAAAACTCCGTCTAAAAAAAAAAAAAAGCTTCAAAGAAAAAAGCACTGCCTAGCTCCTATCCATTACTGAGTACACAGCAGGATTCCAGCAGTAGAGGCACATTCATGTCCCATAAAACAGACATGCAAGTATTCAACATGTTATTAAAAGCCTCTTAACACTAAACATAAGGAGACCTCATCTCTACAGAAAGAAGTAAAAAATTAGCCGGACATGGTGGCACGTGCCTGTAGTCCCAACTACTCAGGGGGCTGAGGTGGGAAGATTCCTTGAGCCCAGGAGGTCAAGACTGCAGTTAGCCGTGATCGTGCCACCGCACTCCGGCCTGGGTGACAAAGTGAGACACTGCCTCAAAAAACAAAAAAAATTAAGTAAAAGCCTCTTAAGTAAAAGCCTCTTAACTGGGCCACATGCAGTGTTTCACCCCTGTAATCCCAGCACTTTGAGAGGTCAAGGGAGAGGATCACTTGAGATCAGGAGTTCAAGTACACCCTGGGCAACACAGACCCTGTCTCTACAAAACTTAAAAAAAAAATTAAGCCTCTTCATTGTATATACTGGCTTATTCATTGTATATACTGACTTCATTGTATACACTGTATTTAATTTTTTAAGAATCTGAGCAGTCCTATTACAGCAACTTTGACTTCCCAAAGAGCAGTTTACTGTGAATTAATATGCTTTTTTCGTGTTTAAGATCACAGCTTTAATTACCTGTATGTTCTCTACTAAAAATACTTGTGTGAAGGCAACTAAGTAAAAATAACACAAAGCAGGCCAGGTGTGGTGGCTCACGCCTGTAACCTCAGCACTTTGGGAGGCCGAGGCAGGTGGATCACCTGAGGTGAGGAGTTCAAGACCAGCCTGGCCAACATGGTGAAACCCCGTCTCTACTAAAAATACAAAAATTAGCTGGGCGTGGTGGTGCATGCCTGTAATCCCAGCTACTCCGGAGGCTGAGACAGGAGAATGGGTTGAACCCGAGAGGCGGAGGTTGCAGTGAGCCAGGATCACACCATTGCACTCTGGCCTGGGTGACAAGAGTGAAAATCTGTCCCCCATCCCCCCACCCCTCCCAAAAACAAACACACAGCAATACACCACAGTTGTGTACATGAAAAGGAATTGCTCCAAGTATAACCTCAAAATCAAAATGACTATAAACACGTAAAGTATGGCCTTTGATATGTCAGTTCTCCTCCCTTATTTCCTCAAGAGAAATACGGGATTGGACTAGATCGGGGTCCATATGTATGGCCCATTGACATTTCATAAATTCAAAAAACTTCCTTATACTATGTGTAAAACTCTACCTCTGTATGCATTTATAAGGAAATGGATTCACAACTTTTACCAGATTTTCAGTTTAAGGACTCAAGACAACAATATACAGTTATTCCATCTCACATTTTTTTAAAAAGTTAAAGTTTGGCCAGGCACAGTGGCTCACATCTGTAATACAAGCACTTTGGGAGGCCGAGGTGGGAGGACTGTTCATTGAGGCCAGGAGTTTGAGGCTGCAGTGAGCTATGATTGTGCCACTGCACTCCAGCATGGAAAAAAGCAAGATCCTGTCTCTTAAAAAAATAAAAATAAAAATTGGGAGGTCGAGGCAGAGGTATCACTTGAGGCCAAGAGTTTGAGACCTGCCTGAGCAATACAGTGAGACCCCATCTCCACAAAAAAACAAAAGCCACAAAAATTAGCCAGGCATGATGGCACCTGCCTGTGGTCCCAGCTACTCAGGAGGCTGAGGCAGGAGGATCATTTTGATTCCAGGAGTTCAAGGCTGCAGTGAGCTATGATCACGCCACTGCACTCCAGCCAGGCCAACACAGTGAGACCCTGCCTCAAAAAAAAAAAGAAAGGTAAAGCTTCCAGCTTTTACTTTTATATCTGTCTCCCAGGCTAGAGTCCAGTGGCAGGATCACAGCTCACTGCAGCCTCAACCTCCTGGGCTGGAGTGATCCTCTCACTTCAGCCTCCCAAGTATCTGGAACTGAGTACAGATGTGTGCCACCTCACCCAGTTTATTTTACTTTTTTTTTTTTTTTTTTGAGACAGAGTCTTGCTCTGTAGCTCAGGCTGGAGCACAGTGGCGCAATCTCAGCTCACTGCAACCTCTGCCTCTCAGGTTCAAGTAATTATCCCACCTCAGCCTCCCGGGTAGCTGGCACTATAGCTCCTGGCTCCAGTTTCTACTTCTAATCCTACCTTGGAGCAAAGAAAGTAGGAGACGAGGCCGGGGACAGTGGCTCCCAGCACTTTGGGAGGCTGAGGCAGGTGGATCACTGGAGGTCAGAAGTTCGAGACCAGCCCGGGTAACGTGGCGAAACCCAATCTCTACTAAAAATATAAAAATTAGTGGCCAGGCATGCTGGCTCACGCCTGTAATCCCAGCACGTTGCGAGGCCGAGGCGAGAAGATCACATGAGGCCAGGAGTTCGAGAGCAGCCTGGCCAACATGGCAAACCCTGTCTCTACTAAAAATACAAAAATAGTCCCAGCCACTTGGGAGGCTGAGGCAGGAGAATCATTTGAACCCAGGAAGTGGAGGTTGTAGTGAGCCGAGATCCTGTCACTGCACTCCAGCCTAGGCAACACAGCGAGACTCCGACTCGGGAAAAAAAAAATTAGCTGGGTGTGGTGGCAGGCACCTGTAATCTCAGCTACTGGGGAGGCTGAGGCAGGAGAACTGCTTAAACCTGGGAGGTGGAGGTTGCAGTGATCCAAGATCACGCCACTGCTCTCCAGCCTGAGCAACAGGGTAAGACTTAAAAAAAAAAGAGAGACAAATACTTGGGCAGGGGACAGGACACCAGAGTATGAAAGACTGGAATGAAGGGGACTGATAACAGGTAGGCAAACAAAGAAGCCACCCAACCTGTCAGCAGAAGTACTATATGAGAACAGCTATTGCCTTATGCCTCAGTTTGTAAAGAGTATATAAAAGAAAAAATTAGCCTTCATCTAAGATAATTTTAAAGTGTCTGTTACCGAACCATTTAAGCCTAAAATTTTTAGGTTCTCATGGCAACCTAAATCATCGCACTGCGCATATTGTATATAAAGTGCATATTTAGAGGCTTAACTAGTAAACTCAAAATGTGACATATGTGCAATGTGGGCGACAACATTATTCTGGGAACCTTAACTTTAAAATCTTCCACATTTTATTCTGCAGCCCCAAAGATGATATAATAGAGTCAACTATGCAGAAGATCCAAGTTCAAGGAAGAAGAGGTACAAAGAACATAAATAGAAGCAAAGACATGAAAGACAAGAAGAAAATTCAGGCTATCAGAAAAAAATTCTGAACATGGCTCTCTCCCACTGTGAATCAACCTGTAAAGGAAGGCTTAAAAAACAAGATTGCTACTGAGGACATATATCAAGATAGCGTTTGGGACATGCTTTAATGTGGGCCCAGTCAAAAGAGGACATAGTCACAGATCAGACAGTTTGGTATATGTGGCACTGACTCCACGGCAGTCTAGAGAGGATGATGTTTCTCTCTTTGGTAGCAGCTTATAGAATATAGCTGTTTAGAATTAAGAAGCGGTATCAGAGACAAAAGGATGGCTGTGAGACATGAAAACTGGGAGAGAGGACCAGACTTTAAGAAGAGGAAAAAGGCTGGGTACAGTGGCTCATACCTGTAATCCCAGTACTTTCGGAGGCCGAGGCAGGAAGATTGCTTGAGACCAGGAGTTTAAGACCAGCCTGGGCAACACAGGGGGACCCTGTCTCTACAAAAATGGAAAAAATTAGCCAGGCATGGTGGCATGTGCCTGTAGTGCCAGCTACTTGAGAGGTTGAGGCGGGAGGATTGCTTGAGCCCACGAGGTCAAGGCTACAGTGAGCCACAATCATGCCATTGCACTCCAAGCCTGGGCGACAAAGGAACACCCTGTCTTAAAACAAAAAGCCCGGCGTGGTAGCTCATGCCTGTAATCCCAACACTTTGGGAGGCCGAGGCGGATGGATTCCCTGAGGTCAGGAGTTTGAGACCAGCCTGGCCAATTTGGCGAAACCCCGTCTCTACTAAAAATACAAAAATTACCCAGGCATGGTGGTAGATGCCTGTAATCCCAGCTACTCGGGAAGCTGAGGCACAAGAATCACTTGAACCCGGGAGGTCGATGTTACAGTGAGCTGAGATCGCACCACTGCACTCCAGCTTGTCACAGCAAGACTCCGAATCAAAACAACAACAACAACAACAACAAAAAACAAAAAAAAACAAACAGGCCAGGCGCGGTGGCTCACGCCTGTCAACCCAGCGCTTTGGGAGGCCAAGGTGGGCAGATCACACGGTTACAAGATAGAGACCATCCTGGCTAACATGGTGAAACCCCATCTCTACTAAAAATACAAAGCATTAGCCGGGCGTGGTGGCACTCGCCTATAGTCTCAGCTACTCTGGGGGCTGAGGTAGGAGAATTGCTTGAATCTGGGAGGCAGAGGTTGCAGTGAGCCAAGATCACACCACTACACTCCAGCCTGGGCAACAGAGCGAGACTCCATCTCAAACAAACAAACAAACAAACAGTAAGACCCGAAATATTATTTTTGAACCCCAAGCTCACTTTTGTATAGATATACCTACTCTAGAAACAATGACAAAAGCATTCGCAAAATGCACCACAAAAACACAAAACAATTTGCCTACTTGGCTTCTGATTTTGCCTTAGAAGTATTTTTGAGGCCTGTTTTGATATTCTTTAGCTCAAAATCATCTCCTCTCGTTAAGCACATTGTAAAGTACTTTAAACTCAATATAGCATTTATCATCATCTCTTCCCTCCCACTTGTTAAAGAACTAGCTTGTTCCAAATATGGCATTATCTTTTCCAAGTTCTAGGGTTTAGGCATGACATAATTCCTTTAAAGAATTATTTTTCTTGTCATGACTGACAAGCATGACTTAAATGGAGATAAACAGGCTACTGAAAAACATTTGGGAATTTTTCTGATTACAACTGCTCTTATTTTTATTTTTTTTTTTTTGAGACAGAGTCTCGCTCTGTCGCCCAGGCTGGAGTGCAGTGGCGCAATCTCAACTCACTGCAACCTTCGCCTCCCAGGTTCAAGCGATTCTCCTGCCTCAGCTGCCTGAGTAGCTGGGACTACAGGTACCCACCACCAGGCCTAAATAATTTTTGTATTGTTAGTAGAGACGGGTTTCACCATGTTGGCCAGGCTGGTGTCAAACTCCTGACCTCAGGTGATCCACCTCGGCCTCCCAAAGTGCTGGGATTACAGGCGTGAGCCACCATGCCCAGTGTACAATTGCTCTTTTATGATGAGAGAAAAACAATGTATAGCTTTAAAATGGGGAATCCACATAAAACTATCTTCCCTTTGAACTCCAGTACAGGGGCTTTTGCCAATTAAACAAGTCACCTCCACCTGAGGAAAGAGGCAGACGCTGCCTGCCCAGGATGCTGTAGAAGGGATTCCTTCCATGGATAGAAAGTTTCTCTGCATAACTTTTGTAAAGGTCCTTTGCTAACCTCAGAAACTGATTTCACTATGAAAAGTAGAGGAAAGGTGAATCCAATGTGTGGGTAGAAACAACAGAACAGTGCTGGGAAAATTCCTGCTTCTATCTCTATGTGAATTTAAGTAAGGCATTCCATGTCCCTCATTTTCAAAATGATAGGATTAAAGAAGAAAAAAATCTCTGAAGTTTCTAGCATTTTCAGCCTATAGCTTACTTTTTCTCCCTCCTATGCCAGCCTGGGCCACCCACCACCTTCCCACTGCTGCAGCACCTTACCATAATTAGGCAGCTTTTTAAAGCTTCTAATTAACGGAACACAGAAATTAAAACCTTTAAACTTTCTTTTCTATTTCTGGCTCACTGCAAATGTGCAACAGCATTTTATTAAGGAGTTGTTAATGCCACACAGTTCTTGCTATACTGGCTTTTCTCTGAACCCCAGTGACAGTTACACAGTGACAAGTTGTAAGCAAAGAGGTTGTTACCATGGGAACCCACTAGGATTCCTGGGGGTGGATCCAGAAGGCTTTTTTTTTTCTATCACAGTATTTTTTTTTTTTGATGTTCTGGATCTGGCAATTCAGAAAGCTGATCTTATTATTTCAGCAAGCTACCTTCAAGAAATAGTACCATACAGTATACATTTCTGAAGAAATATTAGACCAAGCGCAGTGACTCACGCCTGTAATACCAGCAATTTGGGAAGCTGAGGCGGGGGGATCACTTGAGGTCAGGAATTCAAGACTAGCCTGGCCAACATGGTGAAACCCCATTTCTACTAAAAATACAAAAATTGGCCGGGTATAGTGGCTCATGCCTATAATCCCAGCACTTTGGGAGGCCAAGGCAGGCAGATTGCCTGAGCTCAGGAGTTCACGACCAGCCTGGGCAACATGGTGAAACCCCCTCTCTACTAAAATACAAAAAATTAGCCAGGCATGGCAGTGTATGCCTGTAGTCCCAGCTACTCAGGAGGCTGAGGCAGGAGAACTGCTTAAACTCCGGAAGGCGGAAGTGGCAGTGAGCTGAGATCGCACCACCGCACTCCAGCCTGGGCTACAGAGCGAGACTCCATTTCAAAAAATAAATAAATACATACATACATACATACATAAATTAGCTGAGCATGGTGGCGGGCACTTGCAATCCCAGCTACTTGGGAGGCTAAGGCAGAAGCATCACTTGAACCTAAGAGGCAGGGGTTACAGTGAGCTGAGATTGCTCAAGTGCACTCCAGCCTGGGCAATAGAGCGAGACTCTCCCCCAAAAAAAAAAAAAAAAAAAAAAGGAATATTTATAACTATTTTAGTGACACTCTGTTGCACAATAGTTAAATATATTCAACTCTTAGTTTTTCCCCTCCCTCTTCATAAAAGCAGCTACATCAATATAAACTCAACTGAAGTTTCTATGACCTATGTATGCTGCTATTTCTTTCCAGACCACAACATAAGTTATATTTAGCATTTTTTCTTTCCTTTTTTTTTTTTTTTTTTTTTTGGACATAGAGTTTCACTCTTGTTGCCCAGGCTGAAGTACAGTGACACAATCTCTGCTCACTGCAACCTCCGCCTCCTTAGTTCAAACTACTCTCCTGCCTCAGCCTCCGAAGTAGCTGAGATTACAGGCGCCTGCCACCATGCCCGGCTAATATTTTGTATTTCTAGTAGAGATGGGGTTTCACCACATTGGCCAGGCTGGTCTCGAACTCCTGACCTCAGGTGATCCACCCGCCTTGGCCTCCCAAAGTGCTGGGATTACAGGCATGAGCCACGGCGCCTGGCCATATTTAGTATTTTTTCTATCAAGATTTCAATGTTTTCCAAAGTTCAAGAAATCTCAGCTTCTCTACACAATTATGTTAGAAATATATCAGACACAAAATTATAAAAATAAAGCTGGCCGGGCGCCATGGCTCATGCCTGTAATCCCAGCACTCTGGGAGGCCAAGGCAGACAGATCACAAGGTAAGGAGACCGAGACCATCCTGGCTAACATGGTGAAACCCTGTCTCTACTAAAAACATACAAAAAATTAGCCGGGCGTGGTGGTGGGCAACTGTAGTCCCAGCTACTCGGGAGGCTGAGGCAGGAGAATGGTGTGAACCCAGGAGGTGGAGCTTGCAGTATGCAGAGATCGCACCACTGCACTCCAGCCTAGGCGACAGAGCGAGACTCCATCTCAAAAATAAATAAAATAAAATAAAATAAGCCAAGAGAAGTATAAGTTCAATCTCCAAGTATGCCTCCAAAACTGTAGTGTGTAGATAAATGTGATGTTAAATTACGTTTAGGGAGATGAACTGCCACTCCCAGCTAAATGTGTGTTGTCACTCAGTTCCCTGGAGACCCATTCTGTTAGAAGATATCTTAAGAAAACAGATCATTTACAAGTCTGATCTGTGGATCTGTTTTTTTCAGAAGTGGAACAGTCAGAATTAGAAAAAAAAAAATTTTTTTCCCTAAGTTGGAAGCTTTCTGGAAAAGGGTTAAGTCTTTCCATAGATCTAGCTTAGCCCCAGAGCAAACTTATACCAGACAAATGAACATTAACAAAAACAGCACTTGATTTCACAGTAATAATCTAGAACTTCAGCTACCCTACGCCTGATCCATAATAGTTTGAGCCAGAAAAGTACCTGGCACAAATTTCAAGAGTATCCCTCACACTAATAACTACTGAAACCTAAATATAAATTCCATTTAAATGTGTTGAAAACCAAACTCAGAACCAATTCATACAACAAATTCACAAACCAAAAGAAAAAAAAAATGGTTCTATGGAGATAAGATATACCATTAACTACCGTAGGCAATAGTTATTAAGATACTCCACAAACATATTATGTCTTGGGCTGGGCGAGATGGCTCACACCTGTAATCCCAGCACTTTGGGAGGCCGAGGCAGGCGGATCAGTTGAGTTCAGGAGTTCGAGACCAGCCTGACCAACATGGAGAAACTCCGTCTCTACTAAAAATAGAAAATTAGCCGGGCATGGTGGGGCATGCCTGTAATCCCAGCTACTCAGGAGGCTGAGGCAGGAGAATCGCTTGAACCCGGGGAGGTGGAGGTTGCAGTGAGCCAAGGTTGCACCACTGCACTCCAGCCTGGGCAACAAGAGCGAAACCCCATCTCAAAAAAAAAAAAAAAATAAATCATGTCTTGTTTTGCTATATTTACTCACCTAAGCTTTCCTGTAGCATGCCCACAAGTTTTTTTGTTTTTGTTTTTTTCTTGAGATAGGGTCTTGCTCTGTCGCCCAGGCTGAAGTGCAGTGGTGCAATCTCGGCTCACTGCAATCTCCACCTCCTGGGTTCAAGCGAGCCTCCTGCCTCAGCCTCCCAAGTAGCTGGGATTACAGGCGTGTGCCACCGTGCCCAGCTAATTTTTTCTGTTTTTAGTACAGACAGGGTTTCACTGTGTTAGCCAGGATGGTCTTGATCTCCTGACCTTGTGATCCGCCCGCCTCAGCCTCCCAAGGTGCTGGGATTATAGGCATGAGCCACTGCACCCAGCCCAAGAGTTTGTTTTTAAATAGTTTCTGGCCAGCATGGTGGCTCAAGCCTGCAATCCCAGCACTTTGGGAGGCTGAGGCAGGTGAATCACTTGAGGCCAAGAGTTTGAGACCAGCCTAGCCAACATGGCAAAATCTCATCTCTACTAAAAATAGAAAAATTAGCTGGGCATGGTGCCAACGGCCTGTAGTAGCTCTTCTGGAGACTGAGGCACGAGAATTACTTGAACCCGGGAGGCGGAGGTTGCAGTGAGCCAACATTGCACCACTGTACTCCATCGTGGGCGACAAGGCGAGATTGTCATAAATAAATAGATAGATAGATAGACAGACTGATAGATAGTTTCCCAATGCTATCTATAACCCAAATTAGCTCAGTAAAGAGGTTTGCAAAGCTTTTTAAAAAACTGCATTTGTAGGCCGGGTGTGGTGGCTCATGCCTGTAATCTCAGCACTTTGGGAGGCCAAGGTGAGCAGATTACCTGAGGTCAGGTGGAGTTGGAGGTCAGCCTAGCCAACATGGCGAAAACCCGTCACTACTAAAAAAAATACAAAAATTACCTGGGCGTGGTGGTGCACACCTGTAATCCCAGCTACTCAGAAGGCTGAGGCAGTTACTTGAACCTGGGAAGCGGGGGCTGCAGAGCTGAGAACACACCACTGCACTCCAGCCTGCGTGACAGAGTGAGACTCCATTTCAAAAAATAATAATAAAAAATAAAAATTGCACTTGTAAATGTATGCAGAGACTATTAAACAGAAATAGCACGCAATAAAAACAATGAATATATAATAAACATAATGTCTTTCCATAATTATTTCCCATCAGCTTGAAAGGGGAAGTAGGAAGGACAAGTCCACAGTATAGTTTTGGCACATGAGTTTAATATCAAACAGCCTAGAAACAAAAAGGAGAAAACAGGACATGACAGGAGGCAAACTCTTGGATGCTTTATTCATTTTTACTAGTGGTTTACTATTTCCTTGATTTTATTTGGAAAAGCATGTCTTGGCCCAGAAAGGCAAGAGTGCAGACTGCCAGCAATATCAGATTATCCTTTTCTTATTCTTTGGAGCTACTGAAAACTGAGCCAAAATCAGAGTTGTCTAGGAGCCTTCTGACTGTTCAGGCAATAAAAATTACGAAGTTTCAAGATCAGAGCTCCACAAGGTTTTTACCATACAAATTTTTTTTTTTTTTTTTTTTGGGACAGAGTCTCACTCTGTCGCCCAGGCTAGAGTGCAGTGGCGCCATCTTGGCTCACTGCAGCCTCCACCTCCTGGATTCAAGCAATTCTCCTGCCTCAGCCTCCTGAGTAGCTGAGACTATAGGCACACACCACCACATTCAACAAATTTCTGTTATTTTTAGTAGAGACGGGGTTTCACCATGTTGTCCAGGATGGTCTCGATCTCCTGACCTCGTGATCCACCCGACTCAGTCTCCCAATGTGCTGGGATTACAGGCGTGAGCCACCACACCAGGCCTACAGTACAAACCTTAACCATAATGTCTTTTGATGGAAAGCTGCTTACATTTTTTTTCCAGATAACTCCTTGGAGCTTTTAAAGTACTCCATCTTCAGAAGACAATGACTTAAATTCACAGAATTAAAATGTTAAGTCTTTTTCCTATTACTAATCCTTAATACTGAACTGTTCCAAAACATAAAATTAAAGTGCCATTTGACTAGACATGGAGTAGTCAACAAATAATTACCAGATATCTACTTTATGCAAGGCCCCAGTACTTATGTAACACTATAGACTGTAAAATTTCCTCTATGCACAGCACTGGGTTTAGTACGATACACACAACACATAAAGGCATAATCATTTTGTTTTCTTTTTTTTCTTTTCTTTTTTTTTTTTTAAAGAAAGGTGTTTCACTTTTTCACCCAGGCTGGCTGGAGTACATTGGCACAATGATAGCTTTCTGTAACCTCCTGGGCTCAAGGAGTTGAGTCCTGCCTCAGCCTCCCAAATAGCTAGGACTACAGGTGTGCACCACCATGCCTGGCTAAATAATTTTATTTGTAGAGACAGAGTCCCTGTATTTGCCCAAGCTGGTCTCAAACTCCTGGCCTCAAGCAATCCTCTTGCCTCAGCCTCCTAAAGTGCTGGTAATGCAGGCATGAGCTACCATGCCTGGCCCATAATATTGTTTAGATATATTTGCAATCATCATTTGATCTCTGATATCAAATAATATCTTCTAGCTTTTTCTATCCTACATTATCTATATATGGAAGACAGAATCTTGATGTTGGCTGTGTACCAGGTTGTATATAAATCTCCATTTTGGCTGGGCGTGGTGGCTCACGCCTCTAATCCCAGCACTTTGGGAGGCCCAGGCGGGCAGATCACGAGGTCAGTAGATCAAGACCATCCTGGCCAACACGGTGAAACCCCGTCTCTACTAAAAATACAAAAAATTAGCCAGGCATGGTGGTGGGCACCTGTACTCCCAGCTACTCGGGAGGCTGAGGCAGGAGAATGGCGTGAACCCGGGAGACAGAGCTTGCAGTGAGCCGAGATCGCGCCACTGCACTCCAGCCTGGGCAAAAGAGCAAGACTCCGTCTCAAAAAAAAAAAAAAAAAAAATCTCCATTTCAAAACTAGCTTGTCTCTTTTTAATTCCTGCTCATTAGTATTACAGGGAATGTTTACATTTCTCTGGAATAAAGTCTTTCAACCTAACAAACCAAAATATCACAGGAAAAAAACAAAATCACGTTAGAAGCGCTAAACTGTCTTTCTCAGAGCTTCCCCCTCTCCCTTATTAACATTTCTCAAAGAGAAAAACACCACTGTGATGCTCCTCTCACAGATCATTCATGAAGTTACTGAGCTGGGACCAGAGAGACTCCATCAACTGGGCACACAGCCATTCACCATTACCCTTTGTTTAAAGTCTCAACAGCCATTCAACCCACATTATTGTGTTCCACTCAAGCCCATCAACATTTTTTTAAGAGGAAACAATCAGGAAACTAAAACAAACGCCACTTAACTAGAAATGAAGAAAAGACTGAATCCATATGCCTCACAAACAAAAATTCTCTAAAACTGATGGCTCACTTTAAGTTTCCTATCTGAAATAGCAGTATTATTTTTAACAGGCTCATATTCCTAAAAAAATTAAAAACAAATAATTATAAAAAACTTGTTAAAAAAATAAACTCATAATCTTGATCTGGCAAAGCATTCTAAACACCAAATGCAAATATATATACTGAAGGAGTCAAGACCTCCAGCGGCCTTTTGCCTGGGGCTAAGGAGGGTATGGGGGAAAAAGCACTCTTCCCAACAGCTGGGTGTGGTGGCTCAAGCCTGTAATCCCGGCACTTTGGGAGGCCGATGCGGACAGAACACCTGAGGTCGGGAGTTCGAGACCAGTCACGGCTAACATGGTGAAACCCTGTTTCTACTAAAAATACAAAAAATCAGCCAGGCATGAATGGTGGCACACACCTGTAATCCCAGCTACTCTTCCAAAGAGCCATGATCCCTGACAAGATGATTCTAAATTTCAAATTTTACAAGTGCTGTGCAGAGCTCTGTACTAAGTCTAACTCAAAGTTATTTCGGCTGAAAATAACAGAAAGCTTACATAAAAACTAGAGTTAACTGAAAGGGTACTAGACCACTCCAAGAACTCCAAACAGGCCCACACCTGGAAAGTCTTTAGGCATCCAGATTTTTGCTCTGCATGTGGATGGCTGCCCTCTCTCCAGAGCTGCATTTCTCATCTATGCTTCTTTCCAGATGAAATCTACTTACTTCTCCCTCCCTACGGAATGACCTTCACTGCTTCCACCTGTACGAGCCTGAACTTGGCTGCATACCAGCATCTGATTTTATGTCCTGAGTTCTCTGAATGTAGGTGACTATTTGTATCTTAAAGACTTGAATCTCAGTTCTAATCTCAAATTCCTAGGACAAAGTGATTTGCCCAGCTTGGGCCAGGTGTCCACCTCTGGTGCAATAAGATATTACAAGAGGGGCTAAATCACAAGGTATAATTAGAGTAGGGACTATATGCCTGAACCACTCCCCTAAAGTATATGCAATACACTAAGCAGTAAGGCAGTTTCCATCCTCAAAAAGCTTAAAATCTTGCTGAAATAATAAAATACTAAATCAGGTACAGGAATGAATGGACAGGAAAAGCCTCATGAAAAAGATTAGCTGTGCACTAAATGACAAATACTGAATCATGAGCATGGAGGGGCTGAAGAGCATTCCTAAACACGAAATGTGATGTCTGCTCCTCTTGCTCTAGCCATCTAGGAAATACAGACCTAAGGGATAAATAATCTTTTACCACATAAACAGCTTCCAGTAAAATATCCTTGTTGAAAGCCTGCTATAAAATGACTTTGAACACAAAGCAGTGCTGCTTCATCATGCAGTAATCACCCACTAGCTGACAAATGTCAAACAGTTATGCATTTTCAAGCTGTCATCACCACCCTGACTTCCTTTCACTCCTCGGCCCCCACGAGACTCTTGCTCAGAGAGCACTCAAAATCAGGCAAGCAGGCTGGGCGCGGTGGCTCACGCCTGTAATCCCAGCACTTTGGGGAGGCCGAGGTGGGTGGATCACGAGGTCAGGAGTTCAAGACCACCCTGGCCAAGATGGTGAAACCCCGTCTCTACTAAAAATACAAAAATTACCCGGGCATGGTGGTGGGCACCTGTAATCACAGCTACTTGGGAGGCTGAGGCAGGGAGAATGGCTTGAAACCAGGAGGTGGAGGCTGCAGTGAGCCGAGATCGCGCCACTGGACTCCAGCCTGGGCGACAGAGAGAGACTCCATCTCAAACAACAACAACAACAACAACAAAACAAAAAACAGGCAAGCAGCCAGTAAATGGCACAGGTGTTTCTCACTGAGAATATCCCACCCGATCTAGCATGGTAAGTTAGCAGCAGCAACACCCAGACAGAATTCATCCAGGAAAGAAACACTAGCTGAGCTATGTGACTGCAGTGTGAGGGAAAGCGGCTGGAGCTGAAAAGTAGAATGTTTCCCATACACAAAAGCTAGAAGTACAAAGCAACTGGAAAAAGCGTACAGCAAATTATCTGTACAAAACAGAAATTAACAAAAACTTAACAGATGTCCAAATAATACTGGGTTAAAAAAGACAATCTACTCACAGTAGACTATTAGTCACCTCACATTATCACCAATATCATACATATTCACACAGTCTGCAAGAGCTTACTCAATCTCACAGGAAACAAAAAGGTAAAAGAACAAGGAGAAAGTGGTGACAGTTTCTAACTTAATGATTATTTTGCTAAAGAGTAGCAATGTTACTATGAAAATGGAAACTACTTGGCCAGGTGTGGAGGCTCACACTTGTAATCCCAGCACTTTGGGAGGCCAAGGCGGGTGGATCTCCTGAGGTCAGGAGTTTGAGACCAGCCTGGCCAACATGGTGAAACCCCGTCTCTACTTAAAACACAAAATTAGCTGGGTGTGGTGGCGCATGCCTATAATCCCAGCAACTTGGGAGGCTGAGGCAGGAGAATCGCTTGAACCCAGGAGGCAGAGGTTGCAGCGAGCCAAGATCTCACCACTGTACTCCAGAGCCTGGTGACAGGGCGAGACTGTCAAAGAAAGAAAGAAAGAAAGAAAGAAAGAAAGAAAGAAAGAACGAAAGAAAGAACGAAAGAAAGAAAGAACGAAAGAAAGAACGAAAGAAAGAACGAAAGAAAGAACGAAAGAAAGAAAGAAAGAAAGAAAGAAAGAAAGAAAGAAAGAAAATGGAAACTACTGACCCTTCGAAATTAAAAGTATAACAGTACAAAATTACACAGCCCAGGAATCAAAAAACTTCATTTTGCATAATCCCCAAACTAAAGACATTCCCCCCCAAAACACAGTTTTAATGGAGTTATAACTTAGAAAGAAAGTAAAATTATTCAACTCCATTTTGTCAAAGCTGAATGTAGCTATAAAAAGAAGACCTGGAGGTCATAAAGTTAGTGGAGAGTTCTTTCTAAAGCCGTACTGGGCTGGGCGCGGTGGCGTGCGTCTGTAATTTCAGCACTTCGGGAGGCCGAGGCAGGTGGATCACCTGAGGTCAGGAGTTCGAGACCAGCCTAGCCAACATGGTGAAACCCCATCTCTACTAAAAATACAAAAATTAGCCAGGCATGCTGGCAGGTGCCTATAATCCCAGCTACTCGAGGTTGAGGCAGAAGAATCGCTTCAACCCGGGAGGCGAAGGCTGCAGTGAGCTGAGATCGCACCACTGCACTCCACCCTGGGCAACAAGAGTGAAACTCTGTCTCAAATAAATAAAGCCGTATCTGCACCCATGAACATATCTAAAAGTGGCACATCAAATTTGATTAAGTGAGATCCATTAGGTATCAATGCAATCACTAAAAAAACCTCATCATTCTTGATACTTTCTCCATTTTTTTTTTTTTTTTTTTTTGAGACAGGGTCTCCCTGTTGCCCAGGCTGGAGTGTAGTGGCGTGATCTCAGTTCACTGCAACCTTCACCTCCTGGGTTCAAGCCATTCTTGTGCCTCAGCCACTTGAGGAGCTGGGATTACAGACACGCACCACCACATCTGGCTAAGTCTTGTATTTTCAGTAGAGACAGTGTTTCACCATGTTGGCCAGGCTGGTCTCAAACTTCTGGCCTCACGTGATCCGCGTGTCTTGGCCTCCCAAAGTGCTGGGATTAAAGGCGTGAGCCACCGTGCTCAGCTTTACAACATATCAACAGGGCTGGACTGTGCTCATCTTTAGAAAATATCAACAGGGCTGGGTGCGGCAGCTCACACCTGTAATCCCAACACTTTGGGAGGCCAAGGCAGGAGGATCACTTGAGGACAGGTGTTCAAGACTAGGAGAGATCCCGTCTCTACAAATACTACAAAAATTAGCCAGGTGTAGCAGTGTGCACCTGTAGTCCCAGCTACTCGGAAAGCTGAGGCTGGAGGATCGCTTGAGCCCAAGAGTTCCAGGCTATAATTGCACCACTGCACTCAAGTCTGGGCAACAAAGAGAGATCCTGTCTCTAATGGAAAAGAAGGCCAGCATGGTAGCTCATGCCTGTAATCCCAGCACTTTGGGAGGCCGAGGCAGGAGGATTGCTAGAGACCAGGGGGTCAAGACCAGCCTGGGAAACATAGTGGGACCCCATCTCTACAAAAAATAAAATTAGCCAAGCGTGGTGTTGCGCACCTATAGTCCCGGCTACTTGGGAGGCTGAGGTGGGGAAGAATCACTTGAGGCCTGGGAGGTTGAGGCTACAGTGAGCCACGATAACGCCACTGCACTCCAGCCTGAGTGACACAATGAGACCTTGTCTCGGAAAACAACAGCCCAAAAAAGCCCCAAACTTTACAAATCTGGAACTTAATGAAGTGTAAAATAAACAAATATGTACTCATGGCCTCCACAGCACAGCAGAGGTTAAAAAATAACTATAGAATTCTATAAAGAAACCTCTACTTTAAGAAGATTCTAAGCCAATTCTATGACAAGACCAAAGTTATTTTACAAAGGTCTCATCAAGGAAACTGTCTTCAAGGCAGTCATGATGTTGCCCTCCTGTAATCAATCCCAACTACTCAGGAGGCTGAGACAGGAGGACTGCTTGAGCTCAAGAGTTTGCACCAGTTTGGGCTACATAGCGGACCCGTGGACCCCTGTCCCCACCCCGTCTCTAAAAAAAAAAGAAAGCTGTTTTCGGCAAATAAGGACTCTTGATACAATATAGTTTACAAAGCAAATAGCTAAAACTGATTAAGTCTTAAATCTGCATTACAACTCTAAATATTAGAGCCCTCCTCCCCGCCTCAACTTGTCACTTGAAACTACGAAGAGACCCAAGTGTCCCCTATTACAAATCCAAAATATTCATTTATAATTTTCAGTTTTCTTTGAACACAGAAGCCTCCTAACAGTAGACTCTCAAAGTAGAAATAGTGAATATGAAATCTAGGAAACCATATTACCCAAGTATTCCACAAGGAACAACGTCCTGTTTAGCACAGCATTTCAGACACACAAATCTTATCCCTTAAGCCACAACAGACACAAGAAAATGCAAAACAAAATGCACTCATAAAAGGGAACAAAAGGAACACTGACATAGTAGCTACTGCTCATCTATGTATGGCACTCCTAGGCAGTTCACCTGTGTTATTTATTTCATTTGGCTGAAATGCATTACTGACCCAAGAGACTAGTGGTATGCCCATTTTACACATGGAAAAAGAAACAGCATTATCAATACTGTATCAGGCACTGTTCAGTGCCTAGCATAAGTTACCTCAATTAATCCTCACATTACTATTCTGAGTTGGTATCTCCACTTTAAAGACAGGAAAACAGGGCCAGAAATGTTAACTGGTGGTACCCCAAATCCACTGTCCCAAGCTGTCACAGCTATCCTTACCAGGCTGTGTTTATAAAGCCCATTCAAGTCACATCATTCTTTCAAACCATTTCAAGGATTCCACAATCAAAAAATCAACTCTCAATTACAGAAAGACTTAATTCTCCAGATTTTCATCAAAATTTTCTTATTTCTATTTTATTTGCCTTTTGACCATTTCAGTGTACTGTAATTCTAGTATACGTGTTCTGGTAACTATAGGATTATATTAATAGCAATCAACTTTGGGAGGCTGAGGCGGGCAGTTCACCTGAGGTCAGGAGTTTGAGACCAGCCTGACCAACATGGAGAAACCCCATCTCTACTAAAAATACAAAATTAGCCAGGTATGGTGGCACATGCCTATAATCCCAGCTACTCGGAAGGCTGAGGAAGGAAAATCACTTGAGCCCAGGAGGTGGAGGTTGCAGTGAGCTGAGATGGTGCCACTGCACTCCAGCCTGGGTAACAACAGTGACACTCACTCTCAAAAAAATAAAAATAAAAAAATCAAGAATCAAAGAATAGGCCAGACATGGTGGCTCATGCCTGTAATCACAACACTTTGGGAGGCCCAGACAGGCGGATAACTTGAGATCAGGAGTTCAAGATCAGCCTGGCCAAGCCTGGCCAACATGGCGAAACCCCATCTCTAATAAAAATACAAAAATTAAGACCGGGTGGAGTGGTTCATGCCTGTAATCCCAGCACTTTGGGAAGCCGAGGTGGGCGGATCACCTGAGGTCGGGAATTCGAGACCAGCCTGACCAACATGAAGAAACCCCATCTCTACTAAAAATACAAAAATTAGCCGGGCATGGTGGCGGGCACCTATAATCCCAGCTGCTTGAGAGGCTGAGGCACGAGAATTGCTTGAACCCCTCCCAGCAGAGGTTGCAGTGAGCCGAGATTGAACCACTGTACGCTAGCCTGGGCGACAGAGCGGGACTCTGTCTCAAAAGAACAAATAAATACTGACCTTCATTCAGAACCATAAAGTCTCCAATACTCATTATTAAGAGGTTAATAACAAGAGTTATTAAGAGGTTATTAAGAGGTTAATAAGGAACATATTGTTAATAACAAGGAGCATTAAGAGGTTAATAACAAGGAGTGAATCTGAAGTCTTACAGCATAAAGTTTGCCTAGCTGCCAGAGACCTTATTTCTATTTCTTCTTTTTTTAGTAGAAAAGTTTTACAAAATTTGTAGGAAAATACAATAATTTTTGTATTTTTTGTAGAGATGAGGTCTAGCTATGTTGCCCAGGCTGGTCTCAAGCTCCTGAGCTCAAGCAATCTGCCCGCCTCAGTCTTCCAAAGTGCTGGGATTACAGGCATGCACCACCATGCCCAGCCCCTCTCTCTCATATGTATACGTGTGTGTGTGTGTGTCTGCGTGTGTGTGTGTGTGTGTGTGTGTGTGTGTGTGTGTATATATATATTTTTTTTTTTTTGAGATGGAGTCTCCCACTCTCACCCAGGCTGGAGTGCAGTGGTGCCATCTCAGCTCACTGCAAGCTCCGCCTCCCGGGTTCACGCCATTCTCCTGCCTCAGCCTCCCAAGTAGCTGCGACTACAGGTGCCTGCCACCATGCCCAGCTAATTTTTTGTATTTTTAGTAGAGACGGGGTTTCACCGTGTTAGCCAGGATGGTCTCGATCTCCTGACCTTGTGATCTGCCTGCCTCGGCCTCCCTACATCTTTTTAAGGGAGAAAAATAGGAGAAAGGCCTTTCATGCAATTGACAGATACTCTCAGTATCTTTTTTTTTTTTTTTTTGGGCGGGGGCCGGGGGCGGGGGCGGGGGAGGGAATGGAGTTTTGCTCTTGTAGCCCAGGCTGGAGTGCAGTGGCTTGATCTTGGCTCACTGCAACCTCTGTCTCCCTAGTTCAAGCGATTCTCCTGCCTCAGCCTCCTAAGTAGCTGGGATTACAGGCATGCGCCACCACACCTGGCTAATTGTGTATTTTTGGCAGAGACGGGGTTTCTCAGATGATCCGCCCACCCTGGCCTCCCAAAGTGCTGGGATTACAGGTATGAGCCACCACGCCGGGCCAACTTTCTTCACACTAGAACAAACTGAGAGACCTATGAGTATCTTTGAAATGTTCATACCTGAAAGTATTATTCTAACTAGGCCATTAATGACAGATTTACAAATTTATCTGTGCACAACATAAGATACCTAGAAATTGGTCCACCTAAGAAAGCCATTCATATATTATAGGTATAAAGCAAAGGCAGGAACTTGTCAATTCTTATCCTCTTCATGTGATACTTTTTCAGCACACATTTTTTGAAAACGCTGTGCCAGGCACAGTGGCTCACACCTGTAATTGCAGAACTTTGGGAGGCTGAGGTGGGTGAATCACCTGAGGTCAGGAGTTCAAGACCAGCTTGACCAACCTGGAGAAACCTCCGTCTCTACTAAAAATACAAAAAATTAGCTGGGGGTCATGGCATATGCCTGTAATCCCAGCTATTTGGGAGGCTGAGGCAGGAGAATCACTTGAACCCGGGAGGCAGAGGTTGTGGTGAGCCAAGATCATGCCATTACTTTAGTCTGGGCAACAAAAGCGAAACTCCACCTCAAAAAAAAAAAAAAAAAAAAAAAAAAAAGAAAGAAAGAAAATGCTGTATATTCAAAGATAGGAAAATCTGACTAGATTAGAAATTTAAAATGCTATAAACAGTGATTTGGATTATCGTTATAGACCACTTTATACATGCTGACATATTTGTATTTTCAAGAAGTTTGAATATGTCAGTGGACGTCTCTCTGTGATTGGCAATCCATATGAAGAGCATGAATTGTAATCAATTGAACCTTTATAGAACTCCAAGAGAGGAGAAGATAGCAAAATAAAGGAGACATTCCTGACCTCAAGAAGTAAAGGAACACAGCCATAAAAGGAAATTAGGGCTGGGCACGGTGGTTCATGCCCGTAATCCCAGCACTTTGGGAGGCCGAGGCGGGCAGATCACCTGAGGTCAGGAGTTTGAGACCAGCCTGGCCAAAATGGTGAAACCCCATCTCTACTAAAAATACAAAATTAGCCAGGCTAGGTGGCTCATGCCTGTAGTCCCAGCTACTCAGGAGGCTGAGGCAGCTTGAACCCGGGAGGCGGAGGTTACAGTGAGCCGAGATCGCGCCACTGCACTCCAGTCTAGGCGACAAGAGCGAAACTCCATCTCAAAAAAAAAAAAAAGAAAAAAAAAAGGAAATTAGGTCCTGATACATGCTACAAAATGATGCAGGGACCCTGAAAACAACACGCTAAGTGAAATAAGCCAGACACAAAAAGCCAAGTATTACATGATTCCAGTTACATGAAATATCTAGAATAAGAAAATTCACAGAAACAAAGATAGATTAGAGGCTACCAGAGGCTGGGGGGAGGGGAAAATTGAGAGTTATTGCTTAATGGTTACAGAGGTTCTGTATGCGGTGATGAAAACATTTTGGAAAGATCACAGTGATGATTGCACAACACCTCAATGTAACTAATGTCACTGAATTATACACTTAAAAATGGTTAAAACGGGCCGGGCACGGTGGCTCAAGCCTGTAATCCCAACACTTTGGGAGGCTGAGGCAGGTGGATCACGAGGTCTGGAGTTCAAGACCAGCCTGGCCAAGATGGTGAAACCCCGTCTCTACTAAAAATACAAAAATTAGCCAGGCACAGTGGCAGGAACCTGTAATCCCAGCTACTCGGGAGGCTGAGGTAGGAGAATCGCTTGAACCAGGGCGACAGAGATTGCAGTGAGCCAAGATCGAGTCACTGCACTCTAGGCTGGGTGACAGAGTGAGACTCCGTCTCAAAAAAAAAGGTTAAAACAACCTAAATGTAAGACCTAAAACTATAAAACTCCTAGAAGAAAATATAGAGGAAAAACTTCATGATATTGGATTTGACAATGATTTCATGGATATGACACCAAGTGCGCAGGCAACAAAACCAGAAATAAACAAATGGGACTATATCGAACATGAAATATTTTGTGTATCAAAGCATACAATCGACAAAGTGAAAGACAAATTACAGAATGGGAGAAAATATCTGCAAATCATCTATCTAATAAGGGGTTAATATCCAGAAAATAGAGGCTGGGTGCGGTGGCTCACATCTGTAATCCCAGTACTTTGGGAGGTCGAGGCGGGCGGATCACCTGAGGTTGGGAGTTCGAGACCAGCCTGGCCAACATGGTGAAACTCCCTCTCTACTAAAAATACAAAAATTAGCCGGGCGTGGTAGCGCATGACTGTAGTCCCAGCTACTCAGGAGGCCAAGGCAGGAGAATGGCTTGAACCCAGTGGGCGGAAGTTGCAGTGAGCAGAGATCACACCACTGCACTCCAGCCTGGGCAACAGAGCAAGACTCCATCTCAAAAAAAAAAAAAAAAAAAATCCAGAAAATATAAAGAACTTCTATAATTCAACAATACAAAATCAAAAAACTTGATTAAAAACTGGGAAATGGCCTTGAACAGACATTTCTCCAAAGATAATATATAAATGGCCAACAAGCATATGAAAAGATGCTCAACATCACTAGTCAGCAGAGAAATACAAATCAAAACTACCACAGTGAGGTATCTCACACCCATTAAGATGGCCATGAAAAAATAAAAAGTATTGTCAAGGATGTAGAGAAACTGGAACCCTTGTGTACTACTGGCAAGACTGTAAAATGGTGCAACTGCTATAGAAAAAAGTATAGGGGTTCTTCAAAAAACAAACAAACAAATAAAAAAACACTATTCCAGTGGCCTAGATTCTTTCAAAATAATAAAAATTAAAAACAGAATTATCACTTGATCCAGCAATCCCACTTTGGGGTATATATCCAAAACAACTGATATTGTTCCAGAGGCTGGAATACCTATTTGCACACCTAGTCACATTAGCACTATTCACAATAGCCAAGAGGTAGCTGCAACCCAAAAGTCCATTAGTGGATGCAGTCCATAAACAATATGATATATATATATACACAATGGAGTATTAGCCTTAAAAAGGAAATAAATCCGGTCACACAGTACAACATGGATGAGTCTTGAGGACATTACACTAAGTGAAATAAGTCTGTCACAAAAAACAGACATGGTATGATTCCACTTACATGATGTTATCTAAAGTAGTCAAATTGGTAGAAACAGAAATAATGGTGGTTACCAGGGGCTAGTAGGAGGGGGAAAAGGGGAGCTGTTGTCCAACAGGCATAGAGTTTCAGATACGCAAGATGAAAAACTCACAGATCTGTTTTCCAACAGTGCGAATGTACTTAATGTCACAGAACACTTAAAAATGGCTAAGTTAGTAAATGTTGTGGGTTTTTTTTGTTTTTTTTTTTTCTGAGACAGAGTCTTGCCTTGTTGCCCAGGCTGGAGTGCAGTGGTGCAATCTCAGCTCACTGCAACCTCCACCTCCTGGGCTCAAGGGATTCTCCTGCCTCAGCCTCCCAAGTAGCTGGGACTACAGGCACATGCCACCACACCTGGTTAATTTCTGTATTTTTAGTGGAGATGGGGTTTGACCATATTGGCCAGGCTGGTCTCGAACTCCTGACCTCGTGATCCGCCCACCTCAGCCTCCCAAAGTGCTGGGATTACAGGTGTGAGCCACTGCGCCCAGCCAATTTTGTGTTTTTAACCACAATTTTAAAATGTAGGCCAGGCTCAGTGGCTCACATCTGTAATCCGAAGTTCAAAACCAGCCTGGGCAAAACAGTGACACCCTGTCTCTACAAAAACAAACAAACAAAAAAAAACACCGGGTACGGTGGCTTACACCTATAATCCTAGTACTTTGGGAGGCTGAGGTGGGCAGATCACCTGAGGTCAGGAGTTCTAGATCGGCCTGGCCAACATGGTGAAACCCCATCTCTACTAAAAATACAAAAACCCTCTGGGCGCAGTGGTGGGCGCCTGTAATCACAGCTACTCGGGAGGCTGAGGCAGGAGAACTGCTTGAGCCCGGGGGACAGGGTGTGCAGTGAGCACTCCAGTATGGTTGACAGAGCAAGACTCCATGGCGGGGTTGGGGGGGACCGGACCCACATCACAAAACTGTGACTAAGATAAGCCTATTTTGGGAAGATAGGCATTTCTATAGCATATGAAAAGGATGGGCAAGATAAAGACCCAATATTTAACAATCATCTCTGAGTGGTGGCACTATGGGTGAGTTTCTTCATTTTTTGACTTACCTGTTTTTTTTTTATAGTGAATCTGTAACTTCTGTATTAAGAAAAATACACGGAAGTCTTTAGAAAAAAATCATTTTGGCTAAAAACTTCACTGTCTGCCTATTACATCATGGGTATTTCACCATGTTACTGAAGCTGAACTAATACCATGTGAGACAGATGCTGTTTCTTTCATTTTGCAGGTGCGAATAAACTGAGGAGCAGAACAGTTGAGTGACTTGCCAAGGTTGTGTAACCAGTAAATGACAGAGCAAGCATTACAATCCAGGCCTAGTTCTAACTTCAATTCAGGGTCCTTTCCCATTTCATTACACCTCAAAGGGAAGATTGCATTATTACTCGTGATATTGTTTAAAAAAAAAAAAAACATAACCTTGGGCAAGTAAGTCACTTAATTTCTAGGGCCCTCAGTTTCCTCATCCAAAAAGTGAAGGGGTTCTAGAAAAGATATTCCATCTCTAACAGCCCCTCTTGCTACCAGATCTTAAGTCTAGATAGCACAATCTCTAAAGAAAACCCTGGGTTTTCTTTAAAGGGGTCAGAATGAATGGTTGAATAGAAGTTGAGGCCTGTGATCTGGGCCAAAGGCCATTCTTAATGGAAACAGGTGGTGGACTGTCATGAGGAAAGAACCACTAGGGGAACCATAACCTTCCTGGTTAAAGCAACAACTGAAAGCTCCAGCTTTGCTTTACCAACAGTGCTGCTTCAATCTTGGCTAACTCATGATCAGAAACCACATACTAGGTAAGTAAAGCCTGAAGAATATAAAAATTAACATGAGAAGAAAATCACTGTAGCAACAGTTTGTGCATGCTATTGTAATTCCATGATTTTCTAAGTGGACTCTTTAATGCTAAAACAGAAAGGGTGATTCTATATTGAGACGCCTTCATTCTCACCAAGGATTAATAGAGAGGCTGAAACTTCCAAAGCGCTTGGAGAGAAGCTACACTTGTGGGCAAGGGGAAAGCATCCAATTAAAGCCTTCCCAATTCATGGGTAATCAAAGACAGTGAAAAGAACTTTAAAAGGTGAAGTTCCGGGCGGGGGCGGTGGCTCACGCCTGTAATCCCCAGCACTCTGGGAGGTCGAGGCGGGTGGATCACCCGAGGTCAGGAGTTCGAGACCATCCAGCCTGATCAACATGGTGAAACCCCGTCTATACTAAAAATACGAAAATTAGCCAGGCCTGGTGGCACATGCCTGTAATCCCAGCTACTTGGGAGGCTGAGGCAGGAGAATTGCTTGAACCTGGGGAGGTTGCAGTGAGCCGAGATAGCGCCACTGCACTCCAGCCTAAGCAACAAGAGCGAAACTCCGTCTTAAAAAAAAAAAAAAAAAAGATGAAGTTCTTGTAAAAGATTCATTATTTGTAACCTCTTACACTGCACACATTATAAAGCATTTCATGCTCTTTAAAACTGTTATACAGCCTTTTTACTCGAAGGTAATAAACCTACAGCTCTCTCCTGGCGAGAAAGAGATTCCATTTTGCGGAAACAGATTCCAGTCAAAATCTTACCACATTCCCCTCAACTATGGGTATGAGCCTAAACCAATGAGAAGCTCCTTGGTGCATGTGTAATGGTCTCCAAGAATTACAACAACATCCTACCCGGAGGACCACAACCACGACACCACTGGCTTTAAAATCAAAGCCTGGTCCCTAGCGAAGAAAGCGCTTTAATGTGCTCCTCCCGCTCCCGGGTGCGAGATTCCTGCCCAGCTACTAGGCCACGACTGGGTGAGCACCTGATGTGGGGGGAGGGCGAGCCAAGGCCGTAGCGGATCTGGGGCGAGGAACGAGGGGCTCTCGAGGCTCGGGAAAAGCGCTGCCTTCTAGGGGCGCGGACCCTTCGGCACCCACAGGAGTGGACACTAAGAACACGTGAGACGACAGGGGCAGAGATGGGGTGTCCCGGGCAGGTAGCCTGGGTCCAGCACGGCAGCCAGAAAGACGAGGAAAACGGAGCTGGCCCTGGGCAGGGCACGAGGCCTCTGAGCCTAGAGAGTGAAGGTAAAGGGCGCGGGGAGAGGAAGCAAAGCCACGAGGAGGGCGGGTCTCCCTGGGCGCGGGGGCACGCGCTGGGCAAACGCGACAGGACCCGGGGAGCCGGGGACCCCGACATGCAGGAGGAGATCGCAGCCCTACCCCAGGACGCAGGGAACGAGAAAAGGCCGCGCCCGGAGGGCCCTGTGACCCGCGGCCTCCCTAACCGGACCCGCCCCGCGGCGCCTCCCTCTTGCCTTTTTTCCCCTCCCTCCCTCCCGCGGCCCGTTATCCTGCGGCCGCAGCACTCACCAGCGGCTGCACCTGAGCCTGCCGCTGCCTCAGTTGCTGCCTGCGCCTCCGCAGCCGCCGCCGCCGCCTCGCTGCTGAGGCCGAATCCCGGGGGAGCCTCCGCGTCCCGCCGCCGCTGCCGCTGCCGCCAGAGCAGAACACCCCAAAATGGCGGCACTTCCGGCACCTACCACCGGCGGGGAGGGCAGAGGAGGAGGGGGAGCGCGGCGAGGGGGAACGTATCACCGCGGCGCCGCCCGCAGCGCCGATGCGAGCGGAGCGCGGCGTAGGGGCGGGCCGAGCGCCGGGCGCTGCAGCGCCCCCTCGGGCTGGGAAGTGGAGGAGCAGCCGCACCTAAGCCCCTGGGGCCGCGGGCGGAGCCCTCAACCTAGGGAGCTGCAGGGGCGCATCTCTTTGTCTCCGATCCCTACTGGAGGGAAGAGCCAGGCCTGGGAATCTGAAGTTCTCGACTCCGCCCATCGCACCCACAGGAGCTCTAGATGACCCTGGTGGGCAAGGAGGCACCCCTACTGGGCACTGAATAGGAGCATAATAAGATATTTGTTGAATAAATGGATGAGTGAGTGACTGGTGCTTGGCCAGCGTTGGGCACATGGCACGCCCCTTTTTGCCCCAGCAGACAAGCAACAGCATCCAGGCCTTCCTTCTTTGCTGGGATGTGAATATGTGTGTTCCAAGTGCAGGGAGTGCTTTTTAGCAAGATAATCAGTGTGAACGCACAACCTGGCAACGATCGCTGCGACATAAGGAAGTTCACAAAGATTCTATTAAGAGACCGATTGCCCAGCCATAACCTGCTTTTACCGAAAAAAAAATATATATATATATTTTTTTTTCTTAACTCAGGTTAGGTCTCTAAAGACTTCCTCCTGAGTTACTCTGGAATCCCTGGGTCTAGATGGAACGCAAGCAGTACAATTTGTTGTTGTTGTTGTTGTTGTTTAAGCCAACATTTATTCCTAGGTTCCAGACCTTGTGAGGCAGTTAAATGCAGATTAAGAAAGAAAACTTTGTTCTGGAAGCTTTTGGCCCCATCAACATGCAAATAACTCATGGGATGGTTTCTCTCTAACATCATCTGGCTTCCCAGAGAATATAATTTTTATACCCACAAATACTGATTATATCCTACCTTACCACAAACAACAAGTGGGCTTCCAAGCAGAAGCCTCAAGGGTTTTCCTCTTTCGCCTTTGGGGGGGAAAAAAACTAACCAGAGTTTTTCTGGTACCATATAGTCCTTAAATTGTACATGATCATATTCCCTAATTGTACTGGGTAGTTTTATATACATTCATAATGCTGATATATGATCTTGTTCTTGTTAATAGTTTTATGTGTAGTTGACTGAAAACATCCTATATTTATAGACCATTATAGCTTACAGAATGTTGTCACAAATATTACCATATATTTGCTGCTATAGGTTGTAGAAATGTTTCAAGCAGAGAGTCTGTCTCCTTTTGTGCTCCATAGAATCATGTGGATATCCACATGGCTCACTTCCTCACCTCCTTCAGACTTTGACTTAAGTGTCACCTTCTCAGTCCAGTCTTCCCTAAGCACTCTATTTTACACTGCTTGCATGCATGGCATGTGCACACACACACACACCCATGCTTTCAATCCCACTTTCATTTTTATCCAAAACATTTATCATTATCTAACACAGTTTTTTTTTTTTTTTGAGACGGAGTCTAGCTCTTGTCACCCAGGCTGGAGTGCAGTGGCGCGATCTCGGCTCACTGCAACCTCCACCTCCCAGGTTCAAGCAATTCTCCTGCCTCAGCCTCCCGAGTAGCTGGGATTACAGGCGCGTGCCACGATGCCTGACTAATTTTTGTATTTTTAGTGGAGACGGGGTTTCAACCCCTGTTGGTCAGGCTGGTCTCAAACTCCTGACTGCAAGTGTTCTGCCCGCCTCTGCCTCTCAAAGTGCTGGGATTACAGGCGTGAGCCACTGCACCCGGCCTCACAGTATATTTTGTATTTATATATTTTACTTGTTTTATTGACAGTAGCCCAGAAGGTAAACCAAAGGTAAACTTCATGAGGATAGAGGTTTTGTCTGTTTTATTTCACTGCTCTATCCTCAGGGCCTTGATAATGCCTAATCCATAGTACATGCTCAATAAATATTGTTGACTTACTGAATAGGTATATCTAGGTGCCAGATATGGAAAACAAAATGTTGCGCCTTTAGAAGCTTCTTGGAACCTGCCCATGAGCTAAATAAGGAAAGGCACCATGCCCGTCTTATTATATCTCCAGTGCTTTTCACAATATCTGACTCAATAGATATTTCTTGAAGAGCAAACAGAAACTCTTCCATGCCCATCTTGTTATTCTCCTAATATCTCCATTGCTTTTCACTGTATCTAACTCGATAAACTTCTTGAAGAGCAACCAGAAGCTTTTTCCTATTCTATCTGTGCCTTGACTTAGGGCTCCCATTTGCAAGGGAGGAACTTGTAAGGTATTAATATCACTCTTGCATTTAGTTACCAAGGAAGGCCACAGACTGTTAGCCCAAGGTTGGGGGGAAGAACAATTACATGAAGAACACAAATAGATCTTGTAACTTCAAAGGGTTTCAGCAACATAGACAAAATGCTAAACAGTCCAAATACAAAAAAAGCCTAGTGTGAGATTTAAGAGTATGTAAAGCTTCCTGTTTCATGTTTTGCCTTACAAATAGATTAAGATTTATTTTTTTTAAAAAATAGCCAATGTCGGCCAGGCGCGGTAGCTCATGCCTGTAATCCTAGCACTTTGGGAGGCCGAGGCAGATGGATCACCTGAGGTCAGGAGTTCAAGACCAACCTGGTGAAACCCTGTTTCTACTAAAAAATACAAACGTTAGCCAGGCATGATGGCGGGTGCCTGTAATCCCAGCTACTCGGGAGGCTGAGATGGCAGAATAGCTTGAACTTGGGAGACGGTGGTTGCAGTGAGTCGAGATCGAACCACTGCACTCCAGCCTGGGCGACACAGCAAGACTCTGTCTCAAAAAAAAAAAAAAAAAAAAGCCAGTGTTAGTAAGAGTGCAGAGAAATAGCCTTCTCCAAGTGGTGATGGGAGTAAAGTTCAGATAATCTGCCTAGAGGAATCTAAACTTTTACATACCTTTCTAGGAATTTATCCTAAGGGAATATTCATGGATAATGGCAGAGATTGTAACATTTTTTATTTTTTTAATTTTACTTTTCTAGACACAGGGTCTTGCTCTGTCACCCAGCCTGGAGTGTAGTAGTGCTATCATAGTTCACAGCAACCTTGAACTCCTGGGTTCATGAGATCCTTCCACCAGAACCTTGTGAGTAGCTGAGATCACAGGTGTGTGCCACCATGTCCAACTAATTTTTTTTCTTTTGTAGAGACAGGGGTCTCACTATGTTGCCCAGGCTGATCTCAAACTCCTGAGCTCAAGCAACCCTCCCCACTCGGCCTTCCGAAGTTTTGGGATTACAGGTGCGAGCCATGACACCTGACCATAACATTGTTTAAACAGCATAAAATTTGATACAAAATGAGATTGATAAATTATGGTTCATTCATAGCCATATAATAATAGATAAATATAGAGGAAATGATGATAGCCAGGCATGATGGCATACTCCCATAATCCCAGCTACCCTGGAGGCCAAGGCAGGAGGACTGTTTGAGGCCAGGAATTCAAAACCAGCCCAGGCAACATAACAAGACACCATCTCCATATAAATAAAAAATTTAAAAATGTTAGCCTGGCATGGTGGCATGTACATCTGCAGTTCCAACTACTTAAGAAGCTGAGGTAGGAGGATCCCTTCAGCCCAGGAGTTCCAGGTTGCAGTGAGCTATGATCACGACACTGCACTCCAGCCTAGGCATCAGAGTAAGACCCTGTCTCTATTTGGTTATTTATTTATTTATTTATTATTTATTTTGAGACGGAGTCTTGCTCTGTTGCCCATGCTGGAGTACAGTGGCACCATCTTGGCTCACTGCAATGTCTGCCTCTCAGATTCAAGCGATTCTGCTGCCTCAGCCTCCTGAGTAGCTGGGATTACAGGTGCACACCACCACGCCCAGCTAATTTTTGTATTTTTAGTAGAGTCGGGGTTTCCCCATGTTGGTCAGGTTGGCCTTGAACTCCTTACCTCAAGTGATCCGCCCGCCTCAGCCTCGCAAAGTGCCGGGAGCCACCACGCCCGGCCTATTTACTTTTCTTTCTTGGTTTTGTTTGTTTTGTTTTGTTTTTTTTTTGAGGCAGAGTCTGGCTCTGTGGCCCAGGCTGGAGTCCAGTGGCACAATCTCAGCTCACTGCAACCTCCCCCTCCCGGGTTCAAGCGATTCTCCTGCCTCAGCCTCCCGGGTAGCTGGGACTACAGGCACATGCCACCACATCCGGCTAATTTTTTGTATTTTTAGTAGAGACGGGTTTCACCGTGTTAGCCAGGGTACTCTCGATCTCCTGACCTCATGATCCACCCGCCTTGGCCTCCCAAAGTGCTTCAATTACAGGGGTGAGCCATCACGCCCGGCCTATTTTTCTTTTTTTTTTGAGACGGAGTCTCGCTCCGTTGCCCAGGCTGGAGTGCAGTGACTTTTCACAGGCATGATTCCACTACAGATCAGCATGGGAGTTTTGACCTGTTTCTTTTCCAGCCTGAGCCGGTTCACCACTCCTTAGGCAACCTGGTGGTCCCCCACTCTCTGGAGGTCACGATGTTGATGCAGAACTTAGTGCAGACACCTGATTGACATACTGCACTATAGCCCAGAACTTCTGGACTCAAGTGATCCCCCTGCCTCAGCCTCCAGAGTAGTTGGGACTTACAGGCACATGCCACCTCGCCCTGCCCTTGTCTCTAAAAGAAAAAAAGAAAACTCTTTTTTTTTGAGATGGAGTTTTGCTCTTGTTGCCCAGGCTGGAGTGCAATGATGCAATATCGGCTCACTACAACCTCCGCCTCCTGGGTTCAAGAGATTCTCCTGCCTCATCCTCCCGAGTAACTGGAATTACCTGTACCTGCCAGCATGCCCAACTAATTTTTTGTATTTTTAGTAGAGACAGGGTTTCACCATGTTGGCCAGACTGGTCTTGAACTCCTAACCTCAGGTGATCTGCCCGCCTCAGCCTCCGAAAGTGTTGGGATTATAGGCGTGAGCCACCGCGCATGGCCGGAAAGAAAACTCTTAAGGCCTGGTTACATTCAGGCGGTGCTGCGAGCGTCACACTGCATCACATCTGGAGGCCTATAGCCTATGATGTCAAGTTGTCTGTCCTGCTTTTACTGACACAGACTCATCAGTGGTTGAGGTGGCCCGAGCCTGATCCCTCTATGGTCAAATTTCCTATGAGTGTTTTATATATATAATCAGAAAATCTGCATTTTGGTAAAATAATGGATCTAGTCAATAGCCATCAATGGATAAAAGCATTAGATGAAACCCTCATATATATATTATATATATATATAATATATTAGATGAAACCCTCATATATATATTATATATTTAATATATTATATTATATAAATAATATATGTATATGTATATATTTATATATTTATATTATATATATTTATATATAATATATAAATATATATATATATTTATATTATATATGTATAAAATATGTGCAATATAATATATAATATAATGTGTAATATATTAGATATAATATATTACATAATATAATATGTAATATATTATATATAATATATGTCATAATATATAATATTATGACATATATTATATATAATTGTATATATAATATATATAATATATATAATTGTATATATAATATATATATAATATATATTGCAGCCAATAATATATATATTGCAGCCAATATATATTGCAGCCAATAATATATATATACAATATAATATAATGTATATATAATATATAATTGTAGTCCCAGCTACAATATATAACACATAATATATTGTATATAATGCGGTATGTAATATATTACATATAATATGTAATATATTATATATGTTATATATAGTAATATATGTTATACATAATATATGTTATATATAATATATAATATGTTACATATAATAATATAATATGTTATATATAATAATATAATATATAATAATATAATATATATTATATATGTATTTTTTGAGACGGAGTCTTGCTCTGTCTCCCAGGCTGGAGTGCAGTGGCGCAATCTCAGCTCACCACAACCTCCGTCTCCCGGATTCAAGCAATTCTCCTACCTCAGCCTCCTGAGTAGCTGGGACTACAGGCACGCAGACTACAGATGGGGTTTCACCATGTTGGCCAGGATGGTTTCCATCTCCAGATCTTGTGATCTGCCCGCCTCAGGCTTCCAAAGTGCTGGGATTATAGGCATGAGCCACTTCGCCTGGCCTTTTTTTTTTTTGTGAGACAAGGTCTCACTCTGTGGCCAGGCTGGAATGCAGTGGCACAGCTTGCTCACTTTAGCCTTGATTTCTTAGGCTCAGGTGATCCTACCATCTCAGCCTCCCAAGTAGCTGGGACTACAGGCACGTGCCACCATGCCCAGGTAATTTTTTATAGAGCTGGGGTCTCACTCTGTTGCCCAGGCTGATCTTAAACTCCTGGGCTCAAGCGATCATCCCACCTCAGGTAGATGTGAACCATGGCACCCGGCCTATGTAACTTTTTGAAAAGAATAAAGTAAATCTACCTCTATTGCACCGACAATATAATATTCACAGATATCACTGAGTGAAAAAAGCAGAGGCCGGGCGCAGTGGCCCATGCCTGTAATCCTAGCACTTTGGGAGGCTGCGGCGGGCAGATCACCTGAGGTCAGGAGTTCGAGACCAGCCTGGCCAACGTGGTGAAACCCCATCTCTACTAAAAATATAAAAATTAGCCAGGCATTTTGGTGCATGCCTATAATCCCAGCTGCTCAGGAGGCTGAGCCAGGAGAATCGCTTGAACCCAAGAGGCAGAAGTTGCAGTGAGGAGAGATCATGCCACTGTATTCCACCCTTGGTGACAGAGCAAGACTCTATCTCAAAAAAAAAAAAAAAAAGCCAGACGTTGTGGCTCACACTTGTAATCCCAGCACTTTGGGAGGCTGAGTCAGGCAGATTGCTAGAGCTCAGGAGTTCAAGAGCAGCCTGGGCAACATGGCAAAACCCCATCTGTACAAACATTAGCTGGGCGTGGTGGTGCACGCCTGTAATCCCAGCTACTGGGGAGGCTGAGGTGGGAGGATCACTTGAGCCTGGGAGGTCAAGGCTGCACTGAGCCAAGATCACACCACTGCTCTCAGCCTGGGTGATGGGAGTGAGACCGTCTCAATAAAAAAAAGAACAGAAAAGGCCAGAGGCATGAGAATCGCCTGAACCCAGGAGGTGGAGGTTTTAGTGAGTGGAGGATGCGCCACTGCACTCCAGCCTGGGTGACAGAGTGAGACTGTCTCAAAAACAAAAAACAAAACATTTCATCTATATGGTTATAATGATCTTTATCAATATGTGTACATGAATATACAAAGACCACATGTTGTATGAATCCATGTATATGAAATGTTTGGAATAGGCAGATCCACTGAGACAGAAAGTCGATTCGTGGTTGTCAGGGAATGAGGGAATGGGGAGTGATTGCTAATGGGTATAGGATTTCTTTTTGGGATGATGAAATGCTCTAAAATTAGATATTGGTGATAGTTGTGCAACCCTGTGAGTATATTAACAAACACTGAATTGTATAGTTAGGAGGGTGACAAGGCATATGCATTATACCTCAATAAAGCTGTTCCCAAAAATAATGTTAACATTGGAGGGGGGTGGGCATAATGGACTCTCAGTACTATTTTTAAAACCTTTCTGTGCATCTAAATTATTCCACATTTAAAAGTTTATTCTGGCTGGGCGCAGTGGCTCACGCCTGTAAGCCCAGCACTTTGGGAGTCCGAGGCGGACAGATCACGAGGTCAGGAGATCGAGACCATCCTGGCTAATATGGTGAAACCCCGTCTCTACTAAAAATACAAAAAATTAGCCGGGCGTGGTGGTGGGCGCCTGTAGTCCCAGCTACTTGAGAGGCAGAGGCAGGAGAATGGCATGAGCCCGGGAGGCAGAGCTTGTATTGAGTGGAGATCATGCCACTGCACTCTAGCCTGGGCAACAGAGTGAGACTCTGTCTCAAAAAAAAAAAAAAAAAGTGTATTTCGCTGGGTGAGGTGGCTCAGGCCTGTAATCCCAGCATTTTGGGAGGCCGAGACAGGTGGATCACGAGGTCAGGAGATTGAGACCATCCTGGCTAACACGGAGAAACCCATCTCTACTAAAAATACAAAAAATAAGCCGGGTGTGGTAGCGGGCGCCTGTAGTCCCAGCTACTTGGGAGGCTGAGGCAGGAGAATGGCATGAACCCAGGAGGCGGAGCTTGCAGTGAGCCGAGATCGCACCACTGCACTCCAGCCTGGGCGACAGAACGAGACTCCGTCTCAAAAAAAAAAAAAAAAAAAAAAAGTTTATTCCACAAAGAGACACCACACCCACTAAAATGGCTATAATGAAAGACAGATAATAAGTGTTGGCAACCATGTGGCAACATTGGAACCCTCCATACTCTCCTGGTGGGGATGCAAAAAGGTGCAGTCCACTTTGGAAAACTGACAGTTCTTCAAAAGGTTAAACACTGTACTACCCTATGACCTAACAATTCCATGATTAGTCAAATATACAAGAGAAATGAAAACCTATGTCCGTAAGTTGTATGCAAATGTTCCCAGCAGCATTGTTCAAAATAGCCAAAAGTGGAAACAACTCAAATGTTCATAAACTGATAAATGGAGAAAAACATGTGGTCTGTCCATACATTGAAATATTATTTGGCAATAAAAAGAAGGACAGTCCTGATACTTGCTACAACATGGACGAACCTTGAAAACATTCTAAGCATAAGACAGGTATCAACACACAAGTGATATCTATTAAGAAAAAAAAAAAGCTGGGCGCAGTGGCTCACACCTGTAATCCCAGCACTTTGGGAGGCCGAGGCAGGCTGATCACCTGAGGTCGGGAGTTCGAGACCAGGCTAACCAACATGGAGAAACCCCGTCTCTACTAAAAATACAAAATTAGCCAGGAGTGGTGGTGCATACCTGTAATCCCAGATACTAGGGAGGCTGAGGCAGGAGAATTGCTTGAACCTGAGAGGCGGAGGTTGTGGTGAGCTGAGATTGTGCCATTGCACTCCAGCCTGGGTAACAAGAGCGAAACTCCATCTCAAAAAAAAAAAAAAAAAAGTTGGGTGGGGTGGCTCACACCTGTAATGCCAGCACTTAGAGAGGCTGAGGCAGGCAGATCGCTTGAGTCCAGGAGTTCGAGACCAACCTGGGCAATATGGTGAAAGCCTGTCTCTACCAAAAATACAAAAATTCGCCACCAGGTGTGGTGGTACGCACCTGTGGTCCCAGCTACTCAGGAGGCTGAGGTGGGAGAATTGCTTGAGCCCAGGAGGTAGAGGTTGCAGTGAGCTAAGATCACACCATTGCACTCCAGCCTGGGCAACAGGAGTGAAACTCTATCTCAAAAAAAAAAAAAAAAAAAAGCAGCCAGATACAAAGAACACATATTGTATGACTCCATTTATTTGAAATACCCTAGGCTGGATGCAGTGGTTCAGACCTGTAATCCCAGTACTTTGGGAGGCCAAATCAGGAGGATTGTTTGAGCCCAGGAGTTCCAGATCAGTTTTTTTTTGTTTTGTTTTGTTTTTTTTTTGATATGGAGTCTCACTCTGTCACCCAGGCTGAAGTGCAGTGGCGCGATCTTGGCTTATCACAAACTCCGCCTCCTGGGTTCAAGTGATTCTCCTGCCTCAGCCTCCCAAGTAGCTGGGATTACAGGCGCCCACTATTATACCTGGCTAATTTTTGTATTTTTTTAGTAGAGACGGGGTTTCACCATGTTGGCCAGGCTGGTCTCAAACTCCTGACCTCAGGTGATCTGCCTGCCTCTGCCTCCGCCTCCCAAAGTGCTGGGATTACAGGTGTGAGCCACTGTGCCCAGTCCCGAGATCAGTTTGGGCAACATAGTGAGACCCCATCGCTACAAATAATAAAAAATTAGCCAGGTATCGTGGCACACGTCTGTAGTCTCAACTCCTTGGGAGGCTGAGGTAGGAGGACTGCTTGCACCCAAAAGGTCGGGGCTACAGTGAGTCATGATCACGCTGCCACTGCACTCTAGCCTGGGTGACAGTGAGACCCTGTTTCCTAGAAAAAAAAAAAAGAAAAGTAAAAAGAAGAAATGCCCTCAACATGCTAAACATGTAAATCTATACAGTCAGAAAGCAGGTTAGTAGTGTTTGCCTAAGGCTGGAGGATGATTGGGAGAAAATGGTGAGTCTCTGCTAATTCATAAGGGGCTTATTTTGAGGGCAATGAAAATATTCTAAAATTAGGCTGGGTGCGGTGGCTCATGCCTGTAATCCCAGCACTTTGGGAGACCAAGGCGGGTGGAACACCTGAGGTCAGGAGTTCAAGAGCAGCCCGGCCAACATGGTGAAACCCCATCTCTATTAAAAACACACACAAAATTAGCCAGGCATGGTGGCGGGCACCTGTAGTTCTAGCTACTGGGGAGGATGAGGCAGGAGAACTGCTTGAACCCGGGAGGTGGAGGTTGCAGTGAGTGGAGATGGCGCCACTACACTTCAGCCTAGTCAATAGAAGGAGACTCCGTCTCAAAAACAAAATATAAAAAAAAGAAAATGAATCTTTTAAAACCACCAGATGGGCCGGGCATGGTGGCTTATGCCTGTAATCCCGGCACTTTGGAAGGCCGAGGGGGACGGATCTCCTCAGGTCAGGACTTTGAGACCAGTCTGGCCAACATGGTGAAACCCTGTCTCTACTAAAAATACAAAACTTAGCTGGGCGTGGTGGCAGCTACTCGGGAGGCTGAGGCAGGAGAATTGCTTGAACCTGGGAGGCAGAGGTTGCAGTGAGCTGAGATCACGCCATTGCACTCCAGCTTGGGTGACAAGAGTGAAACTCTATCTTAAAAACAAACAAACAAACAAAATCTCCACCAGATGCTTGGGCCGGGCGTGTGGCTCATGCCTGTAATCCCAACACTTTGGGAGGCTGAGGCTGGCAGATCACCATAGGTCAGGAGTTCAAGACTAGCCTGGCCAACATGGTGAAACCCCATCTCTACTAAAAATACAAAAAAAAAAAAAAAAAAAAAAAGAAAGCCGGGCGCGGTGGCTCATGCCTGTAATCCTGGCACTTTGGGAGGCCAGGGGGATGGATCACCTGAGGTCAGGAGTTTGAGACCAGCCTGGTCAACATGTTGAAGCCATCTCACTAAAAATACAAAACTTAGCTGGGCGTGGTGACATGTACCTGTAATCCCAGCTACTCGGGAGGCTGAGGCAGGAGAATTGCTTGAACCTGGGAGGCAGAGGTTGCAGTGTGCTGAGATCACGCCATTGCACTGCAGCTTGGGTGACAATAGTGAAACTCTGTCTCAAAAACAAAAAACAAAAAACAAAAACTCCACCAGATGCTTGGGCCGGGTGCAGTGGCTCATGCCTGTAATGCCAGCACTTTGGGAGGCTGAGGTGGGCGGATCACCTTAGGTTCGAGACCAGCCTGGCTGACAAGGTGAAACCTCGTCTCTACTAAAAACAAAAGTTAGCTGGGTGTGGTGGCATGCACCTGTAATCCCAGCTACTCAGGAGGCTGAGGCAGGAGAATCGTTTGAACCCGGGAGGCGGAGGTTGCAGTGAGCTGAGATCTTGCGACTGCCCTCTAGCCTGGGCAACAGAGTGAGACTCCGTCTCAAAACAAACAAACAAAAAGTAAATAGCTGGCATTACAACCATTCTTCTTACCTTTTTGTAGGTTGCAGGTTTTATATTTGAGCTCTTCATAATATTTTTCTTAAGGATATATTAATATAATGTATATTTTCCTATTTTTTCCTGCTATGTAAACACTGCTGTTTGGTCAGATGAAGGAGGGAGCCCTGCCCTAGGACAGGGGAGGGGAGGAGGAAGGCGACCTCAACCCAGGACCCCTGTTCACCCTGGGATCAGGCCCTCACCCAGGTAGCTCCTCTGTTTGAAAGCTCTAAGCCCTTCCACTGTCCTCTTCAGGGCTACCCCGCCACACAGCCTCTCCTTGTCTTGTCTTCCCTTTGGCGGGGTCACACCCGCACCTGGGTCACTGCCCCCTTCCTCTGGTCGAGGGTTGGGGGGAGTGTCCCCTCCTCCCTCGGCCGGAGTCACAGTTCCACACGCAGGGGTCCTTCCTGCCCCTCTCACCTGGGGTCACAACCCCCCTCCCTCGGAGGAGGGAGGTCACCGGCCACAGGCGGGGGCCTCAGTTTCCCACGCTACAGGGCTCACACGTGTCTGGCCTGCGACGCGCTCTCCCTTCGCCGGGGTCCCAGTTTCCCGCCCAGGAAACCTCGGTCCCTCCTCCGAGGCCGCCGGGCCCTCCTCCAGAGTCCCGCCAGTCCCCCAGAGTCCAGGCCAGTCCCCGCCGTCACCCGGTGCGAGCCCGCGAGAGGCCTAGTGCAGCTGGCAGCCCCGCCCCGGCACCCGCCTGCTCTTCTCGCGGGTCCGGACCGCGAGCGCGGGGGCCGACGGGTCGCCGCTGCGCCGGGCCGGGATGGCGGCCACCGCGCTGCTGGAGGCCGGCCTGGCGCGGGTGCTCTTCTACCCGACGCTGCTCTACACCCTGTTCCGCGGGAAGGTGCCGGGTCGGGCGCACCGGGACTGGTACCACCGCATCGACCCCACCGTGCTGCTGGGCGCGCTGCCGTTGCGGAGCTTGACGCGCCAGGTGAGCCGGGCCGGGGAGCCCGGGCCCCTGCCCCGTCCCCGCCGCTCCGTCCCTGTCGGGCCGCTGGGGTCTCCACCGTCTTTGCTGAGCCACCTCTTTGCCTCGGCAGCTGGTACAGGACGAGAACGTGCGCGGGGTGATCACCATGAACGAGGAGTACGAGACGAGGTTCCTGTGCAACTCTTCACAGGTGAGGGACCGGGCCGAGGGGCAGGCTCGGGGGCCCGCTCCCCCTCGCCCACCGCCCTGAGCCTGGGACGGCTAGAGAAGTGTGGGGGAGGTCACCATGCACCGGAGCCAGGTGTCTCAAGCTGCTTTGCCTCCGGTCTGTGCCTCTAAATGGCACCTGGAGGTAGGCTAGAAGCTGTGAAAGGCGTTTATTTAAAAGTTCAAGTTGGGCCGGGCGCGGGGACTCACGCCTGTAATCCCAGCACTTTGGGAGGCGGGAGGAGGAGGCGGGCAGATCACTTGAGCCCAGGAGTTCCTGACCAGCCTGGGCAACATGGCGAGGCCCCCGTCCCTACAAAAATACAAAAAGTAGCCGGGAGTGGTGGCGTGCGCCTGTACTCCCAGCTACTTGGGAGGCTAAGGCAGGAGAATCACTTTAGCCCGGGAGGTGGAGGTTGCAGTGAGCCGACATCTCGCCATTGCATTCCAGCCCAGCCTTGGGCGACAGGAGTGAAACAATGTCTCAAAAAAAAAAAAAAAAAAAGTGGAAGTTGACAAAGCCTGATTTCTCCTTTGTGAACAAATGTAATGTATTCTTATTTCGGTAACCAAAATCAGAAACTAAAATTGAAAGGCAACTTTCCCATGCCTTCCTGATTTCATTCATTCTTTCTATACTTTGAGCTCTGAGTATGGGTCAGCATTCCCAGTGTTAGGGATTCCAGATGAAGGCCCTGCCAACTGTAAGACGAAAAGCACCCCCTTAACACTCTCCCCTCCCCAGATTTTTCATAAAACTATCCATTGAAAACTGTAGAGTTCATTTGGCTCTGATTTGGGGGAATTTTTAGTCATATATTAGAAATCATGGTGGAACTCCAAAGTTCTCTCATAACAAAGTTTAGGCCTAAAACATAACTTTCATTAAATGTGACTGGCCTGTTTGTGGAATCTTCCACAATGGTTATTAGAAGATGTTATCTACAATCTGAGCTATTTGATTTTTTTTTAATGTTGCCCTATCTTTATAGCGTTTGGCATCTAATAGCACTAAACAATTATCTTTCTCATTTGTTTTACTGATATAGCATGATGAAGATACTATTATTTCAACCTGAGGATTTTTTTGAAACCTTGAAAATATTTGTGACTTGGCCAGGCGTGGTGGCTCTCACACCTGTAATCCCAGCACTTTGGGAGGCTGAGGTGGGTGGATCACCTGAGGTCAGGAGTTTGAGATCAGCCTGGCCAAAATGGTGAAACCCCGTCTGTACTAAAATCACACAAAAAAATTAGCCGGGCGTGGTGGCAGGCGCCTGTAATCCTAGCTACTTGGGAGGCTGAGGCAGGAGAATCGCTTGAACCCGGGAGGCAGAAGTTGCAGTGGGCCGAGATTGCACCACTGCACGCCAGCCTGGGCGACAGAGTGAGTCTCCGTCTCAAAAAAAAAAAAGAATTACTGATCTTCATTTAGAACCATAAAGTCTCTGATACTCATTATTAAGAGGTTAATAACAAGAGTAGCTGGAGCATATCTGAAGTCTTAAAGCATAAAGTTTGCCCAGTTGCCAGAGACCTTATTTCTATTTCTTTTCTTTTTTTTTTTTTTTTTTTGAGATGGAGTCTCACTCCCTTGCCCAGGCTGGAGTGCAATGGTGCAATCTCAGCTCACTGCAACCTCTGCCTCCCAGTTCAAGTGATTCTCCTGCCTCAGCCTCCCAAGTAGCTGGAATTACAGGTGCCTGCCAGCATGCCTGGCTAATTTTTGTATTTTTTATGGAGATAGGGTTTTGCCATGCTGGCCAAAGTCGTCTCGAACTCCTGACCTCAGGTGATCTGCCCACCTTGGCCTCTCAAAATCTGGGATTACAGGCGTGAGCCACCACACCTGGCCACCTATTTCTTCTAAGTGATAACATTGCACTAATGAAGGTCAGTGCATTGTTTTAATTTTATTTTTGTTTTTGTTTTTGAGACGGAGTCTTGCTCTGTCGCCTAGGCTGGAAGTGCAGTGGCACGATCTCGGCTCACTGCAAGCTCCGCCTCCTGGGTTCATGCCATTCTCCTGCCTCAGCCTCCCAAGTAGCTGGGACTACAGGCGCCTGCCACCATGCCCGGCTAATTTTTTTGTATTTTTAGTAGAGACGGGGTTTCACCGTGTTAGCCAGGATGGTCTAAATCTCCTGACCTCGTGATCCGCCCGCCTTGGCCTCCCAAAGTGCTGGGATTACAGGCATGAGCCACCATGCCCGGCCCATTGTTTTAATTTTAAAATGATAACCCTATTTTCTACCATATGTTCCCTCAAAAAACAGTGGTAAAAAAGAGACTTATGGACAGAGAAATAGAAAGCCTTGGCAAAATATTGTACCCCAAATCTGCAGCTGAATCACTACACAGGTGCCAAAATTATGCAAAAAAATTACACTGGCTGGGCCTGGTGGCTCATGCCTGTAATCCCAGCATTTTGGGAGGCTGAGACAGGAGGATGGCTTGAGGCTAGGAGATTGAGACCAGCCTGGGCAACATAGCGAGACCCCCATCTGCACACACACAAAAATAACAAAATTAGCCAGGCACAGTGGCATGCAGCTGTAGTCACAGCTACTTGGGAGGCTGAGGTGGGAGGACTGCTTGAGCTTAGGAGTTTGAGGCTGCAAGGAGCCATGATTGCATACCACTGCTCTCTGACCTGGGTGACATAGCAAGATCGTGTCTCTAAAATAAAATATATATATATTTTTGAGATGTTGTTTTGCTCTTGTCTCCCAGGCTGGAGTACAATGGTGCGATCTCTGCTCACTGCAACCTCTCCCTCCAGGGTTAAACAATTCTCCTGCCTCAGCCTCCCTAGTAGCTGGGATCACAGGCATCCACCACCACGCATGGCTAATTTTTGTATTTTTAGTAGAGACAGGGTTTCCCCATGTTAGCCAGGCTGGTCTCAAACTCCTGACCTTAGGTGATCTGCCCGCCTTGGCCTTGCAAACTGTTGGGATTACAGGCGTGAGCCACCATGCCCGGCCAAAATAAAATGTTAAGACGTTTGCAGCTGAATTTTTTGCAGCTAAAATGTATATAGCTAATATCTTGCAGCTAAATATTCAAGTACCCAAAGGGTAGTTTAAGAACACTTTACCTGCTGGTGTGGTGGCTCACACCTGTAATCCCAGCACTTTGGGAGGCTGAGGCAGGCGGATGACCTGAGGTCAGGAGTTCGAGACCAGCCTGGCCAACATGATGAAACCCCGTCTCTACTAAAAATGCAAAAATTAGCCAGGCTTGGTGGCGCGTGCCTGTAGTCCCAGCTACTCGGGAGGCTGAGGCAGGAGAATCGCTTGAAACTGGGAGGTGGAGGTTGTGGTGAGCTGAGATCACGCCACTGTACTACAGCCTGGGCAACAGAGCGAGACTCTGTCTTTAAAAAAAAAAAAAAAAAAAAAAGGAACACTTTAAATCTTGGACATAATTCTAACTCAGCAGCATAGCTGTTGCTTGATGAAAAACCAACCATGTAGGCCAGCCATTTTAAAGACATTTCTGTCCTCACCTGGAATGGGAAAAAAAAGCATTTCTGTAAGAAGTTTCTATTTTAGAAAACAGGCAACAGTGTATTCCCATTGTAGTAAACCCTGAAACTTCCTTGTTGCTTTGCTGCTTCTTGGGAGCCCCTTATCATCCCACCCACATAGTTTTTTTTCATTCTCTTTTTCATACTGGTGGACCTGGTTCCAGGAGTGGAAGAGACTAGGAGTCGAGCAGCTGCGGCTCAGCACAGTAGACATGACTGGGATCCCCACCTTGGACAACCTCCAGAAGGGAGTCCAATTTGCTCTCAAGTACCAGTCGCTGGGCCAGTGTGTTTACGTGCATTGTAAGGCTGGGCGCTCCAGGAGTGCCACTATGGTGGCAGCATACCTGATTCAGGTACCAAAGTTCTTTCTGGGCTGGGCATCGTGGTACACACTTATGATCCCAGCACTTTGGGAGGCTTGAGATGGGAGGATGGCTTGAGCCCAGGAGTTTGAGACCAGCCTGGGCAACATGGCAAAACCGTCTCTACAAAAAATACAACAAGTTAGCTCAGTGTGGTGGTGTGCACCTGTAGTCCCAGCTACTTGGGAGGCTGAGATGGATCACCGGAGCCCAGTAGGTAGAGGCTGCAGTGAGCCGTGATTTGTGCCACTGCACTGCAGCATAGCCAACAGAGTGAAACTGTCTCAAAAAAAAAAAAAAAAAAAAAAAGTCTTTCTGGTCCCATTTATAGCAGATTTCCAGAACTTCAATAGCATGGTCTACTGGTGGGCCTTGTTGGAAGGAGCTGTGTGCTTGATTTCAGGCTGTTGGGAGGTGGTTTGGTATGATGGAAAGCACCTGAGCCTTGTGACAGGGTAACCTGGGGCTCTGCTGCCTGCCAGTGAGGATCAGCAAAAGTGACTTCTGCCTTATGCAACATGTTTTCTCAAACTAAATGTATTATGAAGTTTAAATAAGAAATTACATCAAGTGCTGGCCTATAGCGGGCACTCTAAAAACGGAGTTGCAAAAGCCATTCAACCCCAGCAAAAGGCTAGACACTTGTTCTAATACCATGTCAGGAAACAATATCATAGATAATAGTGCTGATCATTTTCAGCTTTATAGTACTCAAGTTTCTTCAAGTATTCCAGAGTAAAGTTCTGGATATTAGTTTCTGGAAACAGGCTCCAAACTGGATTCTGCCTATTAATGTGTCATAATTGGCAGGTGGGATGCTTTAAAAATATTTAGGAGAAACAAATACCCTGTAGTCCATCATCATTTTGTAACCTAAGTTACAAAATGTCTGGCTCCCACAGAGCATTTTCTAAGTCATGTGAATAGCTAAGTCTGGCCTTGTGTTACTGTGGACTAGTGTGTATATAGTTGAGTAATATTAAAATTTTGGTCATAAGGGCTCTGCTGGAAGCAGGGTCTCAGGAGGGTATTTTGCACCAAGTGAGAATTGAACTAGCAAGTTAGAAATCTGTATTTTCTTGGTTCTGTTGAGTTCTAAACCAATGAGTATCCTTAGGACATGTTAACCCTCCTATTTAAATTATGAGTTACTTGTTTTTCTAGCCATGGTGACAAGTTGCATAAAAACATCTATTGCATACTCGTTCCTAGAAATTCTTGTAACCAAAAGCCCAGCTCGGAGAGGACGTGGAGTAGGCTGAGGCAGTCTTGAACTTAGGATCTCAGCTTCCCATGTGCAACTTCCTTTTTCTAGGATTTGGCAGAGCAAGAATTGGGTAGAAAGACTGACTTTCCACCTGACCTGTTGCATAGTATTGTGAGACTGGCTGACTGCAGTGGTTACAGTACTCTCCCATTTATAATACAAGCAGCATGATTTTTAATGCCTGCAAAATAGAGTTTCCAAAGAAATGAAATCTCAGAGTCCTTTAGCACCTGCTCATGGGTCAAGGGCACCTTGACACCTGCTTCTTTCTTTCTCTGCTGATTTCCCAACCCTGTACTTCAGGTGCACAAATGGAGTCCAGAGGAGGCTGTAAGAGCCATCGCCAAGATCCGGTCATACATCCACATCAGGCCTGGCCAGCTGGATGTTCTTAAAGAGTTCCACAAGCAGATTACTGCACGGGCAACAAAGGATGGGACTTTTGTCATTTCAAAGACATGATGTATGGGGATTAGAAAGAACTCAAGACACTCCTGCTTGATACAGAACAAAAAGAGCTTAACAGGACCAACAGGGCTTAAGCCCAGACTTGACGTAACAGAAATGTGCCAATAGGTAATAGGTAATTTTTCTTTCTCTGACTTGTTTTGTTTTCTTGAAATAACACTGTTGTGTGGCTAGAAAGGAAAAGATTTAGTGTGGCTTGTATTCATGGGATACAGGACAGGGATGGGGCTATCATCTTTTCTTGAATAGGGCTAAAGAAGTATTTTAACAAAAATCTATTATGTACCTAATATTGTGCCTAATAATATTTAGCACCACAACTCAAAAAACATTTAGCACTTGAAAAAAGGAGACTCACCTCTGGCTCTTTGCCACTGTCAGAATCTGAATCTCACTGGCCCTGTGGAGTAGGGATCCTATCTGGAGAAGTGGGAGCATGGGCTGCAGTCAGGACTGCTGCAGACTGAGCCATGTGATGGTACGTAATGAGTTCCCCTGAGGGAATGAAACACCCTCACCCCTTCAAAGTCACCCCTTTGGAATTCAACACAGACACACATATCCCTTCAAAAACTTTTATTTGTATCAACAGTTCCTAGCTCTTGACTTAGCTTAGAGCTTTTAAAAGAGCAGACACCTTATATATTTGAGATTGAAAAAGTTTCTGCTATTAATCAGAAATAATCATTTCTATTTTCTGGCTTACCCCTTGGAATAAGCCAAAAATAAAACCAAAGTTACATTTCCTGACAGATGGATAAGAAAACAATAGAAGGAACATCCTGAATTCTAGAGTTGACTCTTGCTGGTGAAGTACACCTTCAGCTTAGTCCATTCTCCTAAGTAAAGCCTGAAGGAAAACTCTTAACACCTAATTCTTTGTGGAAAAATGATCAACTAGCCATTTCACAGGCTATAGAACAAAAGTACAATTGGGCATCTTTCCTTATGTCCTGGGATCAGGGGTGCTTACATTTAACATTGATCAGGTAAAGAGGAGAGGCTGTGCCTAAGGTCTGAGAAAAGGCTTGCTCTAAGCAAGCTGTGGTGAGGCACAGGATGACTAGGGAATGGCAGAGAACAGGCTGGCCTACTGTCAGTTCAAGCAACCAGCTGAGCAGCAGCAGTCTAAAAAGCCCCAAACAGAACACCTCCATGGATTCAGGGAAGGGCTGAGGCACTGCCTTTCTAGTATGTGCCAAAAAAAACATAACTCTGAATTGGGGCCCAGGGGACTTTGAGTTTGTATGGGGAGGGAAAAGGAGTGAGCAGTTCTCCTCCCCTCCCCACAGCCTTAGGCCAACACAAACTGCAAATTGGTAAGCAGCACCTTAATACCTCTTGTGACAGTTACGGCTGAAGTGGCAGGGTCAAGCTTGTAGGTGTTGGCATCCCCCTTTTTATATCGGTCCCGGAAGACATAGATGCTCCCGTTACAGCTGGCAATCTTCCAGAGGGATGGGGCAGAGCTCCAGGCCTCAGGAAGGCAAAGCCGGGTGAAGCTGTCTAGCAAGGGATTGTAGCACACCAGGGAGTCCCCTTCAGCCACGATGAACACCAGATCTTTATGCACAGCTGCGTGCATGCGGCCTGCAAAGGGCAGCACATAGGGCTTCACATGGCATTTGTCTGTCTCTGTGTCAAAGCACTGGATGAGTCGGGAAGGTTTGGTAAAGAAGTCCAGATCATTCTCCTCCCCCCCTAGTAAGTAGATGATCCCGTTGAGGTTGGCACCAGCAGCCCCTGACACAGCCACCTCTAGCTGAGTTGTCTCTGTCCACACATTATCACCTACGCGATAATAAATGACTGCGTTGGAGAGGGTATCTTGCAGTGTCTTGCCACCCAGTGAATATATGGCATCTTTCCCGGGCACAGACACCAGGGTGTGCTGGAGCCGGTCCCGAGGCAAAGGAGCACACCACTCCCAGTCAACGGTGGCATTGTTGCACTTCCACATGCGCCGTGGGATGGACCCTCCCACCACATACAAGTCTCCACCATGCTTGCAGGCCGCAGTGATCTGGTGGCACAAACTGTTTTGGCCACTTACACTGATGGAGTCATCTTCTGCACAGTGCAAGGACACAGCCAACGAGTGGGTACGAGATGACTCTTTCCCAATCAGGTAAATGTGCACATTCTCCCCAATTTCCTATTGGCAAAATTAAAATTATATGACAGCTGTTAAATTCTAGGCTAAGGCTCAGCTAAGACACATATCCTTAAGATCCTGGCCCTCACACTTGTTCCTAGCTTTATCATACTACTCTCTAATTACTGTATGGCATCCAACTCTCCTCTAGTCACTTTCTTTGAGGCAATTTATGCCGGGCGGAGAATCTGTTGTATTCATCCTTGTAGCTTTTAAAAAACTCTCATAAGCTAGTGCTTCAGACAAAGGGTGATTAAGATTGTTAACTTGATGACAGTAGTTCTCAAGGAACTTTGAAAGCTCATAGATTGGTGGTACTGGGGTTACAAAGACATCCTTCTCCCCAGCTCATATCAACTTCAAGCCAGAGATAACTTATTCAAAAATAAATAAATAAATACAAAAAATTAAAAAAACAAGAGATGGCCGGGCACAGTGGCTCACACCTGTCATCTCAGCACTTTGGGAGGCCGAGGTGGGCAGATCACCTAAGCTCAAGAGTTCGAGACCAGCCTGACCAATATGGTGAAACCCTGTCTCTACTAAAAATACAAAAATTAGCCGGGCGTGGTGGTATGCACCTGTAGTCCCAGCTACTCGGGAGGCTGAGACAGAAGAATTGCTTGAATTTGAGAGGCGGAGGTTGCAGTGAGCTGAGATCATGCCATTGCACTCCAGCCTGGGAGACGGAGTAAGACTCTGTCTCAAAAACAAACAAACAAAACAAAACAAAAAACAGAGACGACCATTCATAATCTGGCCATCAAAAAGAGGCCAGGTTAGGCCAGGCGCATTGGCTCATGCCTGTAATCCCAAGACTCTGGGAGGCCAAGGTGGGTGGATCACCTGAGGTCAGGAGTTCGAGACCAGTTTGGCCAACATGGTGAAACCCATCTCTACTAAAAATACAACAATTATCTGGGCGTGGTCGTGGGCGCCTGAAATCTCAGCTACTCGGGAGGCTGAGGCAGAAAAATCGCTTGAACCCAGGAGGTAGAGGTTGCAGTGAGCCGAGATCGCACCATCGCACTCTAGCCTGGGCAACAAGAGCGAAACTCCATCTCTCTCTCTCTAGCCTGGGCAACAAGAGCGAAACTCCCATCTCTCTCTCTCACACACAGACACACAAAGAGGCCAGGTTAGGCCAGGCACAGTGGCTCACACCTGTAATCCCAGCATTTTGGGAGGCAGAGGCAGGCAGACTATCTGAGATCAGGAGTTCCAGACCAGCCTGGCCAACATGGTGAAACCCCATCTCTACTAAAAATACAAAAATTAGGCGTGGTGGCAGCACCTGTAATCCCACCTACTTGGGAGGCTAAGGCAGGAAAATAGCCTGAAACTGGGAAGTGGAGGTTGCAGCGAGCTGAGATTGCACCACTGCATTCCAGCCTGGGCAACAAAGTGAGAATCCGTCTTAAAAAAAAAAAAAAAAAGGCCGGGCGCGGGGGCTCATGCCTGTAATCCCAGCACTTTGGGAGGCGGAGGCGGGCGGATCACGAGGTCAGGAGATCGAGAGCATCCTGGCTAACACGATGAAACCCTGTCTCTACTAAAAATACAAAAATTAGCCGGGCGTGGTGGTGGGCACCTGTAGTCCCAGCTACTAGGGAGGCTGAGGCAGGAGAATGGTGTGAACCCGGGAGGCGGAGCTTGCAGTGAGCCGAGATTGCGCCACTGCACTCCAGCCTGGACGACAGAGCAAGACTCCATCTCAAAAAAAAAAAAAAAGAGGCCAAATTAACTGATGGCAAGAATGCATGGAGAGTATGCAGTCTCAACAATTAAGAGATTTGCCTTACCTTCAAGCTTGTCCTGAGTGACTCTGCAAAAGCCTCTCTTTCCTCTTTATTAAAGTTGATCCAGGCTTCTATTGCCTCTGTTGGGTTCTGAGAACACGGAACTCCATCTGTGAGAGCCAGAGGAAAGGCATGGTCAATGACAATCCGAAAGAGAAATTCAGAGTAAGGGACTTTAAAGATGTGAACCACTTTATTAGACTACTGCTGGGCATGTGTATATGTGTACATGCATACATACACATATACATGAAATTAACCTAAAATTGCTTTTTTTTTTTTTTTGAGGCAGGGTCTCACCCTGTCGCTCAGGCAGAAGTGCAATGGCGCAATCACCATCACCATAGCCTCAACCTCCTGGGCTCAAGCAATCCTGTTTCAGCCTCCCAAGTAGCTGGGACTACAGGTGTGCACCACCACGCCTGGCTAATTTTCTTATTTTCTGTATAGACAAGGTCTCACTGTTGTCCAGGCTGGTCTCAAACTCCTGCCATCAAGGGATCCTCCCTCCTTGGCCTCCCAAAGTGCTGGGATTACAGGCATGAGCCACCATGCCTGGCGGGTCTTGCTTTTTTTTTTTTTTTTTTTTTTTTTTGAGATGGAGTCTTGCACTGTTGCCCAGGCTGGAGTGCAGTGGCGTGATCTCGGCTCACTGCAAGCTCCACCTCCCGGGTTCACGCCATTCTCCTGCCTCAGCCTCCCGAGTAGCTGGGTCTACAGGCGCCTGCCACCATGCCCAGGTAATTTTTTGTACTTTCACCATGTTAGCCAGGATGGCCTTGATCTGACCTCGTGATCTGCCCGCCTCGGCCTCCCAAAGTGCTGGGATTACAGGCGTGAGCCACTGCGCCTGGCCCGTACCTTGCTCTTTTTTAAAGATAGTCTCATGTGTTACATGAGCCCTCAAAAAGTTGGGTAAAGACTCATAACCGTTCCTCTCCATGGAAATCTTTAGTAAAAGGTAAAAGATTTATACAATCTGAAGAGAAACCAGAGTATGTGCCTTGCTTTTTTAAAATCAAAATGGATGACTCGATATTTTCCCATCTGCCATGGAAGCAACCTACTAAGCTACAGAGCTCACACCATTTTTTTTTTTTTTTTTGAGATGGAATCTTGCTCTGTCGCCCAGGCTGGAGTGCGGTGGCGTGATCTTGGCTCACTGCAACCTCTGCCTCCGGGTTCAAGTGATTCTCCTGCCTCAGCCTTCCCAAGTAGCTGAGACTACAGGTGCAAGCCACCATGCCCAGCTAATTTTTGTATTTTTTGTGGAGACGGGATTTCGCCATGTTGGCCAGGGTGGTCTTGAACTCCTGACCTCAGGTGATCCACCCACCTCGGCCTCCCAAAGTGTTGGGATTACAGGTGTGAGCCACCATGCCTGGCCAACCTCACACCTTAAGTATGGCTATATCTCACTTGCAAGGTTAGGATTGTTTCCTAACGTTGGCCCATCACTAAAAAAGTTTTTAGTCTTAGATATCTTGCCCCATCACCAATTTACATAGGTAATTAGACCCACTGGGACATACGAAGTACAGGATAAATTAGAGTATAATACAAATCACTCCTCACTACTCTGTGTGGTTAAATGTTGTGCTTTAATTTTCCTGACTTCTTCCTCTAACGCACTGTGTCTCTGACAGCAATTACACTGAATCTCACCTCAATCTTTCTCAGCAGGTTATCTCAGTAAGAATGCAGGAATAATAATGTAAACTAACACCAGGAAGCTTGAGGGTTCTTTTCTCCTAAACTAGAACATTCACTGAACATCATAGCCAAGTAACTGGGTATGGTGTGTCCCCTCCCTAAACTTACCCGAGATGATATCTGTGAGTAAGCGGTGGGGCAAGTGGAGAAATTCCTCTGTATTCTGCAGCTGGGCCAGGTGGGTCTTGGCACAGTGCTTGGCAGCCGTATAGAGCTCAGGATCACTGTGCCGATCTGCCAGCCACATCACCTGAAGGCAGTTTCCCACTTGCACTGTGCGGGCCAAAAACCGAGAGCATTCCTCAAAGAGAGATGTCAGCTGATACATGTCTGACACCTCATAAATTTCCTGCAACTCCTCAGCTCGAAGTTTCACAGTCCCATGGTAGATATAATCAACCAGGAGCTGGAAAACAGACTCGCTGACATCCTGCAGCACAATCACCCGGTTGTGGGCCTCCTTCAGGTTGGAAGTGAACATGGATCGGAAGAAGCAGCTCTGAGCTGAGAGGACCAGCCGATGGAGCTGAAACTCCCGGCCTTCCACCGAAATGGTGACATCAGCAAAGAGCTCCTCCTCTAGACACAGTTTCATGATGCCTTGAGCCACACGGCCTGAATGTGACCGATCTTTGAAAGTGTAGTTCACAAAGTAGTTCTCATCCATGGATGCTCCAGGCTCCTCTGGTGATTCCATGCTAGCCAACTTCTCTCTCTGCCAGCTGTCTGCAAAGCAACACCATCTTGAGTAACCTGAGGAATTCACAGCCATAGTCTGTGAATCCAACTGTCCAACTCAGGGAGGGAAAAGGAAGAAGTGAGAGCAAAGTGGGTCCAGATTGGCCTTAGTCCTGGCCCTGTCCATGATGTCCCTGACGCTATCCTTTAACCAAATCTGGGTTCGTTATCCCCAGTGGCGCCCCTCCGCTAATGATATAAATAAAAGTTCCAACTCTGGGTGTTTTCCTGAGAAAACACGGAATAATTCCTTTCCATAATGTTAACAAAAGACTTGGGATTTAGGTCAATATATGAAAGCAAAGGGCTGGGAGAGGCCTGTGATCGTAAAAGCCTTACTAACCAAATAACTGGGGCATAAAACTAGTGAAGCTCAGGGGCAGTAGAATCAGACAAAAAGGACCCCTGGCCCCGGCCTAGTGGCCAGGTCCTCTCCTTCCCAGCGCATGGAGTTAAGACGCTCCATATGAAGCCTAGCCTGGGATATCCGTGGGTCTTACATTTGCTCTCTTCTGAGCTGCTTCCCCCACACTTCCCCGCTCGCTCGAAAGACTCCCTATGGCTGCGTCCCAGAACTTGAGTCCATCCGCCCCCAGGCCGGGGCACTGGGAGGCCCATCACCCTGTGCAATGTCCCCGCTCCACCTTGAGTCGTCTTGGAAACGGTCGCCAGGGAAACCGTTCTTCCCGCTCAGGCCCGCCCGCCCTCGTCAAAAGCTTGGCTCAGAGAGCGGGGGAGGGGTGTGTAGCGTAGAACCCAAAACGCCCGCCCCCTCCCCTCCTCTCACCCGCCTGGTTCTTCAGCGTCCTCGCCTTCTCTCTAGGCTCTGCCACAAGGAGCTAGGACCACGCTCACCTCACGATTTCCCTACCTGCCTGTCTCGCTTTCTCACCTGCGTTCCCTCCTTTCATCCCGGAGCCCGGAACCTCCGCTTCCGGCTCCACGTCCGCCCGGAAGAAGATCTGCTGCACACTTCCGTTTCCGGTCCGTGCCCTTGGGGCTCCGTGTCCTGCTGTCTTTCCGTCCGCTGCCTAGTCTGCATCTGAGTAACATGGCGGCGGCGGCGGTAGCCAGGCTGTGGTGGCGCGGGATCTTGGGGGCCTCGGCGCTGACCAGGGGTGAGCACGGGCAGCCAGCTGAGACCGGGGTCAGGCGCAGCGGCGTGCCCAGTGCAGAGAGCTCCTCAGGGCTCATCCCGCGCGTCTGTGCCTTTTATCTCCCTGTGCAGGGACTGGGCGACCCTCCGTTCTGTTGCTGCCGGTGAGGCGGGAGAGCGCCGGGGCCGACACGCGCCGTGAGTATGTGCGGGCAGCGCTCTTCTCTGAACTATCGGCGGGGCCCCTTAGATGCCTGTCCTTGCCCTAGGATGCCCTTCCCTACGTCCTCCTGGCAAATCTTGGAGATCTGACTTGCAGTGGTCTTCACCCTGCATGCAGAATCGAGCCCTCCCTGTGCCCTTAGGCCTGTTATGGCCCTGATTGTTCCTTGTCCATTTCAATCATCCCCTTTTTGTCTGATTAAACTGTCAGCTCTTTGAAAGCAAGCAATATAACCTTTAGGCCTCAGAGCCCTGTAATAATAGTACCTAGCGTTAATTGAGTGCTTAATGTGTGCCTGGAACCTCGCTAAGCGTTTTAGTGAATGATCTTATTTCGTCCTCACAACAGCCTTATGGGGTAGATAGCATCTTACTCTTCTTACTATAGATCAGGAAACAGTCCAAAGAATTAAACTGCCCAGGGTCAAAGACCTAGTGAATGACAAAGTAGGCCTGCCTGCTGCCAGAGGCAGAAACACCTAACCATTATTCTGTAGCTTGTGATGTGTGATTGCTCAGTGGTTTAGGGTTGCATGAATGAGTATGTACATATTATGTTACAGTCAAGATACACGGACTGGGAGTTAGGAGACCTGGCATTTCTCCTTTCCTGGGTTTTCTCATTGACACACACACACACACACACACACACACACACACACACACACACACCTGGGCCTCAGTTTTCTCATTGACACACACACACACACACACTTTTAAGGAGAGAGAGAGTCTGTGAGGGATCTTCAAGCCCTGAAGTTCTTAGCTTGAGAACCTGGTATAAACTTGCGTGCTAAGGAGCTACAGAGAGGCAAAAGTTCAGTTCCCATCCTCAAACAGCTCTTAGTCTGACAGGAGAACTGAGACTACTGCTTTAGCAGAAATGCAGGCAATGTGAGGGAAGAACTGTGGAGTAATTTTGAGAAGAGGTGAACACCCCAGCTGCTATAGTAAGAGTCTTTCTGAGGACCGTGTAGTTAAGGTGGCACTTTCCCCAAGTTTTCATCACTGTATTCCCTAGAAGGGAAACCTTTCACATGCACCTTTCTCAAGGTGCTTCAGGGAGCCTTTCCTGGATTTGACATCCCTTACAAGCCTAAGAGACTGCATGCAGGGCTGGCTTTTGCCTTCTCCATTTCTTTTTTAAATATGCCTTTTCCTTCCAGCCACTGTCAGACCACGGAATGATGTGGCCCACAAGCAGCTCTCAGCTTTTGGAGAGTATGTGGCTGAAATCTTGCCCAAGTATGTCCAACAAGTTCAGGTAATACTTACTAATGTTATTTGGGTCTGGGTCAAGAAAGAACCATGTTCGCAGGGCATGTGGGAGTGGGCAGACTTGTTTCAAAGAAACTACAGATTCCTCCATCCCAAGCTTGGACTTTTCTCTCAGCATTAAACCAGGTGACTCCAGCTGAAGTTAGCTGTTCCCTCAGTAGCTCTTTGTTCCCTCTCCCCTCACTTTCATGTGTGCAGGTGTCCTGCTTCAATGAGTTAGAGGTCTGTATCCATCCTGATGGCGTCATCCCAGTGCTGACTTTCCTCAGGGATCACACCAATGCACAGTTCAAATCTCTGGTTGACTTGACAGCAGTGGACGTCCCAACTCGGCAAAACCGTTTTGAGGTCAGTTGGGAGATCTGAGAAGGTTTTGGGGGTAAGGATATTAATTTCAGTTTGTAACATACAATAGAACACAGCAGTTAAACTGGAACTTCAGAGTCAAGTAGATCTGAAGTTGGATCTTGGTTCTGCCACTAAATGGCTGTGGGACCTCAGATAACTCAAATATTTTGTTTAATTTTTTTTTTTTTTAGACGGAATCTTGCTCTGTCGCCAGGCTGGAGTGCAGTGGCATGATCTTGGCTCACTGCAACCTCCGTCTCCCAGGTTCAAGCGATTCCCCTGCCTCAGCCCCTTGAGTAGCTGGGACTACAGGTGCATGCCACCACGCCCGGCTAATTTTTTGTATTTTTTTAGTGAAGACTGGGTTTCACCATGTTGGCCAGGATGGTCTCAATTTCCTGACCTCGTGATCTGCCTGCCTTGGCCTCCCAAAGTGCTGGGATTACAGGCATGAGCCACCATGCCCGGCCCTTGTTTAATCTTTCTGAGCTTTCATTTTCTTACCGGGAAAATAAATATAAAGCTGTCCTTATCTTATAGAATGGTTATAAGGATCCAATGAGATAGTTCAAGTAAATTGCTTGCACACAGTGTTTTCAATACATTTAGCTATTAATATTTTACTGATTATCTACTGTTTGCCAGACTCTGGGATGGAGAGAGAAATAACATGAAGTATTTGTCCTCCAGGAGTCCCCTACACTCTAGTGAAGGAGAAAGACACCTAAACAGCTTACTGTAGTAACATATAATACAAAGGATATTAGAGGGATGCTTTAAGAAAGCAGGAGGGGCACTTGGCCCTGTCTGGGAGGCTTCTTTGAAAAGAGAGAATGTTTGTGCTGAATCTAAAATATGAGTAGGAGACCAGGTAGCCTTGTGAGATGGACCAGGGAAATATTCCTGACAAAGTGAATAGCATGAGCAAACACAGGCATGCTGACATGCTAAGCTACAGCTGTGGCCTGGGCCTTTGGAAGTAGTTGTAAGCATAGGAGAATCTTGAGGTTTTGAGGTTCAGAATAGAAGGCAGGGTCACAGGGCAGAACTCTCCCAATCAGGGACTCCCATCTCAGCCCTCCAGATCCTTCTGTTCTCCCTAGATTGTCTACAACCTGTTGTCTCTGCGCTTCAACTCACGGATCCGTGTGAAGACCTACACAGATGAGCTGACGCCCATTGAGTCTGCTGTCTCTGTGTTCAAGGCAGCCAACTGGTATGAAAGGGAGGTGAGTTACCGGATATGGTGGACCTGCCTCTGGGCCACAGTTGCAGAACTGGTTCAGACTACGGGATGCAGTGTAGCCCCTTCCCCCTGTTGTTAGTCTTGATGGATTGGCTGTTTGAGGTGGTCTCTTTCCTAGATCTGGGACATGTTTGGAGTCTTCTTTGCTAACCACCCTGATCTAAGAAGGATCCTGACAGATTATGGCTTCGAGGGACATCCTTTCCGGAAAGACTTTCCTCTATCTGGCTATGTTGAGGTAGGAGCCTTGGAACTGGGACAGCAGCCTCAGGGAGGGACTTGCAGAGAACCCAGGGGATCCCTGGGAATGGCAAGAAATACGGTCTGTGGATTGTGGTGGTTTAAGAGCATGGGCCCTGGATTCAGATCCTAGCTTCATTTTTGTAACCTGGGGCAAGTTACTTGGTTTGACTGTAACTCAGTTTTCTCATCTTAAAATGGCAATAATAATAGCACTTTAATAGATTTGTGGCTGGCATTAAATAATGTATGTGTAGGCTCACGCCTGTAATCCCAGCACTTTGGGAAGCCAAGACAGGAGGAGTGCTTGAGTCCAGGAGTTCGAGAACAGCCTAGGCAACATGGTGAAACCTCTTCTCTACAAAAAAATAGAAAAATTAACGGGGCATGGTGGTGCATTCCTGTGGTCCTGGCTGCTCAAGAGGCTGAGGTGGGAGGATCGCTTGAGCCTAGAAGGCGGAGGTTGCAGTGAGCCGAGATCACGCCACTGCTCTCCAGCCTGGGCAACAGAGTGAGACCCTGTCTCTAAATAAATAAATGATGTATGAAGCCTGCTGTATTGTAAAGGCTCAATTGATGCTGTGTGTGTGTGTGTGTGTCAGGGTCTCACTCTTGTCACCTAGGATGGAGTGCAGTGGTGCGATCATGGCTCACTGCAGTCTTGACCGCCCAGGCTCAAGTAATCCTCCCACCTCTCAGCCCTCCGAGTAGCTGGGACTACAGGCATGCACCAACATGCCCAGCAAATTTTTGTATTTTTTGTAGAGACGGGGTTTCTCCATGTTGCCCAAACTGGTCTCGAATTCCTGGGCTCAAGTCATCTGCCCGCCTCAGCTTCTCAAAAGTGCTGGGATTACAGGTGTGAGCCACCACACCTGGCCAGTGTTATCCATTATTGTAATGATCATTTTAATGATCAAGGCAGCCTTGACGACACAGTCTGTCCCTAAAACCTGAAAGTAGAGGATTATTTTACCCTGCCCTGACTCTCTGGGAAGGCAGTGACGGGGAAGACACCAGATGCTTAGCCCTCAAAAATTACCTCTGAGGTGGGACCAGTAACGTGAATAAAGAATTTCAGTGGTGCTGCAGGTTATTTGCAGGAAGATAGTGTGTAATATTATCACTCGTGAATTTTATAGCAAAGTAACTGTTTAGAAATGCAGAGATGTGGTGCTCCAGCCCTGCTCTTTTAGTTCCCAGTCACTCCTGCTGTGTTAGTGCTTTGCATGCTCCTATTTCCCTCTTGGGCTACTTCTGGGCAGGGCTATCTCCCTCGCTTCTCCCTTTCACCCCACTCCTGCTATCTGCCTCACCTGGTTTGCCTCTTCACTCTAGCACCTGATGATCCTTACCTTATCCATTTGATCCCCAAGTAACAAGAAAAGCTGTGTCAAATGTACTGCTTTAGATCTGGACTGTGAATATGCCAAGGGCACCGGGCCTGAGGTTGTGTATCTGCCAGTTTAGGTTTACTCTTTTCAGCCACCGACTACTCCCTAATCCTGGGCAAATGCTTACCATTACCTTGTAAGAGTGTGTGGGTGGGTGAGCAGTCAGTTCGGAGCTCCTGATGTGGGAGTGGTGAGCAGGGGAATCTGACTGGTGCTGGCAGGGCATGAGAGGTATCCTACATTTTGGAATCACACACTCTAGCTGGTTGGGATGTGATCTGACGGGTAACACAGGTATGGATGGAGACTTACTGACAGAGGCTGGGACAGGAGTCAGTAACCGAGAGGAATGGGCTGGGGAAGTCACCAATAGCCTTGTGAAAAGTAGGCTCCTGTGTAGCTATAATAAGGACTTCCTTAGTGCTCAAGCCTGCCTTTTGCTCCTGCAGTTACGTTATGATGATGAAGTGAAGCGGGTGGTGGCAGAGCCGGTGGAGTTGGCCCAAGAGTTCCGCAAATTTGACCTGAACAGCCCCTGGGAGGCTTTCCCAGTCTATCGCCAACCCCCGGAGAGTCTCAAGCTTGAAGCCGGAGACAAGAAGCCTGATGCCAAGTAGCTCCAGGGAACGCATGTGGATCCTAGACAGCGCCTTATCTATGATTGAGTGTCCGTGTAAATAAATTCCTACTTAGACTTACCACTTTGTGTGTGCTTGTAATGTGGAGAAGTGATGCTTTGGGGGGGACACAGGCAGGCAGGGGTGTTTCCCTGCTCTCTTAGAGAGGCACTACTAAACCAGGGAGTCTTTGATGGGTTTTTTTTTTTTTTTTTGAGACAGTGTTTCGCTCTTGTTGCCGAGGCTGGAGTACAATGGCGTGATCTCGGCTCACCACAACCTCCGCCTCCTGGGTTCAAGTAATTCTCTTGCCTCAGCCTCCCGAGTAGCTGGGATTACAGGTGTGTGCCACCACACCTGGCTAATTTTGTATTTTTAGTAAAGACGGGGTTTCTCCATATTGGTCAGGCTGTTCTTGAACTCCTGACCTCAGGTGATCTGTCTGCTTCGGCCTCCCAAAGTGCTGGAATTATAGGCGTGAGCCACTGTGACCAGCTCTTTTATGTTTTTTTGAGATGGAGTCTCGCTCTGTCACCCAGGCTGGAGTGCAGTGGTGCTGTCGCAGCTCGCTGCAACCTCCACCTCCCAGGCCCAAGCGGTTCTCCCCCCTCAGCCTCCCAAGAAGCTGGGATTACAGATGCACGCCACCACGCCCAGCTAGTTTTTATAGTTTTTGTAGAGATGGGATTTCACCATGTTGCCCAGGCTGGTCTCGAACTCCTGGCCTCAAATGATCCACACTGGCCTCCCAAAGTGCTGGGATTATAGGCGTGAGCCACCACACTCAGCCGGAGGTCTATTTTAATGGGACTAAAGAGTGTAGTTGCAGACGTGGTGGCCTGCAGGCATGGATGTATTTCTGAGAGGGATTCTGGAGCTGTAACTGAAAGTTCTCACAGTCCACAGGGTTCAGGATGGGTGTGGCATGGTAGCCAATCACTCTTGGGCTACAGGAATCTCCCTGGTTTCTGGCCTGAGCTGAGAATGGTGGGGTTCTTTTTTTCTTCTTCTTTTTTTTTTTTTTTTGAGATGGAGTTTTGCTATTGTTGCACAGGCTGGAGTGCAATGGCATGATCTTGGTTCACTGTGACCGCCGCCTCCCGGGTTCAAGCAACTCTGCCTCAGCCTCCCGAGTAGCTGGGATTACAGGCTTGCGCCACCACGCCCGGCCAATTTTGTATTTTTAGTAGAGATGGGGTTTCTCCATGTTGGTCAGGCTGGTCTCAAACTCCCGACCTCAGGTGATCTGCCCGCCTCGGCCTCCCAGAGTGCTGGGATTACAGGCGTGAGCCACCGCGCCAGGCTGGTGGGGGTTTTTTGAGACAGGGTCTTGGTCTGTCACCTAGGCTAGAGTGAGTACAGCAGTGTGATCGTGGTTCACTGCAGTCTAGACTGCCTGGGCTCAGGTGATCCTCCCACCTCAGCCTCCTGAGTAGCTAGGACCACAGGTGTGTACCACCATACCCAGCTAATTTATTTGTAGAGATGAGGGCTCACCATGTTGCCCAGGCTGGTCTTGAACTCCTGGGCTCAAGCCATCCTCCTGTCTTGCCCTCCTAAAGTGCTGGGATTACAGGCATGAGCCACCGTGCCCGCTCTGAATTAAGAATGTTGCTAGGAAACAAGAGGTCCCAGGGCTGGGGCAAAAACCACTCAGGAGCTGCAGATTTGTCTGTCTGCCAGGGGACAATACGCCCTAGCCCAGCTGATCTGTCTGTCCAGCCTGCGGCAGAGTGCCTGAGAGGGGAGTGCTTGGCTCTGCCTGTCTGTGGGGCCGCCCAGCCAGCCCACCATGCAGTTGGAAGACTTTGCAGCTGATGCTTTTGGCAGCTGAGGGGCTCCTTGGAGGCTGGGCTGGGCCAGACTGGGTGTCGGGGCTGGCCTCAGTCGCAGGATATTTTGAGGGCGCAGACAGTAAGATGGTCTTACTGCCTGAGCTCTTTCCTACCCTTTGGGAGGGCCAAGCTACAGCTATTTGCTACCAAACACCTTTTTCCTATTAACTAAGCATACCGCCCAGCTGGGCAGGAACAGGCTGAGGGCCTGACAAGCAGGGAGCCAGGCTCCTGCCAACAACCAAAGATTCCCCATTTCTAAAGGATGGAAAGAGCCCCTGGGAGGTGACCGAGGCCACAGCCAGCCCCTCCCTGTTCAGCACTGAAGAATGACACGCATTACAGAGCTCTGGAGCAGCCCGCAGTGGAAAGTTGGAGCTGAGGTGTGTGGCAGGCAGATGAGGGAGCAGAGAACTGCTGAACAGAGTGAGACTCAGAGGACGTGGTTGAGCATGGCTGCGACCCTGCAGTTCCTGGTTTGCCTGGTGGTAGCCATTTGTCTCCTCTCTGGTGTGACTACAACCCAGCCCCATGCAGGTACCAGGCTTCAGGGTGGGTGGAGAGGAGCCAAGGCTGCTGGCTGACAGCAGTTAACAGTTGGCTCTATTTGAGGCTAGTCGGGCATAGAAGCGTGGGCATGGTGGGTACCAGGCTGATGTGTGCTGTGGTGGGTGACAGTGTGGGCCCCACCCCCAGAACTGGAAAGGTACAGGTGACACCTAGGGAGATAGCCCTAGGTGCTCTTAATGCTGGCCCTGGGCTCATTCCCACTGATGCCCAAAGCAGGGTCTCTTGACCTGCCTGGGCTTGGAACAAACATTGCAAGGGTGAGGCAACACCCCAAGGTGTGGGCCGGACGGAGCTGCCACAGACATCCTCCCCTGCTCTGTCCTCCCTGCCTCACATCCTCCCCTGCCCCGTCCTCCCTGCCTCACATCCTCCCCTGCTCTGTCCTCCCTGCCCTGTCTTCCTCCTCCCTCCCTTACTGCTGAGGAGGAGCAGGGAGAGTAGGCTCTTTCCAAAGAGGTCTTTGTCCTTGGGAGAGTCACTGGCACTGTTTTAGGTGACTTTATCCTCAGATGACTATAGGGAGGGGAGGAGGGTGGGGAAGGGTCTTGTGACCCGTTGGCCTGGAGCTCTTTAACAAGGGCATTGTGCAATTTAAAGGAGGTGTCCTGGGCATTTGCCAACATGGTAACTGGGCTTGGAATGATGCTTTTGAGATCAGAGGACCTATGCCTGGGAGGGTGAATGTCAATGTGCATGTGTGTGCGTGAGAGGGAGGGGAAAGGAGGGCATGGGATGGCATTCCTGCCCTTTTGTAGAATGATGAAGCACTCGGGACCTCTACCAGGCAGCAGAGGGGCACTTCTGGGAGGCTGGGGTGTTCATGGTGTAGCATGGCAGGGGCCTGACTCCTCTCTGCTGCCCCAGGGCAGCCCATGGACAGCACCAGCGTGGGAGGTGGCCTGCAGGAGCCAGAGGCCCCGGAAGTGATGTTTGAGGTCTTTCCTCCCAGCCTGGGACATGGGGGTGGGCACGTCCAGAGGTCCCTAAGCTCAGGGTTGGGAAGGGGGATGTCTCAGGGTGGACCTGCTAGGGTTGGGTGGGGCAAGCCAGCATGCGTCCTGCTGCCTGCTTCTGCCCCTTCCCCCAGCCCACTCTTGCTCCCTGCCCTGCTCCCCAGGCCACAGCCCACCCCTTACATGGCTCCCCTTGCAGCTGCTCTGGGCTGGGCTGGAGCTGGATGTCATGGGGCAGCTGCACATCCAGGATGAGGAACTAGCGTCCACACACCCAGGCCGCCGACTCAGACTCCTCCTGCAGCACCACGTGCCCAGTGACTTGGAGGGCACTGAGCAGTGGCTGCAGCAGCTCCAGGACCTGCGGAAGGGGCCTCCTCTTAGCACTTGGGACTTTGAACATCTGCTCCTCACAGGCCTGTCCTGCGTCTACCGGCTCCACGCAGCTAGTGAGGCTGAGGAACGGGGCCGCTGGGCCCAGGTCTTCGCTCTCCTGGCACAGGAAACACTCTGGGACCTGTGCAAAGGTTTCTGCCCCCAGGACCGGCCCCCTTCCCTGGGGTCCTGGGCCTCCATCCTTGACCCCTTCCCCTGACCCTCCTCTTTTGTTCTTTCACCTGCCATTACCCCCTCCCATCTCCTCCTCAACCCCCCAGGCAGACCCATCTTGCGCAGGGGCTTCTGTCTGGCATCTGATTCTTTTCACCGTGTTCAGATCTCTGGGCTTGGCTTGCACCCTGGACACCCCCTCTCTGCTTACCCCGACCAGATCTTGTTTCCTAGATCTTGAGAGGCTAAGAACCCAGGCTCTGGGTCGCAAGGAGTGCGCAAGGAGTGGGCACAGAGCTAAGGGCACGACTTGCAGGCAGTGTGTGTGTGAGTGTGTGTGTGTGTGTGTGTGTGTGTGTGTGTGTGTGGAGATCAGGGGTCAGGGTTGAGAAGTGTGTTCAAGAGATGCTGAAGGGAAGCTGCCCCAAGTAAGGCCTGGTCAGACCTTCCAACTCCTACCCTGGCAGTCTGTGACAGGTCCTGTGGAATTCACAGGAATCCTCTAGGTGCTGAGCATCCCCTTTTAGGCACAACCAAGGATTTGGGGTCTCTGAGCCTCCAAGTTCCCATCTGGGTTGGGAGAATCGACTTTTTGAGTTCTGTCAGTTGGAAGAGTGGAGGGAAGCAGGGGGAGGGAGGAACATTATCTCTTTTGGGGTAGGGAGGCAATATCTCAACAAGCGTCGGGTGAATACCTCAGAGGGGGGAGTAAGGCTGGGAGACCAAGGAGAGACAAGCGGAGGTGGGCTGGAGCAGGTGTGGCCCTGATTCTGTGTTGCTCTTCTCATAAAATGTTCTGTTTCGGCCTCCTGGAGCCTGTGTCATTCTATGTCGGAATAAGCGTCTAACCCCTGCTCTGGGCAAATCACTCTCCCCATCCCGGGAAGGCAAGAGTCAGGGCAACCAGGTATCAACTCCTCATCTCATTCCCACGCCCTGCTGGAAGAAGGAATGCACTGTTTCCTTGAATCCCATGCACCCTGTGGGGTAATGGGGTGCTGTTCCTTGTCACAGAAAGGCATCAGCCGGGGGCTAAGGCTGAGGTCGTAGGTCAATGATGAGTCAGAGGGCTAGACGAGGTAGGGATATAAAAGGGAGGCCCCCAACGGACTAGGCGAATGTGGTTCCATCAAATTCCCACCTCCTCACCCTCCCAGGGTCCAAGGGGACCTTGCTTTCCAACCTCCAACCCCTTCCCCGGGCCTGCGGGCCCGCAGTAGTCAGCACCTTCCCGCCTGCCGCCGGCGAATGCGTCGCAGTCAAGACAGCGCAGGGGCCTGGGCTGCCGGGCGCTGCGCGTGCCCGCTTTCCGCTTTATTGGCAGAGTCCAGGCGCGCCCGGAGGCCGTGGCGCTCGCGCGGGACTTTCGAGCCTCCGGCCCGGCCTGGCATGCACGCCCCTGGCCCTCCCGGGCTCTTCTCTGGCCCGGGGCTCACAGTAGCTCCGAGGCCCCGAGGCCCGGCGGGGCGGCGGGGGCGAGGTCGGGGTACACCAGGAAGCCGGAGAAGGTGATGTACTTGCCGTGGTTGCTGTAGGCGCCGTAGCCGTCGTGGTCGTGGCTGAGCAGCCAGACGGCGTCGCCGCGCCGCAGGGCCAGCATCACGCTCTGGCTCTGCATCTCGCGGCGCCGCGACGCGCCGTCGTCGTAAATCATGGCCTGCACCTCGTCGCGGTTCTTCATCAGCTTAACCGACAGCGTCTTACGCGGCAGCTTGCCCAGCGTGAAGGAGAAGAAGTAGGCGCCGGGCAGACGGCAGCGGAACACGCCGGCCGCCGCGTCGAAGTCGCCGCCAATGTTGACGAACTCGGTGTCGAAGGCGAGTGGTTGGTGCCGCGGCCCGGGGCCAGCGTCCGAGCCCACCAAGCTGCGCGTGCGCGCCGCCGAGAAGGCCGAGCGCGGCTCGGGGGGCGCGGGCGGCCCGCGCGCAGGCGCGTCAGCGTCGGCGTCGGCGTAGACTAGGTAGCCGCTGAAGGTGGCGCCGGGCGCGCCTAGCGCGTACTGCGGGGCGCCATGCAGCCGCAGCCACACTGTGTCGCCGTAGTCGAGCTGCAGCATGGCGCTCTGGCTGGCTGCGCGCCGCGCGCCTGGCCGCCGCTGCTCGTCGAAGGCCAGCGCCTGCACCTCGTCGCGGTTTCGCACCAGCATCACCGACAGGCTCTTGTGCGGGGCCTTGCCAGCCGTGAAGGAGAAGAAGTAGGCGCCGGGCACGCGGCAGCGAAACTGGCCGGTGGCCACATCGAAGTCGCCCCCGATGTTCACGTACACCTTGTCGAAGGTCACCGCCATCTCCGACGTGCCCTCCAGGGGGGTGGTGCGTGCCGCCGAGAAGGCCGAGCGCAGCTCAGAGGATCCCGGGCCGGGGGTCGGGCCCAGGGCCCAGCAGGCCGCTGGGCCCAGCAGGCCCAGCAGAAGCGGCAGCATGGCGCCTGGGAGGGAGACGGAGGGGCGAGAGTGGAGTGTTGGCAGGGGCGGCTTCCAAACGCCCGGCTCTCCACCGGGAGACAAGGGTTCTCTTCCCAGCCCTGCCCTTGACCCACAAGTAGGTTTCAATTTTCCTACATCCTTGGATTCTCAAACTCTAGCGAGCCTCACTGTCACTTGGAGGGCGTGTTCAAACATACATAGTTGGGCCCCATCACCAGAGTTCATTCAGTAGGTCTGTGATGGGCCTGATAATTTGCATTTCTTTGTTTTGTTTGTTTGTTTTGAGATGGAGTCTCGCTCTGTGAACCAGGCTGGAGTGTAGTGGCACGATCTCGTTTCACTGCAACCTCCACCTCCCGGGTTCAAGCAGTTCTCCTGCCTTAGCCTCCTGAGTAGCTGACATTACAGGTGCGCACCATCACGCCCAGCTAATTTTTTGTATCTTTAGTAGAGACGGGGTTTCACCATGTTGGCCAGGCTGGTCTTGAACTGACCTCAAGTGATCCACCTGCCTCAGCCTCCCAAAGTGCTGGGATTACAGGCGTGAGCCATCGCGCCTGGCCTTGAAACCCCGCCCCCCCCCCTTTTTTTTTTGAGACGGAGTCTGGCTGTGTCGCCAGGCTGGAGTGCAGTGGCTTGATCTCGGCTCACTGCAGCCTCCACCTCCCAGGTTCAAGCGATTCTCCCGCCTCAGCCTCCCAAGTAGCTGGGACTACAGGCTTGCACCCAGCACACCCAGCTAATTTTTGTATTTTTAGTAGAGACAGGGTTTCACCATGTTGGCCAGGATGGTCTTGATCTCTTGACCTTGTGATCCGCCTGCCTCGGCCTCCCAAAGTGCTGGGATTACAGGCGTGAGCCACCGCGCCCGGCCGAAACCCCTTTCTTAAGTGAAAGCTTGAACACAGACTAGCAGAAACACTCTGGTTAAAGAGGCCTACAGCCCTGTCTGCTGGGCTTGCCCCTACACCTCCCATTTGACACTCAGGGGCCCTGGTAACCCGGGGGATTCAGGGGAGTCTCTGAGTTCCCCTCAGCTCCAGTTGGCTGCATTTTCCTGTGGTTATTTTATGGTCCTTGGTCTGCCACTCACGCAGGCACTGGCTCTCTGTGTCAACGCTCTGCATGACCGTTACTGTTTAAGCCCCATCTGAGCAGGAAAGGAAATCGCTGCTCCCTGACCCCTTTCCTGGCCTCACCAGGGGCCCTTCCTGCACAGAGGAGGCGAGAACAGTTGGGCTTTGAGGTAGCTTCCTCCCCCTTGAAATCAGAGTAAAAGAGAAGGTGACTCCTTTCTCTTTGCTTGGAGGCTGGTTACTCAGAAGAAGGAGTGGCGAGCCAGGGGCTACTGGGGATGGACAGGGACAGCAACAATTCCAGCAGGGCTTTGGCAAGGCTGTGAAGTCAGCAGCTTTGTTCCTTGGGAGTGATGGATTGGAGAGGACAGATAGCCAGATCTGGGTTCAGGTCCTGGCTCTACCACTCACACTGTGAAACCTTGGGCAGGTTCCCTAACTTCTCTGGGCATGGCTTCCTCCATGTAAATGGGGAAGAGACCTCACACACAGGCTTGCTGTGGGGGTGTGCTGAGATAGGTGTGAACATGGTTTGTCAACGGCAGTGCTGAGGTGTGCAGATGCTTCTGTCGGTTGCCCTGACAAAAGTGATCTGGTCCAGTTCTTGACGTAAGGGTTTAGGGACTCAGTCACTCCTACCCCTGAGAGCTTGGTGAAGGCACTGCTTAACTCAAAGGAGTCACTCTCTGATGTAGGGATTCCATCCTGCTTCCTAGTAGGGCACGTGCTTTGGGGCTTGAATACCCAAAAGCCCTGATGTGGAAACAAAACAGGAAAGAAATGAGCTGGAGACAGCCTGGGATGTGGGCTGCTTTAGAAAATGCCCTGTATGTGTAGCTCTGTGTCTCTTAGAGACAGCAGGGACCTGCTGAGAAGGGTTGTCAGGTGTAGATGTGCAGAACGTCCCAGCTAGAATCTAGCTCACACTCCACATGTTAGAGCAGCACCTGGCGTAAAGTATGCCACCTTCTCATTCTCATACTAAAGACCCCAAGTTGCTAGCCAACTGAATGCTGTCTCCTTCCAGAGGAGGTGCTTTTTGTAATTCTCACAAAGGTGTCCTATGGATTAGTTAGGTGTCCCTTGGTTAGGACAGGGAGGAGGGAAGGGGCCATCCACAGTGGTGAAGATGGCACCTCACAAGTGTCCAGTGCATTCCCTTTTACAAAGTTCTTTTAGACACATGGTCTTGGCAAACCTACAAGACAGGTGGGCCGTCTCCCATTTTATAGATGAGAAAGCTGAGGCCCAACAAGGGAAAGCATTTTGGCCCAAGGTCACCCATGGAGCACTGAGGTTTTTTGACTCAAATTCCGTATGCCTTCCTGTCACTCTTCCCTCCTAGACACAGGTATGTCCAGCCAATTTGTTCTGTGCCTCAGTTTACCTTTTTGCAAAACTAGGAGAGGAGATCAGAGGAATGAGTCTTGGGATCCAGGGTGAGGAAGACAGAAAGCAAAACCAAACAAAAGCAAGCAAACACATTCTCTAGTGTTTTGTCTTCTGGGAACACGGAAAACAGCTCAGCTTTTCCATACCGCTGCTTTCCTAGTGGGTCCTGCCCCAGAAGCAGCTGCCCAGCAACCTCCTGACCAAGGCTGGTGCACCCCACCAGTGCCAAGGGTCTTCCTGTGCACCCAGTACCCAGCCTCCGTTTCACCCACACTGCCCAATTCCCAGATCCCTGGATCCTCGTCCTTCCCTGAACCCCCTTCCCTGAGCAGGTCAGAGGTGTGGGAGGGTGTGTCAGGTGGGTGTCATAGCTCCAGGGAAGGAAATGGCTGTTCCTGGCTCTGTCCAGGTGGGGTTCAAAATAGTCATCTTCAAAGAGAAAAACTGGGACACAGAGCTGGAGAGACCCAGAGCCCCGGAGCCAAGGCGGGAGGTGCAGCGATGTCAGGCTGAGGGGATCGCAGAGTTCCCCCTTGCCCTGCCACTCACCAGTTAACCCTTCCCTCAAGCCCTGCCAGAGCCCCCTCCCCAACCTACCTTGAAAGCCCCTCATCCTTCCAAGAAGTCCCACTTTCACAGAAGCCAATTAATCCTTATTTTTAAAAAACAAAAACCAATCCCTCTCCCCCGAGACCTTCCCTCCATCCATCCATCCCTTTGGAATGAAAGCCCTTGTGCCTGTTTCACGAAAAGGCTCCCAGGTCCTCCTTTCAAGGAAAAAGGACCCAATTTCCCCGCGCCTCCCCAGCCCTCGCTTCCAGTAAAGGGGGAACCTCGGCTCCCTGCCTCCCCTCAGCTGCCCTCACCTGGCTGGGGGCGGCGGTCGAGTCGGGTTCGGTCTGAGCCCGCGATCTGGCTCCGGGCTGCGGGCTGCGGGCTGCAGGCTGCAGGCTGCGGGTGCCGGGCTGCGCGCTGACCGCCCGCGCTGCGGCAGGGGCGGCGGGGGCTCCGGCTGCTTTTCCCGGCTCTGAGGCGGCAGCGGACAGGGTGCTGGGGCCAGGGGCCGGGCGTGGGGAGGCGTGAGGGAAAGGGAAGGTCAGCTAGAGAGGGAGCCGAGCGAGAGCGAAGAGGCGGGGGAGAGACGGGAGGGGGAGAGGAGGGGAGTAGGGGAGAGGGAGGGGCGAGCTGCGGGGCCTAGGGGCTCCGCACGGAGTCTGCGCCGAGCACTGGACCCTTCCTCATCTGTGACCTCCTTAGAGCTTCGTCCTCTGGGTCTAGAGAGCAGGCATCATTAATCTGAGCAGTTGGGGAAACTGAGGCCAGAGGCAGCAGCTAACGCGGGGTGGCCCAGAGCGCTCTACAGTCCAGCTTCCTTCCTAGTGTGGGGAGAGAGGGCTAGAGCTGGACTCAGAGGCTGGACTAGCCTTTGGGCTGCAAGGACAGTGGAAGGTGAGATTTTGGCTGGGACAGATGTCCAAGCTAAGTGGCCTTGGGGGAGAGGTCTGAAGGAAGAGAAGGATAAATGGGTCAATGTTGCCAGTAAAGGAAGAGCTGAAAATAACCTAGTTTTTCCTCCTCACCTCCAAATTGGAAAATGCCCACGGTCGGTTAGGAAAGAGGGAGAAGGGAGTCTGCAGGCATCAGAGGGGCAGCCTGCGTTCCCCGGGGTGAGGGGCAGTAAGGAGGAGAGTCCTTGGGGCAGAATGGAATTTTCTGCTGGGAAGGTTGCTCCTGCAAGAAGGGACAGGATTGAGAGGGCAATAGGTGGGGAAGAAAGGCCTCTGGAGAGGGAAACTGATGCCCTGCCTCGCTGGGGCCAGGCTAGCAAGAGTCCAGCAGGGCACCCGGGCTGGGAACAGCGGTCTTCCCATGGTAATACTCACCAGAGGCACTAGTGCTGGCCTCTACTCTGGGCTTCGAGCCCGTGGGATGGGGGCTCAGACTCCCTTTCTCTAGGCTGCTGTTCTCTCCCCTGACGGCTGTAGAGGTGACGACACTGCCTGGCACTCAGTAGATGCTGACTGAGTGGATGACTTTTGAAGAGCTCTACTTTCAGCAGCCAAGAGCTGGTGCCCTCTGCCTGGCCCTGGTTGACTCCAGAGCCATGGGCTCTAATTCTGCCTCTGCTGCAGGTCTGCTCTGTGGTCCCTGAGAGGCCTGGACCCCTGCAGAACCCCCGTCCTCTGGAGCTTTCCTTTTGGAGCTCTCAAAGTTTACCCCACCCCAGTTAATCTATTTGTCTCTAGGAAGATGTTGGTAGAGGTGATTGGCTCTGCTTCAAGGGTGTTAGGTGAATGATGGAATGAATTAACGAATATGTGCCAGAATAGAAAGGAATGAATGGAGGTGTTTTGGGCTGGATAATGAGGGTATTTGGTGACAGAGGGTGAAGCACCTGTCTAGCCCTTGTCAGATCACAACTGTCTCTTTCACCAACTTGAAAAGCTTGGGCCACAGGACTGTGGGGAGGACAAGAAGCAGGGTAAGGGTGGGATGAGCCACACAGGGATGTCGAAGGAGAGCTGGGGGATGCCAAAAGCCAACCTATGGCAATCTATGGCCCTTCTTAGGGCCATGGGCCCCTTCTGGATGAGAAGAGTGGAGCTGCTCTCCTGAGGGTGATTCCAATGGTGGGAGGGGAGGGGAGGGGAGAAGGTATATTATAGGATAATATAATCTCAGTTGAGGTTTGGTTCAGGCTGGGATTTGACACTCCCTGGATCCACAAGAGTTCTCACCAGAGAAGTGAGGGTTGAGGTAGAGATGGGTGGCTGGGGCAGATGACATCAGGATTTGCATCAGGGGACTGGGATAGGGAGGAAGCCACTGGGAAAGGGATATAGAGAAAGATGATGCCATGAGCTGGTGGGTGTAAGGCAGATGGGTGGGCTCCAGAATGGGAGTTAAGAAGAGGTGGCAGCAGGATCCAGAGAAAAGCCCTAGGCTGGTTATAGTCCCTGCTCCCTCCTCTCTTGTTTTGCAGCCACAATTTTATTTATTTTTGAGAGAGGGTCTTGCTGTGTCACCTGGGCTGGAGTGCAATGGTATGATCTTGGCTCACTGCAGCTTTGACCTTGCGGGCTCAAGTGATTCTCCCACCTCAGCCTCCCAGGTAGCTGGGACTACAGGTGCAGGTCACCATGCCTGGCTAATTTTTTTTAAAATTTTTTGTAGAGACGAGGTCTCACTCTGTTGCCCAGGCTGGTCTTAAACAACAATTATTTTATTTATTTTTTAATTGAGACGGGTATGGCTGGGCATGGTGGCTTACGCCTATGATATTAGCACTTTGGGAGGCCAAGGTGGGAAGATCGCTTGAGCTCAGAAGTTTGAGACCACTCTGGGCAACAGAGTGAGACCCCATCTCTCTCTCTCTTTTTTTTTTTTTTTTCTGAGACAGACTCTCGCTCTGTTGCCCAGGCTGGAGTGCAATGCTGCGATCTTGGCTCACTGCAACCTCCGCCTCCCGGGTTCAAGCGATTCTCCTGCCTCAGCCTCCTGAGTACCTGGGATTACAGGAGCGCGCCACCATGTCCGACTAATATTTTGTATTTTTAGTAGAGACGGGGTTTCACCATGTTGGTCAGGCTGGTCTTGGAACTCCTGACCTCGTGATCCGCCCGCCTTGGCCTCTCAAAGTGCTGGGATTACAGGCGTGAGCCACCGCGCCCAGCTGTCCCCATCACTTAAAAAAAAAGTTAAAAAAATTAACATTAAAATATATATAAATTGAGACGGGTTCTTTTTTCTTTTCTTGAGATGGAGTTTTGCTCTTGTTGCCCAGGCTGGCGTGCAATGGAGCAATCTTGGCTCACCGCAACCTCCCGCTCCCAGGTTCAAGTGATTCTCCTGCCTCAGCCTCCTGAGTAGCTGGGATTACAGGTATGCACCACCACCCTGGCTAATTTTGTATTCTTAGTAGAGATGGAGTTTCTGCATGTTGGTCAGGCTGTTCTCAAACTCCTGACCTCAGGTGATCCGCCCGCCTCAGCCTCCCAAAATGCTGGGATTTCAGGAGTGAGCCACTGCGCCTGGCTGAGATAGGTTCTTACTCTGTCACCCAGGCTGGAGTGCAGTGGCACGATCTTGGCTCATTGCAGCCTGGGCTTAAGTGATCCTCCCCCGTCAGCCTGCCACCACGTGGCAGCTAATAAACAACAATAATTTTTATTTATTTTTATTTTTTGAAATGGAGTTTCACTCTTGTCACCCAAGCTGGAATGCAATGGTGCGATCTCGGCTCACTGCAACCTCCGCCTCCTGGGTTCAAGTGATTCTCCTGCCTCAGCCTCCTGAGTAGCTGGGATTACAGGCGTATGCCACCACACCAGGCTAATTTTTGTATTTTTAGTAGAGATGGCGTTGGCCAGGCTGGTCTTGAACTCCTGACCTCAAGTAATCCACCTGCCTCGGCCTCCCAAAATGCTGGGATTACAGGCGTGAGCCACGGTGCCCAGCCAACAACAATAATTTTAATAGCAGGTTCCTTTCACTGAGTGTAGTAGATGCTGTCAGTGGCCCACCCACACCTCCAGGCCTACCAGGAGGGCACCCACAGACAGTTCCTGACCAGGCGCCTACTTCCTGTGTCCCTCCTGAGGGCATTTTCAGCTATGGGAGTTAGTGTGGGGCAGGCCCAAAGGGCTGTAGAGTTAATACCCCCAGAGCAACCATCAGCCAATGGTCCAGAGTTAGGGGTAAATACCCCAGCTTTCTGGTCCCTCGATGGGAGCATTCCAATTCCCAATTCCAGGTCATGTTTCAGACTCAGAGAGACTCCAGCAGAGTTAAGTTCTCCATGGTGAAAACCCACTGGTATCTGTGCGCTTTTTTTTTTTTTTTTGAGACGGAGTCTCGCTCAGTCGCCCAGGCTGGAGTGCGGTGGCGCGATCTTGGCTCACCGCAAGCTCCGCCTCCCGGGTTCACGCCATTCTGCTGCCTCAGCCTCCTGAGTAGCTGGGACTACAGGCGCCCGCCACCACGCCCGGCTAATTTTTTTTTTTGTATTTTTAGTAGAGATGGGGTTTCACTGTGTTAGCCAGGATGGTCTCGATCTCCTGACCTCGTGATCCACCCATCTTGGCCCCCCAAAGTGCTGGGATTACAGGTGTGAGCCACTGCGCCCGGCCTATCTGTGCACTTTATTCTGTTTCCTCTCTTTGTCTCATTTCCCCGCTCGCTCACTCCGCTTCTTGGGATCACAACTCTCTCCTTCACCAGCTTGAAAAGCTTGGGCCCCAAGACTATGGGGAAGACAAGAGGCATGGTAAGGGTGGGATGAGCCACACAGGGATGCCGCAGGAGAGCTGGGGAAGGCTGGAAGCCAACCTAGGGCAGCCACAACCCTTCTTAGGGCCATGCAGCCCTTCTTAGGGCCATGTGTCCCTTCTGGATCAGAAAAGTTAATGCAGGAGTAGGATTTAAACTCAGAGCTATCTGGCTCCCAAACCCAGTCCTTAACCAGTATACTCTGCAGCCTCCCTTTCTCTGATTCTCTCTCAGCCTTTTTATTTTTATTTTTTAAGACAGAGGCTGTAGTGCGTGGTATGATCTCAGCTCCCTGCAACCTCTGCCTCCTGGGTTCAAGCGATTCTCCTGCCTCAGCCTCCTGAGTAGCTGGGACTACAGGTGTGCACTACCACACCCAGCTAGTTTTTTTGTATTTTTAGTAGAGACAGTTTCACCGTGTTGGCCAGGATGGTCTCGATCTCCTGACCTCGTGATCCACCCACCTCGGCCTCCCAAAGTGTTGGGATTACAGGCGTGAGCCACCGTGCCCGGCCTGAAGAGGCTCTTTCTAAATAATGGTGAGGATTTTGACAGGGTGAGATGGAAGTGGAGATGGAGGAGTGAGGGGGTGGGATCCAGTCAAAGATAAGAATGTGAACCAAGGTGAGGAGGTGGCGTAGGTGGAGCTTAGGGAAGGAAATGTACCAGGCTTGGTTGTGGATAAGGGTTTGTGATGGGAAGTTATGGTAAGGAGTGTGGGGCTTAACTGCTGAGCTAAGGAGCTTTTACCTTACAGTAGAGGAGAAGAAGGTGTGCTCAAAGCTGTATTTTAAGAAGATTACTCTGCAGATTGAAAAGCAGGAGAAAGAAGAGGGGAGAGGAAGGCAGATGGGTGAGAAGATACTGAAAGTGTCCAGATGAAAGTAAACTATCCAGGGGCAGTGAGAAAGGAAGAGACAGATGGGAGAGGGACTGAGAAGAGAGATTCAGAGACTGACAGAGTGAGCACACAGCTCACAATTTAATTAGCTTCCTGCTTTGCCAGTGGATTACAGGGAATTAGCAAAGCTCACAGTCTAGGGACCTTGCTGGGAGTTGAGGGGAAATTAATGAGAAAGACAACAACATGCCCCAGGGAGAAATGAAAGAGGAGGAATGTTAGCCAAGCAGAGATGCCAGCAGGAGAAACATACGTCTGGGCGCTGAGTCCCTGCCTTTCTCGGAGATTTCAGCCCTCCAGGGGAGCAGACTTTAGGGTTCCTGGTCACGCTCCTGGCCCCATTGCCCTTGGTTCCAATTCCTCTGAGCACTTGGTAAATGACCCCGGAGAGGGGAAGCTGGGAGTGCTTGTGAAGACCAAGTTCCCAACTCTCCCCTGGCCTTTTTCCCAGCAGGGCTCTAAGATCCCAACACTGGCCTTCCTAGAAGGCAGAACTGAATCCCCTGGGCCCCTTCTGCAGATGGACCAGGAGGTGACCTGCTCATGACCTGATGTGACAAATTGCATTTTCAAATGCGACAGTGTCATCTCCCATCCCACTTGCTCTTCTTACAATGTGACCTTGCCAGTCCTCATGAAAAGGAGGAGTTACGTTAGGTCATTGAAAGGTGATGCCGCTGCTGCCTGGATCTCTCTCTTGAAACCCTCATCCCTGGAGCCCAGCCATCAGACTGTGAGGAAGCCTAGGTCACATGGAAAGGCCACGTGTAAATATTGTGGCCAACAGTCCTAGTCAGGACCAGCTACATCATTTGCAGAGTCCAGTGCAAAATGAAATTGTGGAGTGGCTGGGCACAGTGGCTCATGCCTTTAATCCCAGCACTTTGGGAGGCCAAGGCAGGGAGATCACTTGAGGCCAAGAGTTTGAGACTGGCCTGGCCAACATGGCGAAACCCCGTCTCTAAAAAAAAAATACAAAAAGTGGCCAGGTGTGGTGGCTCACGCCTGTAATTCCAGCACTTTGGGAGGCCAAGGCGGGTGGATCACCAAAGGTCAGGAGCTCGAGACCAGCTTGACCAACATGGTGAAACCCCTTCTCTACTAAAAATACAAAAATTAGCCAGGTGTGGTGGCACGTGCCTGTAATCCCAGCTACTCAGGAGGCTGAGGCAGAAGAATCGCTTGAACTTGGGAGGCAGAGGTTGCAGTGAGCCGAGATCGCACCACTGCACTCCAGCCTGGGCAACAGAGCAAGACTCCATCTCAAAAAAAAAAAAAAAATTAGCCGGGCATGATGGCACTCACCTGTGGTCCCAGCTACTCGGGAGGCTGGGGCATGAGGATCGCTTGAACCTGGGAGGCAGAGGTTGCAGCAAGCCGAGATTGCACCACTGCTCTCCAGCCTAGGCGACAGGGCAAGACCCTGTCTTAAAAAAAAAAAGAAGGTGGAGGGTACTGTTAAAAAGTTAAGAATTTAGAGCTTTAAACCAAGCATATGGCTCTTCCAAGTGTGGCACCTTGCTCAGCCATGCAAGTTGTGGGGCCACGAAGCTGGCCCTGGCCCCAGCTGCGGTACCAGCATCACTGCAAGTGATGTGGATGTGAGGAAGCCTTCAAGAGGACACCAGGCCTGGCCTCTGACTGCAACTGTGTGAGCGGCCCTGAATGAGAACTGCCTAGCTGAACCTAGTACTCCACCAGACCCACAAGGAATAAAGATGATTGTTGCTGGGCTTTTTGTTGTTGTTGTTTGTTTGAGACGGAATCTCACTCTGTCACCCAGGCTGGAGTGCAGTGGCACGATCTCAGCTCACTGCAACCTCTGCCTCCCGGGTTCAAGCAGTTCTCTTGCCTCAGCCTCCCGAGTAGCTGAGATTACAGGCGCCTGCCACCACACCCGGCTAATTTTTTTTGTATTTTTAGTAGAGACGGGGTTTCACCGTATTGGCCAGGCTGGTCTTGAACTCCTGACTTCAAGTGATCCACCTGCCTCGGCCTCCCAAAGTGTTGAGATTATAGGTGTGAGCCACCGCGCCCAGCCGACTGTTGCTGTTTTAAACCAGTAAGTTTTGGGTTACTGTAGCAACAGAGAGTTGGAACACTGGGGTAACCAGACCTGATCAAAACTGGCTGAAGATGCAGGACAGCCACCAAGTTTCTCCCCATACCCAGGCTCATTCCCTGAACTGTTGTTGCATGTTCTCCTTGACCCATGTTAGCAGAAGACATTGGAGGCACAAATAACTCCAGACTGACAGGAGACCCAAATCCTATGTCTGGCTATGGAATGCTGCACATTGACACCAAGATCTGCACATCTTTGGGGACAAAAGTCAGCTTTTCAATTGGAGAGGTTGGAGAAAAAACCCACTCTTCTGTGAGCTGAAACAGTGGTAGTATTGGCACTGGCAGGAGACAGTGTTTGGGTCTCCATGGCCTGCAGGAAGGGAGAAAAGGAAGGCTGTGTCCTGCCAAGGTGAGTAACAGAGAGAAGCCCTGTGGCTTTTTTTCTTTTCTTTTCTTTTCTTTTCTTTTTTTGAGACAGAGTCTTGCTCTGTTGCCCAGGCTAGAGTACAGTGGCGCAATATCGGCTCACTGCAACCTCCGCCTCCCGGGTTCAAGCAATTCTCCTGCCTCAGCCTCCCAAGTAGCTGGGATTTCAGGTGCCCACCACTGCACCCCCGGCTAATTTTTGTATTTTTTTAGTAAAGGCGGGGTTTCACCATCTTTGCCAGACTGGTCTCAAACTCCTGACCTCTTGATCCACCTGCGTTGGCCTCCCAAAGTGTCCACCCACCTCGGCCTCCCAAAGTGCTGGGATTACAGGCATGAGCCACCTTGCCCGGCCAGCTTTTTTTTTTTTTTTTTTTTTTGAGACAGGGTCTCACTTTGTTGCCCACGCCTGCCTTGAACTCCTAGGCTCACACAATCCTCCTGCCTCAGCCTCCCAAGGAGCTGGGATTATAGGTGCATGCCACTACGTCTGGTCACATTCTGATTCTGACTGGTGAGGGGTTGTGTTGAATTGCTTTGTCTGTGTTCACCCCAGTGTAGTGCCTGCCAGAGTGTAGGTCAGAAGAGTCCTGAGTGACTGGTGAGACAACTTGAATGTAAACATAATCTACAACCCAGTTGAGTAACTGCTGGAGGAGGAGGGAAGGGGGCAGGGAGAGGCTTATAGCAATTTATCATTGCCCCCTCAGTTTTTTGTTTGTTTGTTTGTTTTTAAGACGGAGTCTTGCTCTGTCGCCCAGGCTGGAGTGCAGTGGCGCGATCTCGGCTCACTGCAACCTCCGCCTCCTGGGTTCATTCTCCTGCCTCAGCCTCCCGAGTAGCTGGGACTACATGCGCCCGCCACCACGCCCAGCTAATTTTTTGTATTTTTAGTAGAGACGGGGTTTCACCATGTTAGCCAGGATGGTCTCGATCTCCTGACTTCGTGATCCGCCCGCCTCAGCCTCCCAAAGTGCTGGGATTACAGGCTTGAGCCACCGCGCCTGGCCGGGGTGCCCCCTCAGTTTTTAAAAGAGTAGGCAGAAATACAAACCAGAAAGTGTGGGAGGATCACTTGAGCCCAATAGGTGGAGGCTGCAGTGAGCCAAGATGGCACACCTGCACTCCATTCCTTGTGGGCTGGGTGGAAATTAGGAAGAGAAATTAATTCTAAGTGGAGCAATGCAGCTAGGCTTAATCAGAGAGGTAACACCTAAACGAAGCAGTGAAGGCTGCACTGGACTTTGACAGGTAACAATAGACTGAAGAGCATTCTGGGAGAAAGGAGCAGGGAGCAGGAGGTAACGCTCTTAGGCAATTCAGAATCATGGTGAAGAGTAGTGTCTGGCATCAGACTGCTTCAGTTTGAATCCCAGCTTCTTCATTATTTGTATGACCTGTTTCCCCACCTGTGAAATGGGGATAATAAAAGTATGCCCCATTGCTGCAAGGATTAAAGACATTTAGCACAGAGACTGGTATACTGTGAGCACTCAGTATGTGTTGGCTGTTACTACTGTTTGGTGTGTTTGAAAAATGAGTAATAATATCGGTGTGGCTGCAGTATGGAATGTGGAGCTACTGATGGGAGATAGGCCCAGAAAAATGTGGTTGAATCCAATCATGAAGGATTTTTTATTTATTTATTTTTATTTTTTGAGACAGCGTTTCACTCTGCTTGCCCAGGCTGGAGTGCAATGGTGTGATCTCAGCTCACTGCAACCTCCGCCTCCCGGGTTCAAGAGATTCTCCTGCCTCAGCCTCCTGAGTAGCTGGGATTACAAGCATGTGCCACCACGCCTGGCTTATTTTGTATTTTTAGTAGAGACGGGGTTTCTCCATGTTGATCAGGCTGGTCTCGAACTCCGGACCTCAGGTGATCTGCCCACTTTGGCCTCCCAAAGTGCTGGGATTACAGGCCTGAACCACCACACCCAGTCTCATGAAGGATTTCAAGTGCCAGCCTATGCCATCCAGACTTTATTCTGGAAGCCAGGGGATGCCGATGCCAATCCTGTCAGACCAAACTTATAAGTATTGTGGGCTGGGCGTGGTGGCTCATGTCTGTAATCCCAACACTTTGGGAGCCCTAGGGTGGGAGGATTACTTGAGGCCAGGAGTTCGAGACCAGCCTTGGCAACATGGTGAGAACCCCGTCTCCACAAAAAAAAAAAAAAAAGAAAAAAATTAGCTGGGCTTGGTCGCACACACGCATAGTTCCAGCTACTCAGGAGGCTGAAGTGGGAGGATTGCTTGATCCCAGGAGGTTGAAGCTGCAGTGAGCCATGATTGCACCACTGCACTCCAGCCTGGGTAATAGAGCAAGACCCTCTCTCTCAAAAAAAAAAAAAAAATTATAAGATGCTATTGTTATTATTTTTACCTCTCAAACTGTCAAAGATCAATGAGGTTTATTATACATTCTATTGGTGAGATGTAGAGAAACAGACATTCATACATTTTTAGTAGGAGGGTAAAATGACACAATTGGACAGTATCTACCAAGTTTAAAAATGTGCATGCCCTTTAAGTCAGTGATTTTACTTCTTGAAGAGATGTTTTTCAGATACATGCCCACTTGTTGGGAATTACATCTTATTCATTTTAGCATGGCTTGTAATAGCAAACAGTTTGTAATAGCAATGACGTGTTATTTATTGCAGCATTGTTTGTAATAGCAAAATACTGGAAATAATCTACATGTCCGGCAAAAGGACCAATAAATTATGATACATATATACAGTAGAATACGATGCATCCCTACAAAAGAATGAGGAATCATTTTGTATACTGATGAAATAATCGCTAAGAAATGCTGTTAGTTAAGTGAAATAAAAAACAAGGTGCACAACATACCACCATTTATGTGAAAAAATAAAAAGCATGCATTTGCTTATGTGTACTTGGAATGAATACCTCTGAGGGGATCTATTAGAAACCATTAACAGCAGTTGCTGTTAATATGTCTCCCATATTTTTCTTTTTTGTTTTTTTTGTTTTTTTTTGAGACGGAGTCTTGCTCTATCTCCCAGGCTGGAGTGCAGTGGCGAGATCTTGGCTCACTGCAAGCTCCGCCTCCCAGGTTCACGCCATTCTCCTGCCTCAGCCTCCCGAGTAGCTGGGACTACAGGCGCCTGCCACCACGCCTGGCTAATTTTTTTGTATTTTTAGTAGAGACAGAGTTTTACCGGGTTAGCCAGGATGGTCTAGATCTGACCTCGTGATCCGCCCGCCTCGGCCTCCCAAAGTGTTGGGATTACAGGTGTGAGCCACCGTGCCCGGCTGTCTCCCATATTTTTCACTGTTTCACCCCTTTGTAACTAAAATAACAAGAGGTGGGGAGAGCCACTATCTTTTTAAGCAGCTGCTCCATTCCTACCGGTTTCTATTCAACCTGAGATCAGCTGCAAGCCCTTAGCCTTTTTCTCAGGCACCTCTGGCAAACCAAACTTCCTATATCCTATGCTTATGCAGCTGATTTTTTTTTTTTAATCTAAATGCAGGTCTCTCCACTTACTCTTTTAAATTTCATCCTGCTGGTTTCAGCCCACTGTTTCAAGTTATTTTAGAATCTTGACTTTGAAATATTAGCTTTTCATCCCAACAGTGGTGCCTTCTGCAAATTTGGCAAGTGTAGTGGGCACTGACCACTACTAGGCTGACCAGGGTCTAGGAGCACAGAACTAGAGATACTTCCTCAGCAAGCTCTGCAGCAATCGGATAACCAACTGGGGTGAAGGAGCACAGCAGTTACATGAATCCACCTGACTGGGCAGTCTCTGAGATCGATATTTTCCTACTAGCCTCTTCAATCGTGAGACAATCAATGTCTAACTGGAAACAAGGAACACTATGTATGGCCCAAGGAATTTTCCTAGTGGCCTTCTGAGTAAATAAGTAACAAATTATTGTTGATATTTTTATCATTTTCGCCGCATCTTGTTCTTTGTGAAGATACCACTTATTTTTCTAGGTGTTCTCAAGCAAGGTGTTCTCAAATCCATGGTTTAATGTTATATTCTAGAATAGATTTTGAGGGAAATGTGCCCAGGATCTCCCTTTTCTTCTTTTTTGTCAGGGTATTTGCAGCTGTCCAGGACTGTGGCCCCTGTCCTTTTCGCCGCAGCTTTCATAGCCACATTGGCAAAGGTCCCTGGATCTTATCTGCAAAGGTCTGTCATCACCTTGGGATTTGCAGCTCATTTTGAATGGCTAGGTGGTTAGGTTTTCTCTTATCTTTTCTTCTATTTGGGGTTTAATGTCCTCTAACCCCTGTTTTGCTGAACTCTTCCCAGTCTGGAAGTGCTTTTCCTCGGGGGAGAAAGAGGAAAATCAGAGTTGAGTATTCTGCTTTCTCTGAAAACTGCCAACCTGACATCTTCATCCCCAGATGGAACCCTGTCTTCTCCTTTTTCCTCTTGCTTGAACATAACCAGCAATATCTTTTATTGTCTGCACCTTTTCCAAGTCTCAGTTTATCACGGACTTCACCTTTCCTTCCGTCTCTTGTACCCCACCTTTTAAATTTTGAACTTATCAGAGAGCTCTCTACAGAGCCACACTGGTTTCTTTGGCTCTCCTTTTCTCTGCACAGGGATTTTCAGCAAATGCGATAGCCTAATTTATCCCAGAGCTTCCTATCCCTCTTGTGCCATATTGCCATCTTGTCTCTAAACTTAGAATCATAACTTTTTTCTAACTTTTCAAATCATTTTTCTGGGATTATTTATTTATCCAATCATCCATTCATCCCATGCCCACATGCCCTTCCTTCCAAATCCAACTTTCTCCTTTGGTTCCTGTCTCATCAACAGCACCAGGGGAGTCTTTCCCCATCAGAAGGAAGGTTGGGGGAGCAGCTCCCTGGCAGCTTTTTCTTCCAGCTGAGAGGAAACTGTCATTGATGAATGTGAAGAGTTTATCAGCCACTCAGCGACTAGCTGGGCGAGACTGTAGTTACCAGGACAGGGCAGTCTCCAGCTCAGTGCCTGCTGCTCTCAGAGCACGTCAGGCAGTCAGATGTGTGCTTCCCTGGGGACACGACTTCCACGAGCTCATCTAGCAGTCTCACCCTCAACACCTGGTTTCCTCCAATTTGGCAGTGTGCTGTGGTGTAAAGCTTGCAGGATGTGGACTCCAATATACCCAGGTTTGCATTCTAGTTTTGCTATTTACTAGCAAGTCACTTAAATCTTTATCTCTGAGCTTCCATTTCTCTCACTTAAAAAGTGAGAAAAAGTGGCTATTATCAGGCTCATGGGGTGATTGAGCTGACATATGTATGTACCTGTGCATGGAAGGTTTCAAACACACCAGCTTCTGTGCTCAGCTTAGCTTCATGGAGTCTCACGTGTCACATGTTCTGGGTGAACTGTTGTTTTTTTCCCTTTCTATTAAAACTGTTTCTTTTGGACAGGGTGTAATGTATGTCTTTGCCCAGTGAACCTTCCTTGGATGAGCCATGCATCCCACTAGAAAACAGTCCAGCTCTGAGAAGAGTGTGGGGGCGGAGGACAGGAAACAGAACAGAACAGCAGAATGTATGTGGTTCTGGGGCTGACCCTGGACCTCTACCCCTTCAGATGGGCCTGTGACTCAGGCCTGGCTAGCGTCTCCCAGACACACCAAATGCTTTACAGATGGGTGTGTGTTTCAAGCCAGAGTCCTCCTGGGGATTTTTGCTGGAGCTCTCCAAAGTGATTTTGCTCTTTCTCTGGAATCACAAGCTCTAAGAAGCCATGTGAGTGGAGCTGCCAGCTGGCATCTTGTTGCCATGTGGAGAGCCCGTCGGAGAGGGAAACCAGCCGAGGGGTGGGAAGACCGAATCCCGATGCCCTTGTTTGAACCCCCAGATTCACCACTGGCCATTTTTATTACTTGAGCCAATGTAGCCAGTTTGAGTTGGGCTTCTGGGCATCTAACTAACTGTTGAGCATACAATGTTGATCCTTTCATTATTATAATAAAACCACGAGTTCCCTCCTCTCATTAAGATTCATACTTCACTCTTCGTTAAAATCTGTGCTCCGATCATCATGCAGAAAAATACTGGGACGCAATGCATGTGCGTGCCATATTAGAAATTCCAGATTTGCAGACCCATATCAGAATCTGGGCTTTGCTATTTACCACCAGTCTTGGGCAAATCAATGAACCCTTCTGAGTCTCACTTTTCCACTACTAAAATGGGAGCAGTATTTAGCTTATATGGCTGTTTTATGGGTTGGAGCTAATGGCGACATGGGCAGGGCACATGGTGAGCCATCACTAAATATTACTAGGTGGTAGGAACATTTATGTTATGTCAGTAGCTTTGACTCTGACTATGCTGAATCTATATAATTCCTACACTTTGTTCCATGTCACATCTCTTAGCTACCATGGTATCCAGGCTTATGGTGGCTTTGACCAAGGAGAGGAGAAGAACTTGCAGGCTTTTGAGAAAGATGGGAGATGAGGAGGTGGACAGAAATTTCAAAGTTCGATTGGGGGAGATGATGGAATTAGTCTTGTTTAAAACACTTGTGACTGCAGAACTTTACACCCACTTTCTATTTATAAATAGCCCTGTCTCTCAGCTCAGCTCCTCCTGCACAAGGCTTCCGTGGAAGACAACAGACACAGAGAGCAGCTGCCAGTGCGGCACAAATGTACAGAGCAGAGGCTGTTGGGGAACTGGGGCTGCATGTGGGCTTGGGGCGGAAGGATTAAAGACGCTAGGTCAAGAAATCTTGGCCGATTGCGGTGGCTCATGCCTGTAATCCCAGCACTTTGGGAGGCTGAGGCAGGCAGATCATGAGGTCAGAAGATCAAGACCATCCTGGCTAACATGGTGAAACCCCATCTCTACTAAAAATACAAAAAATTAGCCGGGCGTGGTGGTGGGCACCTGTAGTCCCAGCTACTTGGGAGGCTGAGGCAGGAGAATGGCGTGAACCCGGGAGGCGGAGCTTGCAGTGAGCCGAGATCGTGCCACTGCCCTCCAGCCTGGGCGACAGAGCAAGACTCTGTCTCAAAAAAAAAAAAAAAAAAAAAGTAGGGTGTGGTGGTGCACACCTATAATCCCTGTTACTTGGGAGGCTGAGGCAGGAGAATCCTTGAACTTGGGGGGCGGAAGTTGCGGTGACCTGAGATCACGCCATTGCACTCCAGCTGGGGTAACAAGAGCAAAACTCTGTCTCAAAAAAAAAAAAAAAAAAAAAAGAAAAAAGAAAAAAAAATCTCAAGGAGCCCGGGCGCGGTGGCTCACGCTTATAATCCCAGCACTTTGGGAGGCCGAGGCGGGCGGATCACCTGAGGTCAGGAGTTTGAGACCAGCCTGGGCAACATGGCAAAACCCCGTCTCTACTAAAAATACAAAAAATTAGCCGGATGTGGTGGCAGGCACCTGTGATCCCAGCTACTCTTGGGAGGCTGAGGCAGGAGAATTGCTTGAACCTGGGAGGTGGAGGTTGCAGTGAGCCAAGATTGTGCCACTGCACTCCAGCCTGGGCGACAGAGTGAGATTCTGTATCAAAAAAAAAAAAAAAAAAAAAAAGCCAGGCATCATGGCAGGTGCCTATAATCCCAGCTACTAGGGAGGCTGAGGCAGGAGAATCACTTGAACCCGGGAGACGGAGGTTGCAGTGAGTTGGGATCGTGCCACTGCACTCCAGCCTGGGTGACAGAGCGAGACTCTGTCTCAAAAAAAAAAAAAAAAAAAAAAAAAGAAAAGAGAAGAAAAGAAATCTTAAGAAACCTGGGTCAAAAAGCAGTATTTTATCCTCTGCCAGAAGCCTGTGTAGGTAGAGGAGAGTCATGGCCATCCTCTGTACCCTGGTCAAAGATGGTAGAACTCCAGCTTTATCTACTGCCTACTGCCTTGAGCTGGCAGCAGGAAGACAAGATAGAGGCTGCAGCAACAGCTGAGCAGAGATGATGCCTAAAGGCGACGGGAAAGAAAGGGAGGTGACAAATTCAGAGGCGTTTCTGAGAATCCAGCAGTGATTTTCTAGAAGCAGAGGGAGGGGTAGGGAGGACACAAACTCATCTCCAGGGTTTCTAGCTTGGGGAATAGGGGCATAATGCTGTGTTTATAATAGAATTTAGAGTGCAAGTACCACCACAGGCTTGGGAAGAGGGCTTGAGATGTAACTCAGTTTGGGGATCCTCAAGGACATTCAGTGGATATTCAGTGGATACAGCTAGGAGGCAGCTGACTTTGTTCAACACACATCTGTGGAGTCTCTACCATGTGCCAGTCCCTGTTCTAGGTGCTCATTATATGGCAGAAATCCAGCTTTGAAGAAAGGTTAGGACAGTAAGAGATGCAATTCCACTTGCCTCCAAATGCTTTAGCCTTTACTAACGCCGTAACTTTGCCCATATTATTGTCTATACTTGGAAAGTAGCCCCTCCCTTCTAATTCTTAAAATTCTAATAACTATCACATACCAAATATTTACTCTATGCCAGACATGGTACTAAATCTAATACTCTAGGGTGGGCATGGTGGCTCATCCCTGTAATCCTAGCACTTTGGGAGGCCGAGGAGGGTGGATCACCTGAGGTCAGGAGTTTGAGACCAGCCTGGGTAACATGGCAAAACCCCGTCTCTACTAAAAATACAAAAGTTAGCCGGGTGTGATGGCACGTGCCTGTAATCCCAGCTACTCAGGAGGCTGAGGCATGAGAATCACTTGAACCCAGGAGGCAGAGGTTGCAGTGAGCCGAGATCGAGCCACTTCACTCCAGCCTGGGCGAAAGGGCAAAACTCCGTCTCAAAAAGAAAAGAAAACTGTAATGAGTATTACTTTGCATTCTAGACATGAGGAGCCTGAGGCTTAAAATGACCAACTTTCCCAAGGTCTCACAGCTAGTGACAGCTAGAAATTGCTGCCATCCCATCATCCTGCCACCCAAGATCCCCACTATCCTGACAAAGCCACAATCGGAGCCGCTTCTTCATGAAGTCTCTGATCTCCCCAAATGGATGTAAGCTTTCTCTCTGTGCATCCCATGGTGCTTGGTTCCGGCTTCTCATGCCGTATCCTGCTTTGTAGAACCATCATCAGAGAGTGTTAAAAGAGCTTCAACGAATACCTTCTTTCAGGGCACCAGGCCTCACTGTTGTACATATGGTTTCACTTAATCCTCCAATACTCCTAGAGTTTTATGTTCTTGTCATTCTGCCTCCCTGTCAGTGGACAGTAAGCGCCAAAGAGGACAGGGAGATTATAGGCCTTTGCATCCTCTGCTGCCCCTCGCACAGAACTCTGCCCAAGCTACTCACTTAATGACTGACAGTTGCATTTATAAACTCTAAATGTGAGCCCCTCAGGGGGAGGAAAGGCATGAGATTCCAGCAAAAAGTGAGCAGTCTGAGGTGAGGCATGGTTCTGTTGTTTCCATCTTCACCCTCTGTCTTTTTTCCAGCCAAAGGACACTCTCACCAGTCTGATGCCAGAAGGGCAGGGCCCCGGCTAGATGGCCAGCCAGAGTAGGTGCAGTGCTGGCTTGTCCTTATCCAACCTCTGGCTCTTCATGCTACTCTGTGTGGAAATAAAAGCAATACCTAATAGATTTTCCATGGAAATGTGGCACTGCCAGGGAATAGTCCATTCTCTTGGCTGCCTTGGCGAGGCAGAGGCTGGTGTTACAAACTTTTCTTTCGTCCACGTGTCATCTTGGAGACTTGGAGAGAGGACAAGATTTGTTTCCTTATTTGCTGCCTCTCAGGAAGCTGCTGAGTCCTGAATAACATCTGCAGGTCACACTGGTTTCTCTTCCTCTTCTTCCACTCTCTCAAGTACCAACCTCTAACCGTATTGTGGTATGGTACTGATCGGAATCTACTTAAAAACATTCTTTTTCAGAGTTGCAATAAGATGATTCCAGAGCAATTACAGTTTTCATGCAAAATCTGCTTAGTTCCAGACAAGAGATTTGGTGCCCAGAGTACAGAGGACTCTACTTAGACCAAGGCAAGATGGGCTCTTTGCAATTCCATCTTATAATCATGGGACACTGGCGACCAGAACACTTAACTCATGCACTGGAAGGGGTCTCCCTAGGACCTCTCTCTAGACAGCAAATGTATGAGGAAGCTGTCATATGGGGAAGATTGGATAGAAGGAAAACTTTCACTCACTTTAGAAAATTAATCCTCATTCTTAGCCAAGATAGTCTCCTGAAAAGAAGCTATTTTTTGGCCAGGCATAGTGGCTTACACCAGTAATCCCAGCACTCTGGGAGGCCTAGGTAGGCAGATGGCTTGAGTCCGGGAGTTCAAGACCAGCCTGGGCAACAATATAGCAAACCCTGTCTCTACTAAAAATACAAAAAAAAATTAGCCAGATGTGTGGGCCGGGCGCGGTGGCTCACGCCTGTAATCCCAGCACTTTGGGAGGCTGAGATGGGCGGATCATGAGGTCAGGAGATCAAGACCATCCTGGCTAACACAGTGAAACCCCGTCTCTACTAAAAATACAAAAAAATTAGCCGGGCGTGGTGGCGGGCACCTGTAGTCCCAGCTACTTGGGGGCTGACGCAGAATGGTGTGAACCTGGGAGGCAGAGGTTGCGGTGAGCCGAGATCGTGCCACTGCACTCCAGCCTGGGCAACAGGGCAAGACTCCATCTCAAAAAAAAAATTAGCCAGATGTGGTGGCGCACACTTGTAATCCCAGCTACTTGGGAGGCTGAGGTGGGAGAATCATCTGAGCTTGGGAAGTGGAGGCTGCAGTGAGCTGAGACTGCACCACTACACTTCAGTCCAGCCTGGGCAACCAGAGTGAGACCCTATCTCAAAAAAAAAAAAAAAAAGAAGTGCTAATTTTTGGTTGGTGGTAAAAGAATCTCTCACTGGCAACTTCCCCTCCAGGGCAAAAATCAGAGTGCAAGATTCTGACTCCTTTCAAGTTTAAAGGGAAAAATAAGATGAGAGATGAATAGAAGGGGGAAAAATATAAAATGAGATGTCACATGTGACTTTTTCCTTTAAGTCAAGATCTTGCTCTGTCACCCAGGCTGGAGTGCAGTGGCACAATGATAGCTCACCGCAGCCTCAAACTCCTGGGCTCAGGTTTCTCTGGCCCCAGCCTCCCAAGTAGCTGGGACTACAGATGTGTTCCACCATGCCTGGCTAATTTTTTTTTTTTTAGTTTTAGTAGAGACAGGATCTCACTATGTTGTCTAGGCTGGTCTCAAACTCCAGAACTCAAGTGATCCTCCCACCTTAGCCTCCCAAAGTGCTGGGATTGGCTGGGCACAGTGTTTTTGAGACTGTCTCAAAAACAAACAAAACAAAACAAAACAAAAAAACACAAAATGCTGGGATTACAGGCATAAGCTACTGCACCCAGCACTTGTGACTTCTTTAGGAAAGCCTAAACAGAGCTCTGAAAAGGAGGTAAGACAAATATCTTTGTATTTAAAAAAACAAAAACAAAAATGCCAAAATAGAAACTACCATGCCACCTTGGGAGGCAGCCTGAATGAACCCATCCATTCTGCAAGGATGTTTTAGAAGCACCCAGTAGAGGTGCTGACACATAGATCAGTTTCAAGAAATGTTACCAGCCAAATGTCTTAGGAGTTCTACTACACTGAACTAATGGTACCTCTAGGAAGATTTCTTCTCTAGGAAGAAATCCTTGCCATACAGTAACTTAGCTTTTCATCTATATAAACCATCATAATAGTCTAGAAAAGTAATGGTGATCATTTCTATTTTCAGTTGTTTCCGCTATTTATAATTCTGCAGAGGCAAGATCTGTCTTTCCTTATTTAAGACCATTCTACTCTGTTGGGAGCTTGTTCACTGCTTTGACTACAAATGCAGGCCCACTTTCCTCAGATGGATGGCTTACATAACATTTGGTTTGGCTGGGCACAGTGGCTCATGCCTGTAATCACAGCACTTTGGGAGGCCCAGGCAGATCATTTGAGGTCAGGAGTTCAAGACCAGCCTAGCCAACATGGTGAAAGCCCGTCTCTACTAAAAATACAAAAAAATGAGCCGCGGGTGGTGACATGCACCTGTAATCCCAGCTACTTGGGAGAGTGAGAAACGAGAATTGCTTGAACCCAGGAGGTGGAGGTTGCAGTGAGCCGAGATCAGCCACTGCAAGACAGAGAGAGACCTTGTCTCAAAAACAAACAAACAAACAAACAAACACAAAAACACAATGTGGTTTACTGGCTACAATTTTAGCATTTTATAGCCTCCACGAAAGAATAAAAATGCCTCGACTGGCTTCATGTCCTGGAAGAATTATTAAGGAAAAAAAAAAACCTTGGAATTTGATAGACCCTGGTTTGAATTCAGCCCTGAAAATTCCTGACTATGATTTCGAGTGAGTTGCTTAATTAGAGTCTCACATAAAACGAGGATGCCTATCCTACCAAAAAATCATGACAATTAGAACTTCTACAACAGGCTTGGCAGTCACTACTAACCAATCTGTTCTCCTGTCTTGCTCCCTTATCTGCCACAGTACCTTAAAATGACCACCTACAATTACTACCACTTGACCAGCTAGTTTTTCTTTTTTCTTTTTTTTTGAGACGGAGTTTTGCTTGTTGCCCAGGCTGGAGTGCAATGGCACCATTTTTGCCCACTGCAACCTCCGCCTCCCACGTTGAGGCAATTCTCCTGCCTCAGCCTCTTTTTTTTCTTTGAGACAGTCTTGCTCTGTTGCCCAGGCCGGAGTACGTTGGCGCAACCTTGGCTCACTGCAACCTCCACCTCCTGGGTTTCAGCGATTCTCCTGCTTCAGTCTCCTAAGTAGCTGGAATTATAGGCATGCGCCTCCATACCTAATTTTTGTAATTTTAGTAGAGATGGGGTTTCACCATGTTAGCCAGGCTGGTCTCGAACTCCTGGCCTCAAGTGATCTGCCCACCTCGGCCTCCCAAAGTTCTGGGATTACAGGCGTGAGCCACCGCACCCAGTCTTTTATTTTAATATACATTTTAAAGGCTAAGTGAAGCAGTGGAAAGGGAGAAGGAAAAAAAAATCTGTTAACTGGTTGTGATCAACTAGTTGCAATACTGCTGCACTTAGACCAGCCACGACCCCACTAGCTTTTCTATAAAGCCCAGTGAGGCTTTTTTTTTTTTTTTTTTTTTTTTTTTTTTGGCTCTCAGTTGACACCTAGGCTGGAGTGCAGTGGTGCGACCATAGGTCAGTACAGCCTCAACCTCCCAGGACTCAACCAGTCGTCCCACTTCAGCCTCCTGTGTAGCTGGCACTACAGGTGCACACCACCAAGCCTGGCTAATTTTTAAATTTTTGTGTTGAGAAAAGGTCTCACTATATTATCCAAGCAGGCTGTTTTAGTTGGCCTGTTTTAAAGGACTAAATATATATTTTTCCCCCACAGATTTTCAAATCAGAGAGAAGTAATGCTCCTGCTGTATAAAACATGAACTTGGTGTTGGATGTAGTTTTTGTCAGTTAGTTTGTACTATCATTACATGCTCTGAAGGAGGGAGAGTTTGAAGGCACAGCCCTCTCACCCAGTTGGGACTCTCAGTGACTTCACAAAGAGATGGCACTAGAACTGAATCTGACAGTACAGAAACATGTCACTGGCAAGAGGGGGAGGACATTTCTAGAATAGGAAATTATAGTTAAGTCAAGGTATGCTGAGGTAACAGAGATGATGGAATATAGGGCTTATGTTGAATGTTTCTTTCATCCTAAGGTTGCTTTTTTTTTTTTTTGAGACAGAGTTTCACTCTTGTTGACCAGGCGGGAGTGCAGTGGGGCAATCTCAGCTCACTGCAACCTCCACCTTCCGATTTCAAGCGATTCTCCTGCCTCAGCCTCCTGAGTAGCTGGGATTACAGGTGCCCGCCACCACGCCTAATTTTTGTATTAGTAGAGACAGGGTTTCACCATGTTGGTCAGGCTGGTCTCAAATTCCTGACCTCATGATCCACCCGCCTCGGCCTCCCAAATTGCTGGGATTACTAAGGTTGCTTTTTTACCCTAGTATTTTTATAATGATCCCCCAAAGTTCCAGGAAACCCATACCTTCTTTATTTTTAAGATGCAGTTTCACTCTTGTTGCCTAGGCTGGAGTGCAATGGCACGATCTCAGCTTACCGCAACCTCCGCTTCCTGGGTTCAAGCGATTCTCATGCCTCAGCCTCCCAAGTAGCTGGGATTACAGGCATGTGCCACCACGCCCAGCTAATTTTCCTCCCTTTATTTCTTTAAAAAATAGAGACAGGGTTTTACCATGTTGCCCGGGCTGGTCTTGAGCTCCTGGACTCAAGTGATCCACTGCCCCCAGCCCACCCCACACTCTTCTTAAGTCAAGGTTTCAATGGTCACCACATACTCTAGAGGAACAGTTTGTGGCAACTTAGCTTGGTACCACAAAGGAAAACCAGTTTCACAAGTGGCTTACTAGAGAACCCCTACTTTTCTTTTTCTTTTTTTTAAGAGACAGAGTCTCACTCTGTCACCCAGTGGCACAATCTTGGGTCACTGCAACCTCCAGCTCCCAGGTTCAAGCGATTCTCCTGCCTCAGCCTCCTGAACTACAGGTGCGTGCCACCATGCCCGACTAATTTTTTTGTATTTTTAGTAGATATATTGGCCAGGCTGGTCTCCAACTCTTGGCCTCAAGTGATCCACCTGCCTCAGCCTCCCAAAGTGTTAGGATTACAGGTATGGGCCACCACAACCAGCCTAAGTTCATATTACTTACTGAGTTCATTATTTCTTGCATGTGTTTCTTTTTTTTTCTTTTTTTTTTTTTTAAGAGATGGGAGTTTCACTCTTGTTGCCCAGGCTGGAGTGCAATGGCGTGATCTCAGTTCATTGCAACCTCCACCTCCTGGGTTTCAAGAGATTCTCCTGCCTCAGCCTCCCGCATAGCTGGGATTACAGGCATGTGCCACCATGCCCGGCTAATTTTGTTATTTTTAGTAGAGACAGGGTTTCTTCATGTTGGTCAGGATGGTCTCGAATTCTCGACCTCAGGTGAACCACCTGCCTCGGCCTCCCAAAGTGCTGTGATTGCAGGCATGAGCCATTGCGCCCGGTCGCATGTGTTTCTTAATGGCACCTACCTGCATTTCCTAGCCCCTGAATATCTTTAGACTTTTATGTTAGTAGCTTATAGTAAGATATTATGGAGGATCATAGGTATAGGACTCTGACTAGACCTCTAGCTTGGATGCAGCAAGACTGAAACAGCTGGACTAGTATTTTGAGCAATCCTAGGCCTTGGAGAAATTTCTCAGCCACCCAACTTGCACAGGAAAAACTGAAGCCTTGGCGTCCTCTGGTGGTAGACTGGTTATCAGAGTCAGACATGCTTCTCAACTAGGAATAGGCAAGCATGAAAGTTCACAGAAGCCACAGGATAAACATGGCACATTTTCCCAGATCATCTTTACTTAAAGATTTTTTGGGAGAAAAAGGTAGGCAGCAAACATTTTTATATTAAAACAAATGCAGATAGTAATATTGAAATAGTATATAAAATTGACATTACTTTTTGAGACAAAGGAAGAGACATCAAAGACATTTTAAGCCGAGCTCCTCATGAGCTTCCTAAACCCCAGGGGAGGGAAGAGACCCCTGCATTCTCGTTCTGTCTAATATTATCAGTGGGGCTGTTTTGACAGAGAAGTCTCAGAAGCAGCGAATTAAGTGCTTACTCATTTGGCAATGTCCCAGTGAGTTATATAAATAAGTGAAACCACAGGCTTTCTCATTTTAGAGCATTTTAACCTGCTTTTTAGAAGGCCTGAGTAAACAGAAGCTTTATGCTTGAGTTGAATTTTATTTTCTCCCAAAGTGATTTTTTTCCTCCTATAAATGTTAACATGCTTAACTGAGGGTATGGCATGTGAGGTGGTCAGTGTCCTAAGACCCATGTCGACTTGGGTTGGCATTACCAGACATGGAGTTACAAATATACTTTCCAAGGCTGTCATCAGAAATGCAAAACTACTCACCTTCGGCAACAATAACAAAAAGGAAACAAAACAAAAAACTGAAGAACAAAAGATTATATATAATTAGAACTGTATGGTGTAATTTAAGCACTGGCAAATACTTGGCTCTTAAAGAAGGGGGTTACTCCTGCAGGATCTGCTTTTCATATTTTATGTGAAAACAAGAACTTCCTTTGAGGAAAAAAGTGCCATTATACTTCCTTTCCAAATCTTGCTTATTTTCTGTAATTGTCTTTTTCTTTGTTGTTGCTGACCCTTTATCTTATTTATTTTTTTTCAGGTAGCCTCTTGAACTAGAGTAGGCTCAGAGGCTCCCTGTAGGTGACATTTTATTACTTTGCAATAACAGACTGAAGGGGCAGATCCTCACACAGACTTTCTAGGGTAATGTAGCAATGTACTGTCCTTTTCTTGAAGTATGAGAGACAAGGTCAATGAAATGTGCTTAGAAGCATAATGGGAGTCAGATTCTGGTGCATGCTACTGACATTTTAGGGTCTACCCAAGAAAAAGTAATTCATAACCTCCCATATAGTTTAATTTAGTGATTTTGTTAAGTTTTACAAAATTATTTCTCATTTTTCTTGGAATTCTACTCTTCATTTTACAAAGCCTTAAATTGAGACTCAAAAATCACATGACAAAGTGCCTGTAGCTTCAGGAAAATACAACTTTTTTTCCCTTCTGGTTAAGTAAAATAAGAATTTGGAGCAAAAATATCCTAATTCAGAATAACTAAAGGGGGAGTATCAGTGGTAAGTTATGTTGTGCTGGAAAAAAGAACAAAAAAGGCAGACACCAAACACCTGAATTTTCCCAAGATTAAATGATTATTAAAAAAGCGCGCCACACTGTATAGAAATCAACATTCTCTCCCATAATTCTGTGCATCTGGGACTACAGAAATGTCACTGTCCCTGCCCCACATCTTCAAATTAACATTTTCAGGTCACAACAATAAGTCTTCCCAAAGGGGACCTTCCGGAAAAATAAGCTATTTCCTCGGCTCATATTCCCCTGGAAAACAAAACAAAACAAAACACAAATAATATCTAGCGAGATGAGATCAGCCAATCCAAATCAGCAGAGAGGTCCAATTGGGAGACGTGACTAAATCTAGGACAAAACTGGGACTATCACTACAGAACAAGGATTAGTATTCTCTGAAAGGCTGAGCTACTATGAACTAACTACAATTTCTCCTTATTAAGTTCTTACTCTGGGCAGACAGAACGCCCAGGTTGGATTCTGGCTTTGCCACTTTCCAGCTGGCTTAGCAAATGAGTCATGTAGAACAGTGCCTAACATTCAGTAAGTGCTAGCTTTCATTTATTTCTTTGTTTTTCTTTTTTGAGATGGAGTCTCGCTCTGTTGCCCAGGCTGTAGTGCAGTGGTGCAATCTCGGCTCACTGCAACCTCTGCCTCCCAGGTTCAAGCGATTCTCCTGCCTCAGCCTCCTAAGTAGCTGGGAAAGGAACGCGCCACCGTGCCTGGCTAATTTTTGTACTTTTAGTGGAGGTGGGGTTTCACCATATTGGCCAGGCTGGTCTCAAACTCCTGACCTCAAGTGATCCGCCTATCTTGGCCTCCCAAAAGTGCAGGGATTACGGGTGTGATCCACCATACCCGGCCTATTTATTTCTTAATGAAATGAAATCATGTTTCTAAGGACTACTTATAAAATCTTATAATCAAAGTAATAACAACCTGGACAACATAGTAAGACCCCATCTCTACAAGAAATTAAAAAATTAAAGGCCGGGTGTGATGGTTCACACCGGTAATCCTAGCACTTTGAGAGACCAAGGCAGGAGGATCACTTGAGCTCAGGAATTTGAGACCAGCCTGCACAACATGGCAAAACCCCGTTGCTACAAAAAATACAAAAAATTGGGCAGACATGGTGGCTCACGCCTGTAATCTCAGCACTTTGGGAGGCTGAGGCAGGCAGATCACCTGAGGTCAGGAGTTCGAGACCAGCCTGACTAACATAGTGAAACCCCATCTCTACTAAAAATACAAAAATTAGCCGGGCGTAGTGGCGGACACCTGTAATCCCAGCTACTCAGGAGGCTGAGGCAGGGGAATTGCTTGAACCTGGGAGGTGAAGGTTGCAGTGAGCCAAGATCGTGCTATTGCACTCTAGCCTGGATGACAGAGCAAGCCTCCGTCTCAAACAAAACAAAACAAAACAAAACAAAAAAACAAACAAACAAAAAACAAAAAACAGGGGTGAGGGGGGAGGGATAGCATTAGGAGATATACCTAATGCTAAATGATGAGTTAATGGGTGCAGCACACCAACACGGCACATGTATACATATGTAACAAACCTGCACGTTGTGCACATGTACCCTAAAACTTAAAAGTATAATAATAATAAAATTAAAAAAAACAAAAAACAAAAAACAAAAAAATGAGCTGGGCTTAGCGGTATGTGCCTGTAGTCCAAGCTACCTGGGATGCTGAGGTGGGACGATCACTTGAGCCAGAGACCTCAGCCAGGAGGCAGAGGTTGCAGTGAGCCAATACCATGCCACTGCACTCCAGCCTGGGTGACAGAGTGAGACCCTGTCTCAAAAACAAAACAAAACAAAAAAATTAACAGGACATGGTGGAAGCATGCCTGTAGTCCTAGCTACTTGGGAGGCTGAGGTAGGAGGATTGCTTTACCCCAGGAGTTTGAGGCTACAGTGAGTTGTGATGCCACCACTGCACACCAGCCTGGGCGACAGAGCTTGTCTCTAAAAAATAAAGAACCAAATAAGTAAATAAAAATAAAGTAATAATGTTCTGAGTGCAACTGAGTACACTCTGGAGTATAAATCTGAGCCTTCCCAAATATAGGCCATGTGACCTTGCATTATGTAATTGGCACTAAACTGCTCTAAGCCCCAGTTTCTTCATATGTGAAATGGGTGATTAAGAATGACACCTATTCTCACACAGCTGTTTTGAGGATTACATGAGCTGATGTAAGAAAAGCTCTTAGCATGATATCTGGTATACAGTAAATGCCCAATCAAGATTTGCTGTTGTTGTAAGCACCTACAGGAACAACTGTTCCTACTTTAAGTGTGTTTGACACCGTAATCCATTCTCTGTCTGCTTTCTTCCTATAACAGAGTGTTAGTCAGAAAAGGAAGGAAGGAAAGGCCATTTTTTCCATTTAAACAGGGACCACACTGTACAATAGAGAGTAAAACTCAGAATGAAATGCACAATGTTCATAGTAGGTCTGTACTGAAATCATTCAAGTATTCAAGCTTGGATTCACAGAGGGGCTTTGTGGGCACACTAAGCAAGAGCAACTACAAACAACACTTAGGCCTTTTCATTCAGATTTCAAAGGCCTTTCTCTTATATATCACTAGTGCTATAAAATAATGCAACAAAGAGCTTCTTTATACGCTTTCTTCTACAATCTTTTAAGAAGTGGACCCCCCTTCAAAAACAGCTTTAAACTGATAATCATTTTAAGTGATCCTGTGCTAAATTTAGCCCACAGCCAATCCATTTGTTGTTGTTATTGTCTTTTTTTTTTTTTTGAGATGGAGTCTTGCTCTGTCACCCAGGCTGGAGTGCAGTGGCACAATCTTGGCTCACTGCAACCTCCACCTCCTGGGTTAAAGCAATTCTCTTCCCTCAGCCTCCCCAGTAGCTGGGACTACAGGCACACGCTGCTACGCCCAGCTAATTTCTTTTGTATTTTAGTAGAGATGGGGTTTCACTGCGTTGCCCAGGCTGGTCTCAAACTCCTGACCTCAAGTGATCTGCCCGCCTTGGCCTCCCAAAGTGCTGGGATTACACCTGTGAGCCACTGCACCTGGCCTGTAGTTTTTTGTTAAGAGACACGTCTGGCTGTGTTGCCCAGGCTGGCCTCAAACTCCTGGACTCATGTGATCCTCCTGGCTCAGCCTCCTGAGTAACTGGAACTATAGGCATGAGCCACCATACCTAGCCGTTATTTTATTTTCCTTTTTTGGATACAGGGTCTCACTCTGTCACCCAGGCTGAAGTGCGGTGATGCAATCTTGGCTCACTGCAGCCTTGACCTCCTGGGCTCAGGTGATCCTCCCACCTTAGCCTCCTGGGTAGCTGGGACTATAGGTGCTATGCCTGGCTAAGTTTTTGTATTTTCTGTAGCAATGAGGTCTCATCATGTTGCCTCAACTGGTCTCAAACTCCTAGGCTCAAGCAATTTGCCCACCTAGACCTCTCGAAGTGCTAGAATTATAAGCGTGAGCCACTGCACCCAGCCCATTATTTTATTTTCCAATAAAGCTTTGCCTAGATAATAAATAATTTTTTGTTGCAGATTATACACCTCATAGTAATAACAAACCCTAAATTGGTATCTAGGCAAAATCATCCACTAACAAGACTCTAGAAGTATAAGACCAGCTCTGTCAATACCACTGTGACAAATAAGTGGTTATGAAAGGTGAGTTTGGGGGAAAAAAAGAGTCTAAAATCAAGGCCATCATTTTACCAGGATAATAATCTACCTGGATCGTATTTGTAAGTTGAATGTGGGCACTCAAATGGCTTCTAGGTCTCATCTAGGGATTCTTTCTTCTTCATTACTCCTGCTCATGATTTCTAAACATCACATTTTACTATTATGCCAAAGTGAAAACACAGAACACTGTAAAGTGTACATTAACTGGCAGACTAGACTAACTCTAGCTAAAGTGAGCTACAAGAGTTAACTTGGGATTCCAGAGACAATATTTAAGAAAACAAATAAATAAAAATAAAACAAAATAAAATGAGAGAGACAGAGAAAAAGAAATACCTCTTTTTGTAGCATGCACCAACAGTCTATCCAAGACGTATATATTGGGGAGTAAGGAGGGCATCCACCAGCAAGACTAAAATAGAAAAAAACATGGAGCTATTCATGTTAATATTAACCATTCTCTTGAGACGTTGATAAACCTTGTCAAAATATTCTGCTGCACAGAAGATTCCCTGAGAGATCATTTTAGTTCAATGAAACAAATCATATTGAAGCAGGGGAACGATCAAGCATCCAAAAGAGAATTCCTCCCCTATATTTAGGTTTCAAATAAATAAATAAACATAAACTTCAACCTTAATTTCTAAAACATTTAGACTTTTCCTTTGTGGACAAATGAAACTCCAGAACACAGCATTTACATGATTAAAGAGCAGGGAAAGGTGGCCGGGCACGGTGGCTCACACCTGTAATTCCAGCACTTTGGGAGGCCAAGGCAGGTGGATCATTTGAGGTCAGGAGTTCAAGACCAGCCTGGCCAACATGGTGAAACCCCATCTCTACTGAAAATACAAAAACATGAGCTGGCATGGTGGCGCATGCCTGTAATCCCGGCTACTTGGGAGGCTAAGGCATGTGAATTGCTTCAACCCAGGAGGCGGAAGTTGCAGTGAGCCAAGATTGCACTACTGCACTCCAGCCTGGGTGACAGAGTAAGAACCAGTCTTTTTTTAAAAAAAAAAAAAAAAAAAAAGAGCAGGGAAAGGAGATTTAAAAACTAACTGGTGTTCACAAAGATACTAAACATGAAAACGGATATAAACAGTAGATATATATGTTCCTACTTAGGTATAATCACTTCATCTTGAAAAAACTGTAAATAATAATAATACATTTAATTCATCCTTCAAGTTTACACTGTGCTAAAAAATGGCAGTTGCTCTACGTATCAGAAAACATCACAGCTTGCCAGGAGTAACATGAAACAAACAAAACCAGAAAACAAACAATGTAAAATGTTCAAAACTCCACATAGCTATCTGATCTTATTTGAAAACAGTAACATGTTTAATGATATGTCAGGTACCATATGGGAAAAGAATTTTGAATTAAACAAAAAAGGCAAGGCTGGGTGCAGTGGCTCACGCCTGTAATCCCAGCACTTTAGGAGGTCGAGGAGGGTGGACCACTTGAGGTCAGGAGTTCGAGACCAGCCTGGCCAACATGGTGAAACACTGTCTCTACTAGAAATACAGAAATTAGCCGGGGGTGGTGGCAAGTGCCTATAATCCCAGCTACTCTGGAGGCTGAGGCAGGAGAAGTACTTGAACCCAGGAGGTGGAGGATGCAGTGAACCAAGATCGCGCCACCACAATCCAGCCTGAGCAACAGAGCAAGACTCTGTCTCAACAATAACAACAACAAAAAAATACAAAAAATTAGCCAGGCATGCTGGTGGGCACCTGTAATCCCAGCTACTCAGGAGGCTGAGGCAGGAGAATTGCTTGAACCTGGGAGGTGGAGGTTGCAGTGAGTCGAGATTGCACCACTGCACTATAGCCTGGGCAACAGAGTGAGACTCCATCTCAAAAAAAAAAAAAAAAAGGCAAAATTTTGCCCAACTCAGTAGAGTCACTTGGCATCTAGAATTTGGAAATCAATGGAGTCTACCACTATACCAAAACCTGCCCTTCTAACCAATACAGAGAAAAGGTCATCAAACTTTCCATAGACTAAATATCCTAATTCTGGTTCTTTAAAACTCACTTTCTCCATAAAGCCCCTAGGAAAAACAGGTATGGATTGTCATTTAATCCCTGATATACCTTTTGTCACTTTCATAGAAAAGATAAAGATTTAAAATAACAATATGTTGGCTGGGCATGGTGGCTCACCCCTGTAATCCCAGCACTTTAAGAGGCTGAGGAAGGAGAATCACTTGAGCCTAGAAATTTAAGAACAGCCTGGGCAACAAAGTGAGACCCTGTGTCTTCACAAAAAATAATTAGCCAGGCATGGTGGCATGCACATGTACTCCCAACTACTTGGGAAGCTGAGATGGGAGGATCCCTTGAGCTCAGGAGTTCAAGGCTGCAGTGAGCTAGGACTTCACCACCACATTGCAGCCCTATCTCTAAAAAAATTAAAAATAAATAAAAATAGGCCAGGTGCAGTGGCTCACGCCTTTAATTCCAGCGCTTTGGAAGTCCGAGGTAGGCAGATCACCGGAGGTCAGGAGTTCAGGACCAGTCTGGCCAACATAGCAAGACCCCATCTCTACTAAAAATGCAAAAATTAGCCCAGCATGGTGGCACATGCCTGTAATCACAACTTCTTGGGAAGCTGAGGCATGAGAACTGCTTGAATCCAGGAGGTGTCTGTTGCAATGGAGCGAGACTGCACCACTGCACTCCAGCCTGGGTGACAGAGTGAGATTCTGTCTCAAAAAACAAAAACAAAAACAAAAACAAAAACTATAAATAATAATAGTAATTGGCCTGGCATGGTGGTTCATGCCTGTAATCCCAGCACTTTGGGAGACTGAGGCGGGTGGATCACTTGAGGTCAGGAGTTCGAGACCAGCCTGGCCAACATGGTGAAACCCTGTCTCTACCAAAAATACAAAAATATTAGCTGGGCATGGTGGCGAATGCCTGTAATCCCAGCTACTCAGGAGGCTGAGGCGGGACAATCACTTGAATCCAGGAGGTGGAGGTCGCAGTGAGCCGAGATCATGCTACTGCACTCCAGCCTGGGCAACATAGCAAGACTCCATCTCAAAAAAAAAAAAAATAATAATAATAATTAATAAATAAATACAAATTGAGGCTGCTGCTGCATAGGGCATACAAAGAAAAAAATTAGGAATCTTCTAATGGTATCAATTATACTTTTCCTCCCCCCCTTTTTAAAAAAATACCAATCAGAGATTGATACTGATCATTCATCTTTCCTAAATTTCTACAAGGCTGCTCCGCCTGTCAGCATACAGTCAACCACCTACTAGAATAAGAAATACAAAGTGCTTACCCACAGTTGTTGACAGCCATAAGATTGGAGACAAGCACAAAGGGATAGGTCAACATACTCGCAAAAAACTGTAAAATGGAAACAAGGCAGCTGTTATTAGATCATTCCTAGTCTTTATTCTCCTTTCCTTTACCTTAAAGGCCTAGTGCCACTGCGGTGAGACACTCTAACACTTGTCTCGCTTCATCGGTACCCTGGAAAGACAACAGTTACAGTTTTGAGCCTGGAGATGCTTCTTCCTCTTAGCACACCACTGCATCCAACATTTTAACAAAAGGCCAGAAGAATTCTCTGATCCTGAGTAGCTGGGACTATAGGCGCACGCCACCATACCCAACTACTTTTTTTTTTTTTGAGATGGAGTTTCCCTCTTGTTGCCCACGCTGGAGTGTAATGGTGTGATATTGGCTCACTGCAACCTCCGCCTCCTGGGTTCAAGCGATTCTCCTGCAACCTCCGCCTCCTGGGGTTCAAGCGATTCTCCTGCCTCAGCCTCCCAAGTAGCTGGGATTACGGGCATGCACCACCATGCCCAGCTAATTTTGTAGTTTTAGTAGAGATGAGATTTCTCCAAATTGGCCAAGGTGGTGTCGAACTCCCGACCTCAGCCTCCCAAAGTGCTGGGATTACAGGAGTGAGCCACCGCGCCTGCCCCAGCTTTTTTTTTTTTTTTTCACTTTTGTAGAAATGGGGTCTTGCTCAGTTGCCCAGGCTGGTCTTGAACTCTTGGCCTCAAGTGATCCTCCTTCCTTGGCCTCCCGAAGTGCTGGGTTTACAGGTGTGAGCCACCATGTCTGGCCTGAACAATATTATTTCGGAGGAAAGGCACGCCCCTTATGAAAGCTAAGCAGTACCAAACCATGCAGGATGTGAGGCAGGGGTTCTGCCTTACTCTCTTTATTTTCACATGTGAGTCTGTGGTTCCTTCGAAAACTGAGTTATTCTCTCTTTTTTTTTGAGATGGAGTCTCACTCTGTCGCCCAGGCCGAAGTGCAGTGGCGTGATCTCAGCTCACTGCAGCCTCCATCTCCCAGGTTCCAGTGATTCTCCTGCCTCAGCCTCCCGAGTAGCTGGGATTACAGGCATGCACCACCACGCTCGGCTAATGTTAGTATTTTTAGTAGAGACGGGGATTCATCATGTTGGCCAGGCTGGTCTCGAACTCCTGACCTCAGGTGATCCGCCCACCTCACCTTCCCAAAGTGCTAGGATTACAGGCATGAGCCATGGCGCCTGGCCGAAAACTGAGTTATTCTTACCTTTGACAAATATAACAAATTTCAGGGAGATGTCCCAGTGAGACATCTGGTTATCTTAAAGCAGTGATGACACAAGCCAGATTTAAAAGGAAAACAAAACAAAACACAACTATTCCTAGAAGGTTAAAAGGATTTTAAAAAACTCACTCCTGTGACAGCTTGAGAATAACTCTTCATTTCATTCATGGTAGAAACCTAAAATAGGAAAAGAGCCTTAAATTAATTACCTACAACACTACAACACATCAATATATTCTTTTTTCCTTTTCTTTTCTTTTCTTTTTTTCTTTCAGACAGTGCCTCACTCTGTCACCCAGGCTGAAGTGCAGTGACCTCCTGAAGCACACATCACCACGCCCAGCTAATTTCAAAATATTTTTTAAGAAATGGTGTCTTTTTTTTTTTGAGATAAGGGTCTCCCTATGTTTGCCCAGGCTGGTCTCAAACTCCTGGGCTCAAGAGATCCTCCCACCTTGACCTCTCAAAGTGCTGAGATTATAGGCATAAGCCACTATGCCCAGCTAAGAGACGGTGTCTTGCTATGTTGCCTAGGCTGGTTTCAAACTCCTGGCTTCAGGCAAACCTCCCACCTAAGCCTCCTGAGTCGCTGGAATCATAGGCTGGAGCTACTGTGCCTTGCTCTCCATGTCAATATAGTCTATCTCTAAATTATCAGTTTGACAGCTTGAAAATTAATTTTTTTTTTTTTTTTGAGACAGGATCTCATCTCTCTTGTTGCCCAGGCTGGAGGTGCAGTGAGCTGTGATCTCACAACCTTGACCTCCTGGGCTCAAGTGACCCTCCCACTTCAGCCTCCCAAAGTGTTGGGATTACAGCATGAGCCACCACACCTGTCTAAAACTAATTTTGAGGACAAAACCATAAAACACTGATTATTAGAATAATAAGGCAGTGGTCAAAATGATCAACCTGATTCAATATTAACAGACAAATTCATATTATACTAAAATGCTTTAGGGACGAATGTAAAAGGATTTCAAATACTAAAGAAAATGAGATTGATAACCTTTTCACACATCCTAGAAATACAGTCCCTGGAAAACCACATTTATAGTATATCTAAGGGACAATTCACTACCTTTGTTTTACACAGCTAGCTTTCTACCAGATGCGTTGAAGAAAATCCCTCTCTGTACTCAAGAGGTTTACAACATGGATTTAGTCATATACCCTGTGATGTGTTCAATTTATCATCATGCTATGGAGCTGCCGACATACAAGAGGCCCCACAACTGCTGAGATAAGAAAGACAACTTCTAGATAAGACTGATTCTCAAAAGGCTGAGGTTTCTAGAAAGCCCAATACAGGCACCCTCTTAAGTCCAGATTAGATGAAAAGCCCCCGATACACCATAAAGATGTCCTGCTTTCCCAGGTTCTCTCAAGTTAAGTATCAGTAAAGAAGTGATCTCTTTAAAGCCCTGAAGTAACACAGGGCTAAGTCTCTTGGGTATACTCTGTCACATCTTACGGACTTTTAACGTGTATCGTTCTACAGTAAACAGTATCGTTCTACAGTGAACAGTATGCTCATTTCATTAGCATTTGAAAATTTGACTGATAATTTTTAGCTATATAATTGTTCAGTCTGGCATGTAGCAAACTGTCATCTTGTTTATTTATTTATTATTTATTTTTTGAAATGGAGTCTCCTTCTGTCACCCAGGCTGGAATGCAGTGGCGCGATCTTGGCTCACTGCAACCTCCGCCTCCTGGGTTCAAGCAATTCCCCTGCCTCAGCCTCCCAAGTAGCTGGGACTATAGGCACGCACCACCACGCCCAGCTAATTTTTTCTGTATTTTTAGTAGAGACGAGGTTTCACCATGTTGGCCAGGCTGGTCTCGAACTCTTGATCTCAGGTGATCCGCCCACATTGGCCTCCCAAAGTGCTGGGATTACAGGTGTGAGCCACCTCGCCCGGCCCATCTTACTTTAAAAGCTAATCTAGCTGCCAGATTAAAGCCAAGGTGAGCACATCTCACGAAGGTCACAACCTACCCCACTGTCCAGTGCATAGGTATTGACGAGGTAGGCCAGTGAGTTACACAGCCACAAAGAAAGGATGTCACCTAGAAGGCGAGGAACAAGACCCCTACATGAAGAAACAATAAAAATAAGAACCAAAAAATGTGATCAGTAACATGACAGGCTCTTCAGTACAAATGTTTGTCAAATAATTAGAGGTCACAAAACATTCTAGGGAAGTAAAAAAGGAATCAAACACCAGAATCCAGCCCGCATACCTAGTTCATTCTCGTTAACACAGCTGTACTTGAAGCTGATCTCCAGTGACTTTTGTTCCTATGTTTAAAATGCAGGTCGGCTATACCCTCAGTGGCTCACCTTACTATTCATAACTGTAAGCAGGGAGGCAAAAGATTTGCGAGGTGCTTTGCAGAAGAGACTTAAATATTGTTTTGCTTTGACTAGCTTAAAAAAATGATTTTGCTAAGCTATCTGATATTCATATTTGGCAGAGCAAAAGACGAGAAAAATTACAAAGCAAGAATGGTCCCAAGTACAGATACAGATGAGAGGCATCAAAAACCACATTTCTAGGGTCTGGGTGACCTAGGTGAGGCAGCATGGAATAGTGGGAAGAGCATTTCCCCACGGATTGAAGACCAGCTTCAAATGCCAGCTCCAGCACTCAGCAGCGATGTGACAGGCAGCAGATGAAACTCTCAGAGCATCAATGTTTTTTAATCTCTAAAGTGATACTAATTATAGCTGTCCTGCCTATCTCACAGGGTATTTATGATATTCAAAATCCGTATGGGGAGATACTCTGAAAATTAAAAAAAAAAAAACAAAAAACACCATTTCGGTAATGATGCAAAATTTTTCCTCATAGAAGAATGAGGGTAGTAGTCTAAGTTCTTCCAAAGTAAATTCAAGCCTTGCAAAAACTTACTCTTTTACGGTAAGGAAAATACAAGTTAAGATGATTTCCCCATTTTTCAACATTTAATTTTTCTCATTTTATTATCTATATAGAATTGGGAGTTTACTACAAGGGTAGAAACTTGGAATTAAGTCCTTTGTTAAAAAAAGAAATTCCTTATTTATTTATTAATTATTATTATTTTTTTGAGACGGAGTCTCACTCTGTCACCCGGGCTGGAGTACAGTGGTGCAATCTCAGCTCACTGCAACTTCCACCTCCCGGGTTCATGCAATTCTCCTGCCTCAGCCTCCCGAGTAGCTGGGATTACAGGCACACACCACCACACCTAGAGGTGGGGTTTTACCATGTTGGCCAGGCTGGTCTTGAACTCCTGACCTCAGGTGATCCAACCGCCTTGGCCTCTCAAAGTGCTGGGATTACAGGCGTGAGCCACCACGCCCGGCCTCAAATGTTTTAAGTATCTAGAAGTAAAGGTTTGGGATCTTTACAAGATAATTCTAGTCATATGGGGCCTAAATATGCCTTTCTGCAGAGAAAAAAGAAAAAAAAATAAGGGGCCTAAATAGAATGTAACGTGAGGTAAGCCCAGGGAGTACGTTTTCCCCAAGGATTAAACAAAGACTCACTATTCTTACTTTCAGAAAACGTTTCCCACTCATGCAAAAATTACACACTAATCAACATTTACTCACGCGAAAAATCCTAGAATGCCCTCTTCCCGATAGATGGTTATTATGGAATCACAAAGTCCACTACGTACACAAGAAGAAAAGGTAAAATATATTAAGATTCTTTTGGAGCTATAAACAAAATAATTTCAATTATCACATTGGACAAGGTCAAATCCACGACCTCCTTCCCTCACACTTTTCTAGCACTCTCTCACTCTGCAAAGATAGCTAAATTTGGAGATAGAAGTGAAAATATTAACTACCTAGGGGTATAGTCATATGGAGTCAGGGGCTCTGCAACTTACTCTGAAATCCTACGTAGGCTACTAAACCTGCCTGGGTATATTTTCTCCCATTTTATTGTTTTTTGTGCAGATCAAATGACATCAGATACGAATTTGTTCTACAAATTGTAAGGGTATCATAAAAATACAAAGTAGTATTATTCTAGTACTTTGGCTTCAAAAGATCTCCTTGAGTATGTGAAAACAAAAATACTTACCAGTACTTGGATTCTCTGCCAATGAACTGTACCATAGATCTCAGAGTGATCACTGTGGAATATAGAGAAAAGATGTTTACAACTATGTTAAGGCCAGGTGCGGTGGCTCACACCTGTAATCCCAGCACTTTGAGAGGCCGAGGTGGGCGGATCACCTGAGGTCAGGAGTTCAAGACTAGCCTGACCAATATGATGAAGCCCCATCTCTACTAAAAATACAAAAATTATCCAGGCGTGGTGGCATGCACCTGTAATCCCAGCTCCTTAGGAGGCTGAGACAGGAGTACTGCTTGAACCCGGAAGGCTGAGGTTGCAGTGAGCCAAGATTGTGCCATTGCACTCCAGCCTGGGCAACAAGAGTGAAACTCCGTCTCAAAAACAAAAAACAAACAAACAAAAAAAAACTATGTTAAGATAGATTTTGATAGCCCTGGGAAAAAAAAAGATTTTCCACCTAAAGACATTTTGCTATCTGGATAAATTGGATAAAAGCCAAAACAAGCAAGCAAACAAAAACATGCAGGCAAGGCATTTTAGTCAACTCCCACGTCAACCTATCTAAGTGGTCAGGAGAGATCAGGTTATAAAAGAAAGGTCAGTTGTCAACTGCAAACATACCATGGAAGGGATGTGTGATGAGGGTAGCAGCAGAACGAGCGATCATCTCTCGAGTTGTCTAGAAACAATCAACACACACTTCTGAAATCTAAACAAATGACACTCAAATGCCTGTGAGAAGGAATGTGGGTGGATATCGTGGTATAGGATAAGAAAGTGAATGACACAGCCCTCCTGCCCTGGCTGGAGTCAAGAAGAGTTTGAATGGGATGTGAAAGATCTCATTCATTGTCATTTTATCATACTTTTCACTCATGGATCTCAATGTTCTATTATAGTTACTTCTCAAAATTTCTCTGCAAAGCAGGCTTCTGTTGTTTTCTCAATTTTACAGGTAAGAGAAAAAAATAAAGAAACAGGAAAGGTCACCAACAAAGTCATTAAGCTGAAATAAAAAATATGAGGCCTTTATTGAGATTATTAAGTTGCTCTCTTATTGGTAAGTGATTTTGGAGAGTCTGACATCATTCTAGATAAATGACAGGCTCCATTTAGTCTCTACTCACATTTTTGGGAGAAGAGAACAATTTTGTTTTGTGACTACAACCCAGTAACTGTGCAGTATCTTAGAGCTGCTGTGTTTTTCCTAGTTTATCTTTCTACTCTAGGGCTCTGTAAGGAAGTAATAAAGAAAATTAAATTATAATCTTTGCATTTAGGTTCTGGGATTGCAAATGTAAGCAGGTCTACCATTGGCTTTTGCATTTTTTTTTTTTTTTTAGGACAGTCTTGCTCTGTCACCCACGCTGGAGTGCAGTGGCGCGAACTCGGTTCACTGCAAGCTCCGCCTCCCGGGTTCACGCCATTCTCCTGCCTCAGCCTCCCAAGTAGCTGGGACTACAGGCACCCGCCATCATGCCCGGCTAATTTTTTTTCTTTGTATTTTTTAGTAGAGACGGTTTCACCGTGTTAGCCAGGATGGTCTCGATCTCCTGACCTCATGATCCGCCCGCCTCGGCCTCCCAAACTGCTGGGATTACAGGCATGAGCCACCGTGCCTGGCCGGCTTTTGCATTTAAACAGTATCTTTATGGTCACTGAGTTTTTTCTTTTCTTTTTTTTTGAGACAGAGTCTTGCTCTGTTGCCCGGGCTGGAGTGCAGTGGTGCGATCTCAGCTTGCTGCAACCTCCACCTCCCAGGTTCAAGTGATTCTCCCGCCTCAGCCTCCTGAGTAGCTGGGATTACAGGCACACACCACCATGCCCAGTTAATTTTTTTTGTATTTTTAGTAGAGATGGGATTTCGCCATGTTGGCCAAGCTGGTTTTGAATGCCTGACCTCGTGATCTGCCCGCCTCAGCCTCCCAAAGTGCTGGGATTATAGGTGTGAGCCACCACACCCGGCCTAGTCACTGAGTTTTAAGACAGCCCTCACCCCTTCTCCAAGGGCATAAGATCCTATGGGACTGGATGGGCAAACTAAGGAAAATACTAATTGCATAGTAATACATGTATCCCTGCTTTTTTTTTTTTTTTGAGAGGGAGTCTCGCTGTCTCCCAGGCTGGAGTGCAGTGGCGCAGTCTTGGCTCACTGCAAGCTCCACCTCCCAGGTTCACGCCATGCTCTTGCCTCAGCCTCCCGAGTAGCTGGGACTACAGGCGCCTGCCACCATGCCCAGCTAATTTTTTTGTATTTTTCGTAGAGACGGGGTTTCACCGTGTTAGCCAGGGTGGTCTCAATCTCCTGACTTCGTGATCTGCCCGCCTCGGCCTCCCAAGGTGTTGGGATTACAGGTGTAAGCCACCACGCCCGGCCGTATCCCTGCTTTTAAGCAAACTAATTTCATGAAAATTTACAGAAAATAGAGCTAATTTATCTGGTTTCCAGACCTTTAGTAATGTTTGTTTTGGAATATATATATATATATATATATTTTTTTTTTTTTTTTTTTTTTTTCTTGAGATGGAGTCTCACTCCTGTGGCCCAGGCTAGAGTGCAATGGTGCAATCTTGGCTCATTACAACCTCTGCCTCCCGGGTTCAAGCCATTCTCCTGCCTCAGCCCCCCAAGTAGCTGGGATTACAGACATGCGCCACCATGCCTGGCTAATTTTTGTATTTTTAGTAGAGACGGGGTTTCTCCATGTTGGTCAGGCTGGTCTCCAACTCCCAACCTCAGGTGATCCGCCCGCCTCGGCCTCTCAAAGTGCTGGGATTACAGGCATGAGCCACTGCGCCCAGCCTTTGGAATATGTATTTTGGATGGCTGCATTTCCTGGATAATTGTGACTTCATTAATGACAATTAAGACAATGTGAAGACTTAAGTAATAAGAGAATAGTTCTGAAAGCCAGGCACAGAAACACCTATGGCAGCATATGGGGGTGGGAAATGGGTGATGAGGAACTTTTCAGAGTCAGAAAAATGTCAAAAGAGCCTTTCTGCATAGATACTATCCAACATACAAAGGGCCTGGTCGCTATTTTAATACTTTTTTCTAAAGACAAGGTCTTGCTCTATCACACAGGCTGGAGTATGGTGGCACAATCATAGCTCACTGCAGCCTCAACTTCCTGGGCTTAAGTCATCTTCTCACCGCAGCCTCTCGAGTACCTGGGACTACAGATATGTGCCACCACACACCTAGCTAATTTTTCTATTTTTTTTGTAGAGAGGAAGTCTCACTATGTTGCATAGGCTGGTCTCTAACTCCTGGGGTCAAGTGATCTTCCTGCCTTGGCCTCCCAAAGTGCTGGGATTACAGGCGTGAGCCACCACACCTGGCCTATTTTAACACTTTTATTCCTGAGGTTTTCAACACTATTAGAAGACTTTCAGTATTCTAAAGACGGAATGTGTGGGCAAAATGAGTTTTCTTGAAATGCATCTATTCTGAACAGCAAGCACTGATCCTCTCTCTTTTTAATGTTATACATGTAGTAAAGCCCAAATTAATTTGAAGGTTTAATTTCATTTGGGAACAGACACTGAACACACAGGCCTGATGATTCTGATTCCATAGTTGCAACACCACAGTTTGATCTGGGCAAACAGCACAGGATGTAATTCATCTCTTACCTCCTTGATAACGTGGTCAAAGGAAGATGAGACTTCTTTCTGTACATTTCCAGGTCCTAACTCCTGGAAATCAAAATCAAAGAAAATAGAGATCTTGATTTTTTTTTTTTTTTTTTTTTGAGACAGAGTCTCGCTCTGTCGCCCAGGCTGGAGTGCAGTGGCACAATCTCGGCTCACTGCAAGCTCCACCGCCTGGGTACAAGTGCTTCTCCTGCCTCAGCCTCCCAAGTAGCTAGGATTACAGGTGCTCGCCACCACGCCCTGCTAATTTTTGTATTTTTAGTAGAGACGGGGTTTCACCGTGTTAGCCAGGATGGTCTCGATTTCCTGACCTCGTGATCTCCACCTGCCTCGGCCTCCCAAAGTGCTGGGATTACAGGCATGAGCCACCATGGGCGGCCGATCTTGACGGTTTTTATTTCTTTTGAGATAGGGTCTCGCTCTGTCACTCACGCGGAGTGCAGTGATGTGATCATGGATCACTGCAGTCTTGACGTCCTGGACTCAAGTGATCCTCTCACCTCAACCTCCCATGTAGCTGAGATACAGAGGTATGTGCCACCAGGCCCCGCTAATCTTTGATTTTCTGTAGAGAAGGGGTCTATGTTGCCCAGGCTGGTCTCAAACTCTTAGATGCAAGTGATCCTCCCACCTTGGCCTCCGAAACTGCTAGGATTACAGGCATGAGCCACCATGCCCAGCCATCCTGATGGTTTCAAACAGAACTGTCCAAACTGGTGGCCACCCCATAGGACAACACTCACTGAGATGAATAGGAGACTGACTACTTGGCTTTTCTCCAAAAGAGGCCCCAAAAGCAGTAACAACTTGCAAGGGAAAGGCCCTCATGCTTAGAAATCAGCTCCAACATACCTCACCCTTGTCACTCTCCTGGTAATGCTATAGAAAAAAAGAAAAAGGATGATTAGGGTTATTACAGTGTCATGTGAAAGAAGACATAAAATGAAAACTCTACTGACAGAAAGTAAATTAGCTGAAGTTTTTTTTAAAGTTTTTGTTTTTTTTTTTAAGCTGCAAATCTTCAGTTAACTTCTACTCATTAATCAACTGGAAATATGGATCTCC